>NC_000019.10:46634813-46937843 GCF_000001405.40 Homo sapiens
TGAATGGGGTGGCCAGGGGCTGGTGGAGGGAGGGACAGATGAAGGGGACAGGAACAAGAGGAGCGATGGAGGGGTGCACGGATGGAGGTAGCTAAGGCAGGTGGGGAGAGAGCAGGGAGGGGCGAGGGAGGGAAGGAGGGGCGCACAGATGGGAGGCTGAGACAGAAGGACAGGGCCACAGGTGCTGGATCAGAATCCAGGTGTCCTCACCCCCGGGGGCAGAGCGAGAGCCAGGAGGGGGGCCCCTCCCCCAGGCCAATTAGCAGTGGCTCCAGGGAGAACTGGGAATTAAGATCGCGGCGGGAGGGGCACAGAGGGGGCCTCATTAGGGCCTTGGCAGCAGCTGCCCTCTCCGCCACCCTCAGGGAGCCCCCCCACCCTAGCCCTGGTCACCTCAAAGCCTCCTCTGCTCATTAGCAGCCAGGGCAGAGGGCTGGGGGAGCCCAACTCGGGCACCTGAGGAGAGGCCTATCGGATGGACAGAGGGACAACGGGACGCGCAGAGGCAGAGACAGAGTAATGGAGGGAGAGACTGAGGCACGGGAGAAATGAAGAGACGGGGAGGAATAGAGAGAGGGAGAGACTGGGGGAGGAATGAAGTGATGGAGGAGAAAATAGAGGGACAAATGAAGGGGGGAGCAAGGAACAGGGTGATACAAGGCGACAGGCACCGAGGGGACAAAGGGACAGAGGGGACAGAGCAGGGGAGATGGAGGGAGGGGGTGTGGGGTGGGAGAGGATGGGGAGATGGAGGGAGGGGGTGTGGGGTGGGAGAGGATGGAGGAGATGGACGGATGGGGTGGGAGAGGATGGGGAGATGGAGGGAGGGGGTGTGGGGTGGGAGAGGATGGGGAGATGGAGGGAGGGGGTGTGGGGTGGGAGAGGATGGGGAGATGGAGGGAGGGGGTGTGGGGTGGGAGAGGATGGAGGAGATGGAGGGAGGGGGTGTGGGGTGGGAGAGGATGGAGGAGATGGACGGATGGGGTGGGAGAGGATGGGGTGATGGAGGGAGGGACGAAGGAGAGAGAAGGGGAAATGGAGGAAGGGGGGAGGGAGGAAGGAGCAGAGACACCAAGGAGATAAAGGAACAGAGACGGGGAGATAGAGGGACAGAGGAAAGAAGGGAAGGACAAAGAGGGAGATGGAGGGGTTGGGGAGAGATGGAAACAGAAAGTGGGAGAGAGGAACAAGGCGAGAGACAGGCTGATGGAGACGCAGAAGAATTCATTCACTCACTCATTCACTCATTCACTCATTCATTCCCAGGCGGAGAGACGGTGGCCACGGAGCAGGCAAAGGGACCAGCTGTGGGGCCGGGACCGGAGCTTCCTACCTGTTGCTGCTCTGGGCCGGGCTCGCGGCGGTGACAGAGGCTGGGAGGCAGCGTCTGGGTCCCTCCGGCCCGCCCCGCCCCCTCCCCTGGGGCGCAGCCCCTACGGACCCGCCTCCTCCCGGAGCCACCGTCCCCGCCGCCCCGCCACCTTGGGGCTCCCTCTCTGGGCCCTCTCTCTTGTCTGTCAGTCCTATCTTTGTCCCTCTCCCTGTGTCTCTGCCGCTGCTGTCCTATTGTGTGACTCTCTCTGTGCCTCTCTCACACTCACTAGAAAACACAGTCTCTCTAGGTGGGCCCCGGGCCTCGCTACATTTAATCCACAGTCACAACAAACCTCTCCAGTGTGTCCCACAGAGCCGCTCACTCAGCCACACTCGCCACCTCGGTGTCACCACCCCCCTCCAGCCTCATGCTCACTGTCCCTCACACAGACAAAAACTATCTTGCCCTGTCACACGGTAGCACCACACAACCTCACGAATGACCTTGCTCAACACAACCTCACACGGTTGCCCCAAATGCCACACACAGCCGCCACCAATGGCAGCTCCAAGCGCTACACAGTCAGATAAATTATCTCAGAGCACCAAATGTACCACAGTGTCACACATAATGTCTCCAAATGTCACACACATTTGCATGCCTTTTTTTTTTTTTTTTTTTGAGATGAAGTCTCGCTGTGTTGCCCAGGCTGGAGTGCAGTGGCCCAATCTCAGCTCACTGCAACCTCCGCCTCCTGGGTTCAAGCCATTCTCCTGCCTCAGCCTCCTGAGTAGCTGGGATTACAGGTGCCTGACACCACGCCCGTCTGATTTTTGTATTTTTCGTAGAGACAGGGTCTCACAATGTTGGCCAGGCTGGTCTTGAACTCCTGACCTCAGGTCATCCACCCGCCTCGGCCTCCCAAAGTGCTGGGATTACAGGCGTGAGCCACCGCGCCTGGCCTTGCATGCCATTTAAACTCTCTCAATCTCACACCCTGTCCCAGTCTCACACTTTCTGTGTCTCACGGTGGCATGCAATTACCCAATACAACCTGTCAAGTACACACTGTTTTATAGTATTTCATAGTAACACCCAGTCGCCTGTCCAGTGACAACCATGGAAGGTCACATACATTCTCTCACAGTCTCCTGGTGTCACACGCATCTGACACATTCCCTCCATACACAGTCTGTCCCTGTCACACACACGCACGCAACCCATCTCCTGGTGTCATACCTAGCTACCCACGATGGCTCAGTGTCTCACAGAGTCCCACACAAGCTCGCAGCGTTTCACACACTCACTCCCACCTCTCCATCATCTCTTGCCTTCTACACACAAGGCCTCCCTCACGCTCTCGCTTCCGAGTGCCCTGCACAGCCGCAAACTCTCGCATGCACTGTCACAACGCTGCCATCTCTCACCAGCTCAGTGTCACACATAGTCACGCAGTTTTGTTTTGTTTTTTGAGACAAGGTCTCTCTCTCTGTCACCCAGGCTGGAGTGCAGTGGCGCGATCTTAGCTCACTGCAGCCTCCACTTCCCAGGCTCAAGCGATCCTCCAACCTCAGCCTCCCAGTAGCTGGGACCACAGAGGTACATAACCGCACCTGGTTAATTTCTTTTATTTTTATTTTGGTAGAGACGGCGGGGGTGGGGGGAGGGGTCTCCCTATGTTGCCCAGGCTGATCTCAAACTCCTGGCCTCAAGGGATCCTCCCGCCTCAGCCACCCAAAGTGCTGGGATTACAGCAATGTGCCCGGATCACGCACTTTTTCACAAGCCATACACAGAGTGGCCAACACAGACTGACACTCACTGTGTCTGTCCCACCCAGGCCCCCTATGTGCCTCTCATGACACCTGCCCACACCACCTCTCAGTGTACATCAGTCATCAGTCTCACTCTCTCTCACACAGAATCTACTTGTGTGACACACACAGCACCGTATGCTCACCATGTTGCACACAGCCACACACACTGCCCCCTCACACGCACCGTCACACACGGTCTCTCACTCCCACATACGGTCTCTCAATGTCCCATACAGAGCCCCAAAGAGTGTCTCTCCCACACCCGATCACACATAACCTTTCATCAGCACACACAGTCACCCACAATCTCTCAGCATCACCAGTAATCTCAGTGTCACACACAGTCAGCGACATGTCATCTCTGACATATGCAGTCCCACTCAGTCTCTCCTTGTCGCACATAATCTCATATCAATCAGTCACACACAGACTCCCAGCACCACACACCATCTCACCAGTACACCATCATGGCAGTACACACTCATGGTGTCCTGGTCCTGGCACTGCACACCATCTCACGGCAGTCGACACTCACACAGTTTCCTGGCGTCGTACACCATCTCACAGCAGTACACACTCACAGATCTCCTGGAGTCACACACCATCACGGCAGTACACACTCACACACTCTCCAGATGTCTCACGCCGTCTCCCGGCAGTACACACTCACACAGCCTCCAGGTGTCACACGCCATTTCCCAGTGTCACCGCGAACACCAGCGTCCCCCGCTCCCCAGCACTCCCCTTTTGGCGCTCACACGCAGCGTCTGCCGGCCACATGAGGGCGCGCGCAGCACGCCCAGGCGCCCACCCTGCCCCGAGAGGCCGCAGGGAGGAGGTGGCCACAGGGAGGAGGGCCAGGCGGGAGATGAAGGGGAGACTCGGGACCAGAGGAAGCACGGCAGGGAGCCAGGGACCGGAGGGAGAGGACAGAAGATGGACACAGAGAAATTCACAGACAGGGGAGGGAGATGCAGGGAGAGTCAGAGAGACGCAGGGGGCTATAGGGACACAGATTTAGAGAAGGAGCGAGCTAGGGACTCAGAGAGACAGAGACGGGGAGGGCGCTGCGGAGAGAGGGACAGGAGAGGCAGAGACAGACAGGACACAGAGAGACCGGGGTAGGAGAGAGACACCCAAGCCGAAACTCAGAGACAGGGACGAAGACGCAGACACACAGAGATGGAGGCAGAGGCGGCCAGAGAGACAAAGAGATGCACAGAGGGCGCCTTCCAGTGGGGACCCGACGACGGAGGCGGGGCCTGCAGAGGCGCGACCGAAGGGGAGGGGTCCGGGGCGGGGTTTCTAAGGGGGCGTGCCCCTCGGTGTACCTGGGGGCGTGTCCCGATGGACGGGGCTTGGGGTTCTTTCTGGACCTGGAGAAGGCGGGAGCCCTAGGAAGAGGTGGAGGTGGGGAGGAGCATCTTTACTGCAGTCGGCCCACCCTAACTCGGTTTTCACCGCCTGGACAGGGAAGGGAGACGGGCGGGGAGGGGACCCCGACCCGAGTCCCTGGTGGAGATTTGGGTCTCGGACCCTAGCTCCCCTCCCCCCTCCCCTTGCGGGCTCAACGGGGCCAGATAAAGGAGGGAAACCAAGCCCACATCTGGAAAGCATCAGGCGCGCCGGACGTGCCAGGGCCCCAGGCCCGGCTGCGGAAGAGGGGAGGGGAGCCAAGGCGCTCCTCGCCCCGCCATCGGGGTCCGCCGGCGCCGAGGAGGGGCCTGGGCGTGTGCCGAGCCTCCGCGCCTCTCGCAGCTGGTTTCTATCAGCAGTCTGGCCTGGGCAGCCCCCGAGGAGGAAACCAGCTCAGAGAGGGGGAAGACAGGGTGACGATCCAGTCTTCCCTCCCGCTCCTCCACCGCGGCCAGAAGCTGGGGGATGGGGGAGACGGACAGACAGACACTGCCTGCCGTGAGCGCAGCCTCCGTTCCTCTCCTGAGCTGCAGACCGCAGCAGATGACCTCAGTTCCTGTCCTGTGCCCCAGCCTCATGACAGCCTAGCGCTTGAAGGCATTACAGTCCCCATTTTTTGGAAGAGGAAACTGAGGCCCTGGATTCGGATTCCGTTCTGACGTTAATTATTCAAGAAATCATCAACAAACGGCAAGAGTGAATTCCAGGATCAAATACCCAGCCGCCTGGGTGTTTAGTGGGTCTCTCGAGCTCAACGCATCCAATACTGAGCTGATTCCATCGACCAAAATTCGCTCTTATTTCAGGTTTACCCATCTCAAGTGATGGTAAATCTCTGAGTTTTTGTTGTTGTTTTGAAACAGGGTCTTGCCTGTCGCCCAGGCTGGAGTGCAGTGGTGCAATCATAGCTCACTGCAGCCTGAACTCCTGGGCTCAAGTGATCCTCCTGCCTCAGCCTCCCCGGTAACTGGGACTACAGGCATGCACAACCATGAACAGGTTTTGTTTTGTTTTTTAACAGAATCTCACTCTGTCACTCATGCTGGTGTACAGTGGCACAATCTCGGCGCGCTGCAACCTCCGCCTCCCAAGCTCAAGCAATTCTCATGCCTCAGCCTCCTGAGTAGCTGGGATCACAGGCATGTGCCACCAAATCCGGCTACTTTTTTTGTATTTTTAGTAGAGATGGGATTTCACCATGATGGCCAGGCTGGTCTCAAACTTTGGCCTCAAGTGATCCACCTGCCTCAGCCTCCCAAAGTGCTGGGATTACAGGCGTGAGCCACTGTAACCAGCCTAACTTTTTATTTTTTTTTAGAGGCAGGGTCTGGCTATGTTGCTTAGGCTGGTCCTGAACTGTGAGCCACCACACCTGGGCTGGGGTCATCCTTGACTCCCCGCCTTCTCTCACACTCCACAAGTCACCAAGTAAGACATCCTGTTGGCTTTATCTTCAAAGCAATTCCAGAATCCAATCCCTCTCACTTCCTCTGCTGTCCCCACTTGGGTCCAGACACCGTTCCCTCCTGCTTGGACTATTACAGTGACCTCTGCATTGACCTCCTATCTTCTCCCTGTCCCCCTCAGCCTGTTTCCCACAGAGCAGCCAAAAGGACACTGTTTCAAACTGTCCCCATATAATAGCAAGTGAGTATGTGGAGCAACCTGAACCCTCATAAGCTGGTGGGGATGTAAAATGGTGAAGTCGCTTTAGGAAACAACCTGGCAGGCCGGGCGTGGAGGCTCATGCCTGTAATCCCAGCACTTTGGGAGGCTGAGGCGGGCAGATCACTTGAGGTCAGGAGTTCAAGAGCAGCCTGGGCAACATGGTGAAACCCCATCTGTACTAAAAATACAAAAATTAGCTGAGCATGGTGGTGCACGCCTGTAATCCCAGCTACTTGGGAGGCTGAGGCAGGAGAATCGCTTGAACCTGGCAGGTGAAGGTTGCAGTGAGCCAAGATCGCACGACTGCACTCCAGCCTGGGTGACAGAGTGAGACTCTATCTCAAAAAAAAAAAACAAAAAAAACCCTGGCAGTTCCTCAAAAGGTTAAACATAGAGTTAACGTATGACCCAGCAATTCCACTCCTAGGTGTATATCCAAGAGCAATAAAAACATACAAACACGTATATAAAAATGTTCACAGAGGCAATATTCATAATAGCCCAAAGTGGAAACAACACACGTTCATCAACTGATGAATGGACAAATGAAATGTGGTCTATCCAGACAATGGACTATCAATTATTTGTCAATAAAAGGAAATGAAGTACTAATACCTGCTACAACATGGATGAAAGTTGAAAACAGTATGCTGGCTGGGTGCGGTGGCTCACGCCTGTAACCCCGGCACTTTGGGAGGCCGAGGCAGGCAAGTTGCTTGAGCCCAGAAGTTCAAGACCAGCCTGAATAACATGGCAAGACCCTGTCTCTACAAAAAAACATTAAAAAATCAGCCAGGCACGGTGGCATGTACCTGCAGTCTCAGCTTCCCAGGAGGCTGAGGTGGGAGGATCACCTGAACCCAGGAGGTAGAGGCTGCAGGGAGCCGTGATTGCACCACTACTCTCCAACCTGGGCTAAGTGAAAGAAGCCAGTCACTAAAGGCCTGTATTGTATGATTCCATTTATATGATATGTCCAGAACTAGCAAATCTATAGAAGGCAAAAGTAGATTACTGGTTGCCAGGGGCTGGGAAGGTTGGAGGATGGCAGCTGTGGTGCAGGGTTTCTTTAGGTGGTGATGGAAATGTTTTAGAATTCATTGTGGTGATATTTGCACAACTCTGAATATACTAAAATACTGGTTTTTTCTTTTTTTTTGAGACTGAGTCTTGCTCTGTTGCCCAGGCTGAAGTTCAGTGGCGTGATCTCGGCTCACTGCAAGCTCCGCCTCCCAAGTTCAAGAGATTCTCCTGCCTCAGCCTCCCAAGTAGCTGGGATTACAGGCGTGCACCACCATGCTTAGCTAATTTTTGTATTTTTAGTACAGATGGGGTTTCACCATGTTGCCCAGGCTGCTCTTGAACTCCTGATCTCAAGTGATCTGCCCACCTCAGCCTCCTAAAGTGCTGGGATTACAGGCATGAGCCACCACGCCTGGCCACTAAAATACTGAATGTCTTTTATATTCAATATATTTAAAAACATTGAACTGTATACTTTACGTGGGTAAATTTTTTGGTAGGTGAATATATCTCAGTACAGCTATTAACCCTCCCCCCCACCAAAAAAAAAACTTTAAAAACTCTCTTTTATATGCTCAGAATTCTCCCATGGGTGCCAGGAAATAAAAACCAAAATCCCCACCATAGCCCACGAGGCCCCCATGATGTGACAGTCCTTACCTCTTCTCCCTCTCACCTCCCCACTCCAGCTGGCCTCCTTGCTGTTTTGCCAACATGCCAGGCAGAGTTTTGCCTCAGGGCCTTTGCACTGGCTATTTCCTCTGCCCAGGATATTCTTCCCCAAGATATTCATAAGTCTCACTCCTCCACCTCCTTCAGGTCTCTGTTCAAATGTCATCTTCTCAATTAGACCATTCTTTTTTTTTTAGACGGAGTCTTGCTCTGTCACCCAGGCTGGAGTGCAATGGCGCGATCTCGGCTCACTGCAACCTCTGCATCCCGGGTACAAGCGATTTTCCTGCCTCAGCCTCCCGAGTAGCTGGGACAACAGGCACATGCCACCACGCCTGGCTAACTTTTGTATTTTTAGTAGAGACGAGGTTTCACCATGTTGGCCAGGGTGGTCTCAAACTCCTGACCTCAGGTGATCCACCTGCCTCGGCCTCCCAAAGTGGTGGGATTACAGGCATGAGCCACCATCTTCTCAATTAGACCATTCTTGATCACTCTACTTAAAATTACACACTCCCTTGGCCAGGCACACTGGCTTATGCTTGTAATCCCAACACTTCGGGAGGCTTAGGCAGGAGGATCACTTGAGACTAGGAGTTGGAGACCAGCCTGGGCAACATGGTGAGACCCTGCCTCTGCCAAAAAAAATAAAAATTAGCCATGCATGGTGGTGTGTGCCAAGCTGCTTGGGAGACTGAAGCAGAAGGATCCCTTTAGCCCAGGAGGTCAAGGTTGTAGTGAGCCATGGTTATGCCACTGCACTCCAGCCTGGGTGACAAAGTGAGACCCTATCTCAAAAAATAATAAGTAAAATTACAAACTCCCCGCTTCACCACCCCACCCAATCCCCTCATATCTCTGGTCAGTTTTTCCCTATAGTCATCACCTTTAACAAACTATAGAATATATTTATTATGGTACCACCACCACCACCCCCAGCTTCCCTCCCTGGGACCCATTCCTGGTATATCCTTTTTAAGATCATGGTTCCAGCAAATAGACCATGTAGGGCACTGACTAAGGCCATGAACTCTGAAAATAGTGTGCCTGAATTTGAATCCTGGCTTTGCCACCTATGAGCTTCAGATACATTTTTGTTTGTTTGTTTGTTTGTTTGTTTTTGAGATGGAGTCTCACTCTGTCACCCAGGCTGGAGTTCAGTGGTGTGATCTTGGCTCACTACAACCTTACAACCTCTGCCTCCCAAGTTCAAGTGATTCTCCTGCCTCAGCCTCCCAAGTAGCTGGGATTACAGGCGCCCACCACCACACCTGGCTAATTCTTTTTTTTTTTTTTTTTTTTTTTTGAGACGGAGTCTCACTCTGTCGCCCAGGCTGGAGTGCGGTGGCGCGATCTCGGCTCACTGCAAGCTCCGCCTCCTGGGTTCACACCATTCTCCTGCCTCAGTCTCCTGAGTAGCTGGGACTACAGGCGCCCGCCACCGCGCCCGGCTAATTTTTGTATTTTTAGTAGAGACAGGGTTTCAGTGTGTTAGCCAGGTGGTCTCGATCTCCTGACCTCGTGATCCGCCCGCCTCGGCCTCCCAAAGTGCTGGGATTACAGGCGTGAGCCACTGCGCCCAGCCTCCACGCCCGGCTAATTTTTTAATTATTAGTGGAGACAGGGTTTCACCGTGTTGGCCAGGCTGGTCTCGAACTCCTGACCTGGTGAGACGTGACTTTCACCTTCCGCCATGATTGTGAGGCCCCCCCAGCCACGTGGAACTGTGAGTCTATGAAACCTCTTTTTCTTTAAAAATTACCCAGTCTCAGGTTATATCTTTATCAGCAGCATGAAAACAGACTAATACAGGTGGAGAGGATTAAATGGGTCAATATGTGTAAAGTGGTGAGAATAGAGTCCAGCACGTCATAAGTGCTCAAATAAGTGTTAGCTGTTATTTTTTGTAAGCACTAAAACCTTAAAAGGGAGACCCTTAAATATCCATCCATATTTACTTCAACCATTTTGGCCACTAAGTGACCTATGTAGCCCTAGACAAACAAATCTCTTCTCCTTTCTGACTTCAGTTGCCCCTTTTATGGAATGAAGTTGGAGTAATTGTTCCCAAGGACCTGCCAAGCAATAGCTTTTCCTGGAAAAACTTTTAAAAATAACTTTTATTCATTATTACTCTAAGTGAAACATAGGTCTATCCCTCACCCTACCCCCACCATAGAAGCTCCGTAGGGCAGGGTTTTTTTTTCCTGTTTTGTCCCCTGCTCTAACCCCAGTGCCTGGCTGGGCGCTGAAGATACAAGTGAACACAGCAGGCCTGGTCCCTGCTCTTTCCGAGCTCAAAGGGAGGTAGATCTACCCATGCAGATTCAAAGGTCAAAGCAGCAACACACACCCCATCCTTCTGACTGTGGATTCAGGTGGGGGCTGGGTCCTAGCCCTGGATCCCCCTTGCTTTGTGACCAGGGAAAGTAATGGCTCTTCTCTAAGCCTCCATTTACCCACCTGAGAACTGAGTATAATTTTACATACCCAATAGAAAAACAGGACGAGCACGGTGGTTCACGCCTGAAATCCTAACACTTTTGGTGGCCAAGGTGCAAGGATTGCTTGAGGTCAAGAATTCAAGGCCAGCCTGGGCAATATAGTGAGAGTTCATCTCTACAAAAAATTGGAAAATTAGCCAGGCGTTGTGGTGCATGCCTGTTAGTCCCGGCTGCTCAGGGGGGTTGAGGTGGGAGGATTGCTGAAGCCCAGGAGTTCGAGGCTGCAGTGAGCTATACCACTGCACTCCAGGCTGGGTGACAGATCAAGACCCTGTCTCAAAAAAAAATAATAAAAAATAAGAAGGAAGGAAAGAAGGAAAGAAGGAAGGAAGGAAGGAAAAGAGTAAAAAGGCAATTCACATAAGAGGAAATGCAAGAGCCAATAAGCACCCAAAACTATGTGTTACCTCAAGGAAAAGGGAGGAAACGTGCTAATTAAAACAGAACACAGTTTCTCCCCATAAGATTTGCAAAATGAAAATGATCAATAGCATCTATCGTTTGGTGAAGGGGTAGAAAACAGACATCTGAAAAACTGCTGTTAGAAATGTCAGCTGGGGGCAGTGCTAATGGATGGAAGTGTGGCAGTGTCCATTAAAAGTTCTTAAATTGGCATACTATTAATGACCAAGCAACTCTATTTCTAGGAATGGGTCCTATAAAAATACACACAGACATGCACAAAGAGGCAAATACAAGGACATTACTGTAGCAAGATTCATAATAGCAAAAGAATTGGAGAGCTGACAATAGGGTTAGATTATGAGAATCCCCATAATGGAGTCTTCTTTTTTTTTTTTTTTTTTTTTTGAGATGGAGTCTCACTCTGTCACCCAGGCTGGAGTGCAGTGCAGTGATCTTGGCTCACTACAACCTACACCTCCCAGGTTCAAGTGATTCTCCTGCCTCAGCCTCCCGAGTAGCTGGGACTATAGGCACACGCCACCACACCTGGTTAATTTTTGTATTTTTAGTAGAGACAGGGTTTTGCCATGTTGGCCAGGCTGGTCTCGAACTCCTGACCTCAGGTGGTTCACCTGCCTTGGCCTCCCAGAGTGCTGGGATTACAGGTGTGAGCCACCTCACCTGGCCATAATGGAGTCTTATATGCACCTATCAATAATAATATAGTGATAGGAAAATGTGTTACCTAAATTTAGATGAAATGGGCCAGACATGGTGGCTCACATCTGTAATCCTAACACTTTGGGAGGCCAAGGCAGGAGGATCACTTCAGCCTACGAGTTCAAGACCAGCCTGGGCAACATAAGGAGATCCCATCTCTACAAAAAGTTTAAAAATAGCTGGGCAGGGTGACGTGGACCTGTGGTCCCAGCTACTCAGGAGGCTGAAGTGGGAGGACTGTTTGAGCCTGAGGGTTGATGCTACAGTGAGTCATCATCACACCACTGCTCTCCACCCTGGGTAATAGAGCAAGACCCCATCTCAAAAAACAAAAGAAAAAATAAGTAGATTTAGACGAAATGGACAAATTCTTAGATGAATAGGGCCTAGCAAAACTGACACAAGAAAAAATAGAAAACCTAAATAGTACTATAACTATCAAAGAAATTCAATCCTTAATTTAAACCCTCCTCATAAAGAAATCTTCAGGCACAGAGATTTCACACAAAGAAGTGATAAACACTGCATACATATAGTTCAATTTATGTAAATATATAATTTCACACATATATTACATATATAACTATATGTATATTCATACATATATATTTATATAGTTATTTAGATTCATATATATATGCAAACACATAAACATGGGAGGATGCACATCGAACTGCTGATTATGATGACCGTCAGAGAGGGGATTTAGGGGCTGTCTGTTTCCCATGCTGTTCCCATTTTTGTGAAACCATATTTTTTTGTTTTTTGAGACAGGGTCTTGCTTGTCATCCACGCTGGCGTGCAGTGACACAATCATGGCTCACTGCAGCCTGGGCCTCCCAGACTCACATGATTCTCCCACCTCAGCCTCCTGAGCAGCTGATAGTTCAGGAATGACCTACCACACCCAGCTAATTTTTGTATTTTCTGTAGAGATGGGGTTTTACCATGTTGCCCAAGCTGGTCTTGAACTCCTGGGCTCAAGATATCCCCCTACCCCTGCCTCCCAAAGTGCTGGGATTATAGGCATGAGCCATCACATCCCGCCTGAAATCGTATTTATAACCAAACATAACCCAATCAAAGGTTAGATTCCTTGATGTAAAATAGCCAATGGTAGGAAGATGATGTTGAGATTCACCCTGGGACCTCCCTGGAAACTGCCATATCCACAGCAAACAGAAGTTGCTCAATAAATGTTAGTCCAAAGGAAAAAGAGCATTTCTCCCATTTAATCATTCAGTGAGAGTCCACCACATATGTTACACTGTGCATTTATTTACAAAGAGGTTAGAGAAACACACAGAATCTGGCCCCCCTTTGCACTGGGGAGTCACCATCGTCATAATAAATACAGTAATTTTAAAAAAGAAAAAAAATACTAGATTGGAACAGCTGAGGGTCATCAGGCTTCCCCCATTCCCTCTCACAGGGAGTGGGGGTCATGAGATAGAAACCATCTTCCTTCCCCTCTTCTACCTCCGAATCCTCCATAATTGTCCAGGGATCGAAGTGAAAGAGTCCTTCTTTCCAGGTGTTACCAACCCCTACTTGACCCTCAAAACCCCCAAATCAGTGCTCCTTCCCTTCCCAGGGCACTCTGCAGGGACCACCTGAGTCAGACACAGAGTCTCTGACCAGGGTGCCAAGGGGATATCTTAAGGGTCCAGGGACATGGAGGGGGCACTTTGTGAATGAGAGGGGGCCATAGCTGGGCAAGGAAAGGAGGAATGAGAGGGCTCATCAGGAATGAGAGGGAGAGCGGTGGAGGGGAACAAACAGACTAGGCTTCTAAACTAAAACGGGGAAATTCAAACCGAATTACCCCTTTTGCATACATGGACACTTACTGTACAGATGAGGAAAGTGACGCCCAGAGAAGGGGAACTGTCTTGCCCAAGGGCTTCCAAGCTAGAAGCTGAACTGGGTCAAACAGGGCTCCTCCCCATTCCTCTCGGTGGTGGTGGGGGAGCCTTTTCAACCAAGACTGTTAGGAGTGGGGAGAGTGAGGGGGGTCTTTGGAAGCAGAGAAAACGATGGTCTTTGGAAGGTAGATGTGGAAGGGTCAGTGGTTGGGAGTGTGGAGGTGCAGAGGCCATGAAGGGGGAGCCCAAGCAAATCCCCAAACTCACACTGTAGTCATGACCTTGAGAGAACCCGAACGGAAACGCAGTATCTTTTTCTTGAGCGCGTGGGAAGCTTTGATTTTCACGAAGACTTTGGCGGGGCCTGCGGGCGCCCCTGCACCTGCTCCACCCCCAGAGGCCGCGGTGGCCGCCACCAGCTGCTGCGGCCACACGAGGCCACCGCTGCCGTCTGAGTCGCTGGAGGCAGAGCTGAAGGCAGGCGATTCTCCCTCGCTGGCGCTCGATTCGCTCTCCCCGTAACCCCCGCCGACGCCTCCCGCAGGCCCCCGGCGTCCCAGGGGCCCCAGGCGCCCAGCCGAGCACTCGGAGTCGCTGCCCGCGCAGCCGTAAAGCAGACGACGCTGGGGAGCTGACGGGGACGGGCCGGGGCCGGGAACACGCGCCGCAGGGGCTCGGGGCCGCACGCGGCGCCCATCGGCAGCGTCGATCTCCGCAGTGGAGCGCCAGCGACGGCAGGACCCTGCGGCCTGGGCCGCCAGCGTGGGCGCTGGGCCGCGGCGTGGCCGTGGAGGCCGAGGCTCTTCCCGCTCCGCCGTGGGGTACTTAGGGGGCCCCGAAGGGACCGCGGAGGCGCGGCCCAGCAGGCTGGTCTCAGACTGGGAGCGCGAGGCCTTGCGGGCCCTGGGCGAGCCGCGGCGGCCCGAAGCCTCGGCCATGCGTCCACGGCGGCCGGCGGCCCGGGGACGCTCCCGGGGTGGTGACTGCTCCACGCTGCGGCCGCGGGTCAGTGGCGGCGGTTTGCGGCGGGCGGCGCGGCCAGGGAGGCCTCGGGTGGCCGCCTGCGCGCCCGGGATGTACTGCGCCTTCACCAAGCGGCCCTCAGCCGGGCTGTCGGGGGGTGAGGGGGCGGCGGGCGGCGCAGCGGGCTCGGGTGCCGCCTCCGACTCCCACGACGACGCCCAGGCGCGGCTCAAGGCGGCAGGGCTGGTGGGGTGGCCCCCGACGCGCTCCAACGAGGGCTCCCGCGCGGGTCGCGCGCTGCCGGGGGACGGAGACGCGTCGGGCGGCCGCTGGCGCACGCTGTTCTGGCGCCGCGGGCCGCCGTCCGCGCCCCCGGGACTGGTCCGGGGCTGGCCCGCCCCCCGGCGGCGGCGCCTGCGCAGGAGCGCCGAGATGTAGCCGTCCAGGGGCCGCCCTGCGCCCCCCGCGTCGGGCGAGTCGGTGGGAGGGCGGCCGCAGGGCCGCGGGCTGCGCATCGCCACGGCGTGCAGGGGGCTGGGCGTCAGAAAGGGCCCGGCGCGGGCCCGCCGCTCCGCCGAGGAGCAGGCCTCCGGGCCGGCGGACCCCCCTGCCGTCGGGTAGGGCGCTGAGAAGGACCGCGGCACCGCTGCCCGCGCGCCCACCACCTCCGGAGCGCTGGGACTGGCGTCTCCTAGGGAAGGAAGGCCAAAAAAAAAAAAAAAAGAGAGAGTGGAGGGGCTCTCAAAGTCCTTTCCCATTTCTCATCCAGCCCGGAAGGGGCGGGTTGCCTCCCTCCCTTCCATCCTCATCGCAGCAAAAACCCTGCTCTCACACCTTCCTTCTTGTAAAATTCATAATAAAATCTTTACAGGGTCCTACAAGACCCTGCGTGACTTGTCCTGCCTCTGCCTCTGCCTCTCCAACTCTCACAACATCTTACCCCCTATTTTTTTTTTTTTTTTTTTTTTGAGACGGAGTCTCGTTCTGTCGCCCAGGCTGGAGTGCAGTAGCCCGATCTCGGCTCACTGCAAGCTCCGCCTCCCGGGTTCATGCCATTCTCCTCCTGAGTGGCTGGGACTACAGGCGCCCGCCACCACGCCCGGCTAATTTTTTTGTATTTTTAGTAGAGACGGGGTTTCACCGTGTTCGCCAGGATGGTCTCGATCTCCTGACCTCGTGATCCTCCCGCCTCGGCCTCCCAAAGTGCTGGGATTACAGGTGTGAGCCACTGCGCCTGGCCTTTTTTTTTTAAGACAGGTTCTTGCTTGCTCTGTCACCCAGGCTGGAGTGCAGTGGCGCAATCATAGCTCACTGCAGTTTCCAGCTCCTGGGCTCAAGGGATCCTCTCGCCTTATCTTCCTGAACGGCTGGGACTACAGGAACGCATCACCATGCCCTGCTGATTTTTTTATTTTTTGTAGGGATGGGGTCTCACTGTGTTGCCCAGTCTAGTCTCCAGCTCCCAGGCTCAAATAATCCTCCCGCCTCAGCCTCCTAAAGTGCTGGGATTACAGGCATGAACCACTGAGCTGACCCTTCTCCTCTACTTATAGGACTCCAGCCACACTGGCCTCCTGAAAGCAGGCGCCAGTCACATTCTGGCCTCAGAGCCTTTCTGCTTCCCATTCCAGATTCCAGATGCCCGGAATGCTCTTCCTTCTGGATATCTGCTAGGTCCACTCCCCCACTTAGTTCAGGGCACAACTCAAATGTTACAGTCTCAGTGAAGCCCTCCCCAGCCATATTTTCTAAAATTGCACTTCCCTCCCCAAACTCAAAGGGACACTTCTGAGTCCCTTTCCCCGGCTTATTTCTTGTCATAGCACATGGCATTATTTCGTACCCTAGATATTTTACTTATTTATCCTGGTTTATTTATTTATCTATTTATTTATTTATTTATTTATTTATTTATTTTTTAGACGAAGTCTCGCTCTGTCACCCAGGCTGGAGTGCAGTGGCATGATCTCAGCTCACTGCAATCTCTGCCACCCAGGTTCAAGCGATTCTCCTGCCTCAGCCTCCTGAGTAGCTGGGATTACAGGCACGCGCCACCACGCCCAGCTAATTTTTGTATTTTTTGTAGAGACGGGGTTTCACCATGTTGGTCAGGCTGGTCTGGAACTCCAGACCTCGTGATCTGCCCGTCTCGGCCTCCCAAAGTGCTGGGATTACAGGCATGAGCCACCGCGCCTGGCCATTTATCCTGTATTTTATCTATTCCTCCAACTAGGCTGGCAGTTTCCTGAGGGCAGGGATTTGCCTGTTTTGTTCATTACTGTTCATTTTGTTCATTGCTCCTGGGATACTGCTAGGTAGCACATAGTGGGGGCTCAAAAACTTACTTGTATGAATGAATGACAGCAGTTCCTGTTTACCAGTGACTGCCATGCACCAAGTCCAATGCCTTAGAGCAGAGGCTCACTGAATATTCAAAAATATCCCCTTAGGGCAGGCACTGTTTGTGTGTGTGTGTGTGTGTGTGTGTGTGTGTGTGTGTGTGTGTGTGTGGTTGGTGTTTTATTTTTATCTTTTTGAGGCAGAGTCTTGCTCTGTCACCCAGGCTGGAGCGCAGTGACACCATCTCAGCTCACTGCAACCTCTGCCTCCCAGGTTCAAGCAATCCTCCTGGCTCAGCCTCCCAAGTAGCTGGGATACAGGCATGCACCACAATGCCTGGCTATTGAGGCACTGTTATTATACCATTTTATATTTATTTATTTATTTTTTGAGATGGAGTCTCACTCTGTCACCCTGGCTAGAGTGCAGTGGCTCCATCTTGGCTCACTGCAACCTCCACCTCCAGGGCTCAAGCAATTCTCCTGTTTCAGTCTTCAGAGTAGATGGGACTACAGGCACACATCACCACGCCTAGCTAAGTTTTGTATTTTTAGTAGAGACAGGATTTTACCATATTGGTCAGGTTGGTCTCGAACTCCTGATCTCAGGTGATCCACCTGCTTTGGCCTCCCAAAGTGTTGGGATTACAGGCATGAGCCACTGTGCCCAGCCTATTTATTTATTTATTTTGAGACAGAGTCTTGCTCTGTCACCCAGACTGGAGGGCAGTGGCACAATCTTGGCTCACTGCAACCTCCACCTCCCAGGTTCAAGCGATCCTCCCACCTCAGCCTCCCGAGTAGCTGGAATTACAGGTGTTCGCTACCACGCCCAACTAATTTTTGTATAGACGGGGTTTCACTATGTTGGCCAGGCTGGTCTCAATCTCCTGGCCTCAAGTGATCCGCCCACCTCCCAAAGTGCTGGGATTACAGGCGTGAGCCACCGCACCCAGCCATATTTCATTTTAACAGATGGAAAAACAGAGACCCAGAAATAAGAGACCTGCTCATAACCATGTGAAAAGGAAATGTCACAGCTGGAATTGGAATCCAGGCCCGATTCGGAAGTCTGTGCCCACAACCATCCTCCTACTGTCCTTTCCCTGGCCCCAGGGCCCCACCCTCACCCACCTTACCTAGGGACTTGGGCCTCTCACTGGCATAGATGCCCCGGGGCTCAGAGGGACCCAGGCGACCATAGGAGCTGGATCCAGAGAAGCCACTGTCCCCACAGAAGGTTGAGGGTGGTGAATCTGGACCTCCTGTAGAGCTGGGATCTTCATAGAAGCCTAAATTTCCAGGAGAAGCAGAGAGACTTCAGGGGGTTTGGGTGGGAAAACCAGAGCTGGGGAAAGGAGGAGATGGCGTGGGGAGAGACACAGGGGGCCTCAGAAATAGGGATACGGGGAACATGGAGGCGTCCCAGGCAAACCCTACCCCTCCATCCATGCTCACCCGAGCTACGCCCGCTCTCCTGTTCCAGGCCCCCAGACTCCAGGCTCAGGTCTCCCAGCTGCTGTCCCAGGTCCCAGACGAGACCAGGCAGGGCCTCCTGAAGGCATAGGGAGAGAAGGATGGTCAGAAGGCCCCCAGTCCTCTGCCGACTGGTCCCCTATTCCACGAGCTCATGGGCAGAGTTTCACTTTGACAATGAGGCTCTCGCTTCAAAGGATAAAAGCAGTACCTCAGTCCCAGGACCCCCTCAAGATCTGTGTCCCTTCATCCCCATTAGAAAGTCCTTCTGACGTTCCAACTCCAGTCCTTCATGCTGCAGCCCCATCTCATTCCCTCTTAGGTGTGATGAGGCCTCAGAAAACCCCCATCTCTTGCCCTGTCTTTATCAGTTGCTACCCCCAATCTGTGCTCAGAGCCCCTCAACCCTGATTAGAATGTCCCTCTTTGAGTCTAACTTCAGGATTGCTGTAAGGACAGTTTACTGCTAAAAGGTGGTGTCCAGGACCCCCAGATCCCTTAGTCATAGGTCTGCCTTCTTCTCCAAGTTTTTCTTTTTTTATTTTTATTTATTTATTTATTTATTTATTTATTTTGAGATAGGGTCTCACTCTGTCGCCTAGGCTGGAGGGCAGTGGCGTGATCCCAGCTCACTGCAGCCTCTACCTCCCGGGATCAGGCAATTCACCCACCTCAGCCTCCTGAGTAGCTGGGATTACAGGCGCCCGCCACCACGCCCAGATAATTTTTGTGTTTTCAGTAGAGGCAGGGTTTCACCATGTTGCCCAGGCTGATCTTGAACTCCTGACCTCAGGTGATCCACCTGCCTCAGCCTCCCAAAGTGCCGGGATTACAGGCATGAGCCACTGCGCCCAGCCTCTCCCCGTCTTTGACCTTCTTTCTCAGATACGCCCATTGCCCCTTATCACCAAGAGAAGGTCCTTTTGTGAGTCTTCCTTAAGTCCTTCCTGCTGCAGATTGCCTCTTTCCCCCATATGGGTAAAATAGGCTGACCACGACTCATAAACGTCTTTGCTCTCCCTTCAGAAAGAACCTCCCAAGCCTCCTAGACAGTCCTGTGAGTCTAGCCTTACTGGTACTGCAGCAGCCATCCCAGCACGTTCCTTTGCCCTAGAGACCACATCCTCCTTCTGCCTTTGGTCCACTCCCACCAGGAAGCTCCAGTGAGTCTACCTTTCCTCATCGCCATGAGAAATTTCGGGGAGTCAGGCCGGGCGCAGTGGCTCACGCCTGTAATCCCAGCATTTTGGGAGGCCGAGGCGGGCGGATCACATGAGGTCAGGAGTTGGAACCAGCCTGGCCAATATGGTGAAACCTTGTCTCCCTTAAAAATACAAAAACTAGCGGGGCGTGGTGGTTTGCGCCTGTAGTCCCAGCTACTAGAGAGGCTGAGGCGGGAGGATTGCTTGAGCCCAGGAGGCAGAGGTTGCAGTGAGCCGAGATCACACCATTGCACTCCAGCCTAAGCAACACAGCAAGACTGACAAAAAAAAAAAAAAAGGAAAAAAGAAAAAGAAATTTCCATGAGTCTACCCTGGATCCTTCTTGCTGCAGGAAAAGAGCACTTCTCACGGATGGGGTCTCCAAGACATTAGGACTTAATCTCATTTTAGAAAAGAGAGGGTCAGAGCCAGAAAAAGTCTCACATGGGTCTGAGTGAGGCCGGGTAGCAGCAGGCAGCCTCGGGCTGACGGTTGACCCTCAGACAAAAGCGGCTTGTCTGGACCGCAGGAGGGAGGGAAGTGGGGAGGAGGGTTTGGGAGGGCAGGCACCCAACCCTGCCTATTTAGGGCAGAAAGACTGGCCGGCTCCCCGGCAGCCACAACCCCCCCGCCCCATCCCAGTCTCTCCAGGGCCCAGCCTCTCCCATCCCCCTAGAACAGAAGCCCCCATCCGGGCCTGTTTATTTGAGGAAGGTCAACAAATCCTTCCACTCTGGGCTCCTGCCCTGGGTATATTGAGATGCTCACAGTGAAGTCATCTTTGAGCGGAACTCAAAAAAGCAGCTGAATTGTGCAGCATCAGGAAGTAACTAAAAAAAAATCTCTCGGACCTACCATGTACCCCATGTCACGTCCGTCACAAATCACTGGCATGCTCACTCCCCTCTAGCCACGCCTGGCCTTGCCACCGTCCCTCGAACATACCATGTATGCGCCTACCTCGGGAGAATGTTTCCCCCACATACCTTCCTTGCTTCATTCAGATCTTTGGTGATCTCTTCTCTGACACCTTTCCAAAATAGCTCCCCTGTCATTGTGTACCCCGTTGCCCTGCTTTTCGGGTTTTTTCTACATATCAGTAATGACCTCTTGATTTAAAATTATACATCAGGCCAGGCTCGGTGGCTCACGCCTGTAATCCCAGCACCTTGGGAGGCCAAGGCAGGGAGGATCACTTGAGGTCAGGAGTTCAAGATCAGCCTGGCCAACATGGTGAAACCCCGTCTCTACTAGAAATACAAAAAATAGCCAGGTGTGGTGGTGTGTGCCTGTAATCCCAGCTACCCAAGAGGCTGAAGCAGGAGAATTGCTTGAACCAGGGAGGCGGAGGTTGCAGTGAGCCGAGATCACGCCACTGCACTCCAGCCTGGGCGACAGTAAGATTTCATCTCCAAAAACAACTAAAATAAAATAAAAGTATACATCAAGGTATCATTTGTTTGTTGAATCTCTCACTAGAATGTCAGCCCTAGGAACGCGGAGATTTGTCTGTTTAGCTCACAGGTGCACCCCCACCCAGTGCCTAGAACAGTGCCTGGCACAAAGTGGGTGCTCAGGAAATATTTAATGGGCTGGGTGTGGTGGCTTATGCCTATCATCCCAGCACTCTGGAAGTGCCAAGGCGGGAGGATCGCTGGAGGCCGAGAGTTCAAGACCAGCCTAGGCGACATAGTGAGACCCAGTCTCTCTCTCTCTCTCTCTCTCTCTATATATATATATATATATATACACAAACACACATATATATATACACACATATATATACACATATATACACTATATATACACACATGTATATACACATATATGTATATATATGAAATTTATTTATTTATTTATTTATTTATTTATTTATTTTTGAGATGGAATCTAGCTCTACCGCTCAGGCTGGAGTGCAGTGGTGCAGCCTCCACCTCCCAGGTTCAAGTGATTTTTTTTTTTTGCCTCAGCCTCCCAAGCAGGTGGGATGACAAGCATGTCCCACCACACTTGGCTAATTTTTGTGTTTTTAGTAGAGACAGGGTTTCATCATGTTGGCCAGGTTGGTCTCGAACTCCTGACTACAAGTCATCCGCCCACCTCAGCCTCCCAAAGTGCTGGGATTGCATGCGTGAGCCACTGTGCCTGGTCTTTTTTATTTTATTTTTGAGACAAGGTCTCACTGTCTCACCAGGCTGGACTGCAGTGGCACGATCACGGCTCACTGCAGCCTTCACCTCCTGGGCTCAGGTGATCCTACCACCTCAGCCTCCCAAGTAGCTGGGACTACAGGCACATGCCACCACACCCCCGCTAATCTTTGTATTTTTTTGTAGAGACAGGGTCTCCCTGTGTTGCATAGGCTTGTCTCGAACTCCTGGGCTTGAGCAGTCCTCCCGCCTCGGTCTCTTAAAGTGCTGGGATTGCAGGCATGAGCCATTGCACCCAGCTGTCTATTTTTTAAAAAGAAATATTAGATGAAAGAATGAATGTATACAATGGAATACTATACAGCTGTTAAAACGGAATGAGTCAAATTTCTATATAGAATCATTACCAAGATATAGCATTGAGCAGAAACAGAAAAGGGCAGAATATATATAGTATGAGTGACTCAGAATTACCTGGAGGGCTTGTGAAAGCCCAAATGACTGAGTCCCATTCCCAGAGCTTTTGATTACAGCCTGCAGTCACGCCCAAGTAGTTGTATGGCTAACAAGTTCCATGTCATGTGGTGCTGCTGGCTAGGAGGCCACACTTTGACTGGCATAGTCTCTGGGACCTCACCCAAGAAACTAGAATTTGTAAAAAGCAAAGCTTTGACAAAAGCTCTACGTTTTTTGGTATGTAAACAGTTTCTGTTAGGAGATATGTTGGAAGAGGTCTGGGAGGTGACACTAAGGTGACAATGATGGTGACCTCAGGGGATAGGTTGGATTTAGGGGATCCAGGGAGGAATGAGGGGACTGGATGGTGGAAGGAAGTGTTTAAGGAGGCGTGACTTGGCATCACATTAAGCTCTGCTGCTCCCCAGCTGTGTGACCTTGGGTGGGTGACTTTACCTCTCTGGGCTTCAGTTTCCTTATCTATAACTGGGCATCATAGGACACCATCTCCTGGAGGTTATTGTGAGGATTAAATGAGTTTCTTTTTTTTTTTTTTTTTTTTTTTTTGAGACGGAGTCTTGCTCTGTCGCCCAGGCTGGAGTGCAGTGGCACAATCTCGGCTCACTGCAAGCTCCGCCTCCCGGGTTCACGCCATTCTCCTGCCTCAGCCTCCCGAGTAGCTGGGACTACAGGTGCCCGCCACCACGCCCAGCTAATTTTTTGTATTTTTAGTAGAGACGGGGTTCCACCACGTTAGCCAAGATGGTCTCAATCTCCTGACCTTGTGATCTGCCTGCCTCGGCCTCCCAAAGTGCTGGAATTACAGGCGTGAGCCACCGCGCCCGGCCAATGAGTTTCTTTTGACACATAATAAATGCCAGTTTGTATGATTACAGGAAAGCTATGAATTTCTTATAAGGAAAATAGAAAATGTTTCCATTGTTTAATTAAAAATAAATGTAGGTGTCGGGCGCAGTGGCTCACGCCTGTAATCCCAACAACTTTGGGAGACCGAGGCGGGAGGATCACTTGAGGCCAGGAATTCAAGACCAGCCTGGCCAACATGGTGAAAGCCCATCTCTACTAAAAATACAAAAATTAGCCAGGGGTGATGGTGCATGCCTGTAATTCCAGCTACTCGGGAGGCTGAGGCAGGAGAATTGCTTGAATCCAGGAGGTGGAGGTTGCAGTGAGCCGAGAATCACTTGAACCTAGGAGGTGGAGGTTGCAGTGAGCAGAGATTGTGCCATTGCACTCTGGCCTGGGTGACAGAGCAAGATTCTGTCTCAATGAATAAATAAATAAAGGCCAGGTACAGTAGCTCACACCTGCAATCCTAGTGCTTTGAGAGGCTGAGACAGAAGGATTGCTTGAGCCCAGGAGTTGGAGACCAGCCTGAACAACATAGCAAGACCTCATATCTTTAAAAAAAAAAAAAAAATTAGCCAAATGTGGCGGTGTGCACCTGTAGTCCTAGCTTCTTGGGAGGCTGAGGCAGGAGGATTGCTTGAGGCCAAGTTAGAGGCTGCAGTGAGCTATGATCGTGCCACTGCACTTCAGCCTGAGAGACTTTGTCTCCAAAAATAAATGAATAAATAAATATATCATTTAAAAATACATAAATAAACGTGAAAGGATAGACTTTTTGGTAAGTTCTGCCAAGTCTAATTCCGGTTCTTCCATTACAAGGAAGAGCAGAAATTAGGGAGACAGACAGGAGATGCCTCCTCCTCTCCAGCACCTAGACGCCCCCCAAAAATATTCCAAGTCTACACCCCTCTATTTGCAAGTCTGGCCTCATTCCTTCCAGTTGCAAAAGGATGAATCTTTAAAAGATTAGAAAGTCCTTGGCCTGAGTCTGGCTCTCTGCCTCCTCACGGTGCCCCTCATCCTTCCTCTGCAGGCTTAATAAGAGTGTGGTTAGGACCCCTGGAGACCCCTTTGCCCAAACTTCCCTTACCTTGTTTCTCCCCTCACGTGCCCCTCGTTGGTATCCAGTGCCCATTTATCTCTATTAGGAAGTCATTCTGCAAGTCTAACTTAAGTTATTCTTGATGAAAGGAACCTTTTTCCTTCTTGAGAGCAAGCAGGACCCAGGGAGCCCCTGCCCTCACCCAGGATTCCTGCCTCTCTTCTCTGCCACACCCCTGATCTTTACCTGGTATCCCCATCATTCCTATTAGAAAGTAATCAAGTCTGGCTTCAGTCTTTCTTGCCTTGAAGGAAGTGTATTCCTGGCAGGGGCTGGGGGTGGGGGGATAAGTCATAAGACAAGGGTTGGGGGATCAGAAGAAGCCCTAATCCACTCTTCAGAGGGACCCAGGAACCCCCAGCACTAGAGAAGTTTATATTTAGCGCTTCTCTGCTCCTCCTCCTCCCCCCGCCTGCCACCGCCTCCTCCCTGATGCTGGGACAAGCTTTGCCTAGAGACTGGGGGGTGGGGGGACAGGCCTCTCCACTATCAGCTCGTGCCGGGAGGACAGAGGGCTGAGGGGGAGGAGGGGACAGAGGGACCGAGGAGAGGGAGACTGAAGGGCAGAGATGGGGAAGGTGAAGGGTGAAAAGGGGAGAGACCGAGGGCAGAGGGGGAGAGGACACAGCTACCCACAGCTACCCCAACCTCATGCCTCGCATTCTCCTTGTCAGGATGGAAGGCGCCTTCCAAGCCGAGCCAGCTTGGGGTGGGGGGAGCTAGCGAAGGCCCCCACAATCCGTCTCTAACTTTGGGAGGGGGTGGGGCCTCCCACAGCTGTTTCTGTTTCCAGAAAAGAATGTGCAGGGGGGTCCCACTCCTGAGAGGGGGAGGGGCCGGGCGTGCAGCCCCGGGAGCCTGGCTTCAGTCTTCCTCCCCACTCCCCATCTGGGGAGGGGGCGGTCGAGGTCAGCGGCGGGGAGAGCCCCCTCCACTGCCACCTCGGCTCAGGTTTCCCGAAACGGGAAGCTCTGGCCACACACAGGCTTGGGGATGGGGATCTGCCGTGGAGCCAGGGTGTGCGGGCTGGGGGGAGGGGAAGACAGACTGAGCCTGGGACGTCGGGCAAGAAGAAGAGAGCGAGGTGCAGACAGGCAGGAAGGGAAGGCCAAGGAGACAGATGCAGAGGGACACAGAGATCACAGAGACAGAGAGACAGGATGAAGAAAGAGAAGCAGACACAGAAAGTCACAGGGATGTGGCAGGACGGAGAGAGTGACAGAACCCAGGACGAGATCGGGAGACTCAAGGAATGACATAGAAAGGGGAGAGGCATGGGGCGTCCTCAAGTCATTCCGGAGACCTCTGCCCATCTTCCACCATGAGAACACCCAGAGTCCAGAAGTCTCCCCCAGGCGCTGCCTCGACCTGCCTCCCCTTGGGTCAAGGAGAGCTGGGGCCAGGTAGGAAGCAGGGGAAGTGTCACCAAAGGGTCAAGATCCCAGTGGGGGGTCCTCAGGGACTGTGAGCTTCCTCTCAGCAGTGGTCCCTCCCTCTGGAGGCCCTGAGATTCCCCTCCTCCCACCCCGCCCCCTCCAGAGATCTCCAAGCACACCAGGACTTAGGGAAGATGGAGCCCTGGTGGCGGGGCCCAGAGAAGGGCATGTTTGGAGCCTGGCTGTGTCACCTTGGGTGAGTCGCTTGCTCTCTCTGAGCCTCAATTTGTTTCTCTGTTAAATGGGGACTATCACCCCGTTTCCCAAGCCGCAAGAAGACAACGCCTGCAAAGTACCCGGTCTCGGGTTTGACACATACTTGGCGCCCACAAGGATTTTCTTTGGGGAAGGGGTGTAAGAGACAGGGCCTGTGTTTCTCACGAGGCCCCAGTGGGGGCGATGCAGTTCCCCCTCCCCCGATTTGGGGGCGGGGAGGCCAGGTCCGGCCCGCCGCCGGAACTCCGGGGTCGCCAGCCCCACCCCCTGTCCTTTCTCACTCCCTGCCTACCCGGGTCCCCAACCCCCGCCCGGTGTCTGAGCATCCAACCGAGACAGACAGACACAGACGGGGGTGGAGGGACGGACGGACAGGCAGCCCCTTACCAGCTGCTCCTCCAGGGCCGCTGCGGCCCGGCGCGCCGCCGCCGCATCTTCATCCTCATCGGCGTCCTCCTCGTCCTCGGCCTCGGCGCCCCCCATTCCGGGCTGGGCCAGCCGCAGCGCCTGCTGCACGCGGTACTCCTGCCTCTCCCGGAGCCAATGTAACTCGCAGAGCCCGGCCAGGCTACCCTCCAGCCAGCCCCGCAGCCGGCCCCGCTCAGGGCTCACCGGGAACGAGAAGGCCCGGATCATGGCTGCGGCCCCCCGCCCCAGCCCGGCCGGGCCCCGCGGCCACCCCTCTCCCGGTCCCACCTCCCCGCCCCAGCAGCCTGCCCGCCCGCCCGCTGGCCGGGCTGTCACCGTCTCATCTGCATAGGCGCCCGCCCATTGGGCCGCCCACCCGCGCCTTATCTGCATGGCCACGCCCCCGGCGACCGAGCAACAGCCGCCTATTGGCGAATAAGCTTCCTGACGAAGACTCTCGGGCGTGCAACCGCACCGCCCAACACGACGCATGCTCGCAACTGCCTACTCACTCCGCTCGCCACGCCCCCTCCGTGCAACTGCCTCGGGGCCCTGGCCACGCCCCCCCACGCGTCACAATGAAACAAGCCCGCCCTTGCTTCAATGCCATTGGTCTGTGCCTGGCCGGTCCTGCAGCAGGTTCCACCCTCTTGCGGGCGAGCGCTGGCTACCATTGGACTGTCCGGCGCGAGGGGAAGGGTGATCTATAAATAGGGAATGGGTACACGTGACAGTTTGGCAGCTGCTCCTACCCCTCCACCCCGCCCAACCTTCAGCTTCTGAGGCTGCGCAGGGGGAGAAAAGGGTTAGGGGGTCGAGCCCTGACTTCGCCTCCTCTTCCAAGAAGCCTTCCCAGACACTCAGCTGTAAAACCAGACGGACGTCCTCCGATGAAATTGTTTCTACTTAGGGCCGGCTTCACCGGCTTGGAATCCACTTAGAAGGGTCTTCGCGCTTGGTTGAATGTTCTGCAATTTCTGTCTTGAAATTTTTAGTTTTTGAGCAAGGGGCCCCTTATTTTCACTTTGCACTAGGCCAAATATGTAGCCGGTCTTGCTGCTAAGAGTCTAAGATCGATTGCATTCCAAATTCTGGAATTATAAGACCCTGGGTGGAAGATTCTATGCTTTGACCAGAAGAGAGTCTAAGCAGCTTTTGTCTCCCAGGTGCTAGGAGGATGTGTGCTCATCATTCTTCCATTCCAGGGGCCTTTGTTCTACGTTCTAAGGGGCTTTGTTCTCAGCCTTCTATGATGCTCTATTCTCAACGTTCTCTGGTCCTAGGAGTCTGAGCCTGACATTCGTTTCCAAGGCTTCCTGCTGTCTCTCCAGGCTCCGCAAGCAGGGCTGGGGCACCCTCAGGCGGCCAATCTGTATCACTACGCCGAGCCTGCCTCTACCAACTTCCAAGACCTAGCTCTAATATTCATACTCATCTCTCAGACAGACCTTGGCTCCCTAAAAGCCAAGGCCCAGAAGATCATACAAGAAATTCCCTCTTTTATGATTCCCCGTGCACGAAGTGACCTTCTGGTGGTGAGATGGAGAGAAATTGATAGTGGCGATAGACAGCAAAGTCTCCAGGAGCCAGACTTCCTCGGGGTGAGTCACAGATCTGTCACTTTCCAGCTGTGTGACCTTGGAAAACTTACTTAACCTCTCTGTGCCACCGTTTCTTCATCTGATCACGGGATCATAATACTGGCTGCCTCATACAGTTGTTCTGAGGATTCAATGAAATGTATTAGGTACTTGGAGCAGTGTCTTCCATGGATTAAGAGCCACAGAAGGGTTTGACAAATAAGTTTAAAAACTAATCTAGTAAGTTTCCGGGGGGAAATGTCTTGAAATTTATTAGAGACAACCTTTATTCAGTCTTCCTCTTGTTCAAAATAGACTTAGAAAATTAGTCGGGTGTGGTGGTGCACACCTGTAGCCCCAGCTACTTGGGAGGCTGAGGCGGGAGGATCACTTGATTTCCTTTTTGACTTCTTGATGCTTTTATTAATGATGATGCCAAAAGATTTCTGGAGAATCAGCCAGGCGCAGTGGCTCACGTCTGTAATCCCAGTACTTTGGGAGGCTGAGGCGGGCAGATCACCTGAGTTCAGGAGTTCAGATCAGCCTGGCCAACATGGCGAAACCCCATCTGTACTAAAAATACAAAAATTAGCTGGGCATGATGGCACACACCGAGACTGTGGCACTGCACTCCAGCCTGGGTAACAGAGGGAGACTCCGTCTCAAAAAAAGAAAGAAAGAAAGAAATTGAGAGAGAGAGAGAGAGAAAGAAAGAAAGAAAAAGAAAGAGAGAGAGAAAGAAAGATAGATGTCTGGAGAATCAACAAGCAACAGTTGCTTCCAAACATGGCACACAAACTGGATATGGTGGCATGTACCTGTAGTGCGAGCTACTCAGGAGGCTGAGGCAGGAGGATCACTTGAGCCTGGGAGGCTGAGGCTACAGTGAGCCATGATTGCACCATTGCACTCCAGCCTGGGTGACAGAGCAAGACCCAATCTTTAAAAAAAAAAAAAAAAATTGTGATTACAGAGACTGAGTCCCATGCAGGGGCTGTTAATGAAGTTGCAGAAGCTCATAGACCTTGATTTATAGATGGTAGGGATGGGAAGAGGTTCCCATAAAAATCGAGTGGTGCGTTGGGAGAGGCCTTTGAGGAAGGCGTGTAGGGCACAGTGCTCCATCCAAAGGCTTTGGTGGTGCGAGTGAAGGGGATGGGGCCCTGGGAGTAGTGATTTGTGCTGAGAAAGGGGAACAAAACTGACAATCCTAATTGCAGTTGTAAGACTGAGTAAACACTTTTGCAAAAGTAAGCCAGGGGCATTGTGGATCTTGCAGGCTGGAAGGTAGAATAGGGAGGGGAGATGTGTCATTTGGGAAGAGACAGAAGTTACAGCTGGAGAATTGTGATCTGAGAAGCATGTAATCAAAGATCAGTCAAAGAGAATGCAAATGAGGCCGGGTGGGGTGGCTCATGCCTGTAATCCCAGCACTTTGGGACGCAGAGGCAGGCAGATCATTTGAGGTCAGGAGTTCAAGACCAGCCTGGCCAACATGGCGAAACCCCGTCTCTACTAAAAATATAAAAATTAGCTGGGTGTGGTGGTGCACGCCTGTAATCCCAGCTACTTGGGAGGCTGAGGCAGGAGAATCGTTTGAACCTGGGAGGTGGAGGTTGCACTGAGCCGAGATCACGCCACTGCACTCCAACCTGGGCAACAGAGGGAGGCTCTGTCTCTAAATAAATAAATAAATAAAGAGAGAGAGAATGCAAATGAAAGGCAAAAGTCATATGATGAGAAGCAGGCACGGGAGGACCAGAGTGGGTATTAAAATGGGGAATCCTAGCCAGGCTCTGTGACATGCACCTGTAGTACCAGCTACCCAGAAGACAGAAGCAGGAGGATTGTGTGAGCTCAGGAGTTCAAGGCCAACCTGGGCAACATGGTGAGACCCTGTCTCTAAAATAGCGTGTGTGGGAGGGAATCCTGGAGTTTCTGATTCCAGGAGCAGGCTGTCTCATGATGTTGTCTGCTTAACCCAAGGTTCTTGGGAGAGCTGTCTACAATTGCAGCCTCGTCTGCTTCCAGGGCTCTTGAAAGAGCCTCCCTCTGAGGTCTCCAACGGGAGTGGATTCCCATTCAGCACAGGTCTTATATCTCTTCATCTCTGAGATATGAACCCAAGGCAGGACAGTCTGGTGTTTGCAATAGTGTAGGGTCCATCCCATCTGAGTTCAAGGTTAGTCTTCCTGCGATGTCTTTTCCGGAGGACTAAATTCCCTGTTTGGAAATTATGAAGAGGCCGTGATGGAGTATTTGGAGGGAAGGCAGCTCACACTTGTTAGTGACAAGCATAAGTGTACTTAGTCCTTGATAATATCTGAGAATGTCGATTGTAATAGATTAGAGTCCTCAAGGGCCCAATAGGAGTAGAATCCTTGTGAGTCTTTGAGTGATTATTTCATAAGAAGATTATTGATATGTGCTCTGGTAGGAAGAGTAATGGCCCCCCCCTAAGATGTCTACATCTTTATCCCTGGAACCTGTGAATATAGCACCTTTTATGGAAAAAGGAACTTTTTGTGATTAAGAATCTTGAGATAGGGAGATTTATCTTGGATTATCCTGGTGGACCCAGTATCATCACAAGTTTCCTTATAAGATGGAGGCAAGAACGTTAGAGTCAGAGAAATATGTAAATATAGAAGCAGAGGCCGGGCCAGGCACAGTGGCTCACACCTGTAATCCCAAAGCTTTGGGAGGCCGAGTGGGGGAGGATCGCTTGAGGCCAGGACTTTGAGACCAGCCTGGGCAACACGTTTCTACAAAAAAAAAAAAAAAAAATCAAAAAATTAGCCAGGCATGATGGCGCACATCTGTGGTCCCAGTTATCTAGGAGGAGGATCGCTTGAGGCCACCAGTCTGATGCTGCAGTGAGCTGTGATTGTGCCAGTGCATTCCAGCCTGGGGCGACAGGGAAAGACCCTGTCTCAAAAAATAAAATAAAATAAATCTGTGTTGTTTTAAGCCACCACATTCATGGTGATTTATTCTAGCAGTGTATTCATTTGCTAAGGTGGCCATAACGAAACACTACAGACATAGTTTAAACGACAGAAATTTATTTTCTCACCATTCTAGAGGCCAAGAAGTCCAAGATCAAGGCGTCGGCAGGGCTGGTTTCCTCCGAGGCCTCTCTCCTTGGCTTGCAGATGGTCACCTTCTCACTGTGTCCACACATGGTTTCCAGTATGTGTGCACACATCCCTGTGCCTCTCTCCTTGTCTTTTTTTTTTTTTTTTTTCAAGACAGAATCTTGCTCTGTCACCCAGATTGGAGTGCAGTGGCACGATCTCGGCTCACTGCAACCTCCGCCTCTCAGGTTACAGTGATTCTCCTGCCTCAGCCTCCCGAGTAGCTGGGATTACAGGCATGAGCCAACTCACCCAGCTAATTTTTGTATTTTTAGTAGAGACGGGATCTCACCATGTTGGTCACGCTGGTCTCAAACTTCTGACCTCAAGTGATCTGCCTGCCTTGGCCTCCCAAAGTGCTGGAATTATAGGTGTGAGCCACCGCACCCGGCCCAAAAAACTTTTTAATTAGCTGGGCGTGGTGGTGCATGCCTGAAGTCCTGGCTACTGGGGAGGCTGGGGAGGAAGAATCACTTGAGCCCAGGAGGTTGAGGCTGCAGTGAGCCATGATTGCACCACTGTGCTCCAGCCTGGGCGACAGAGCAAGACTCTGTCTCAAAAAAAAAAAAAAAAAAAAAAAAAAGGAAAGAAAAAGAAAAGAAAAAGGAAAATAAGCTAATGCTTGTGGTTATGGGGAAGTCAAGGGACAACAGTGGGCAAGGGTAAGTTCAATTCTTCAGTTAGTTTGGCAAGTTTAAGTTTGACGAGACTGAATCGGCATGTTCAATTTGTCCTGATGATCATAGGCAATAGGGCTAAAGGATTTCTGTGAAATGGGAGTACCCACTGGTTCTCTGGATTAGCCTGCTTGATATGGTATGGGTAGGCTTTGTGACCCACCCAAATCTCATTTTGAACTGCAGTCCTCAGGTGTTTAAGGAAAGACCTGGTGGGAAATGATTGGCTCATGGGGGCTGTTCTTGTGACAGTGAGGGAGTTCTCACGAGATCTGATGGTTTTATAAATGGTAGTTTTTCCTGCATTTACACACACGCACTGTCTTGCCTACTGCCATGCGAGATGGGCCTCTTCACCTTCCGCCATGACTGTAAGTTTCCTTAGGCCTCCCCAGCCATGTGGAACTGTCAGTCAATTAAACCTCTTTCCTTTATAAATTACCCAGTCTCGGCCAGGCGCGGTGGCTCAAACCTGTAATCCCAGCACTTTGGGAGGCCAAGGTGGGCAGATTACTTGAGGTCAGGAGTTCAAGACCAGCCTGGCCAACATGGTGAAACCCCATCTCTACTAAAATCCAAAAAATCAGCCGGGCATGGTGGCACGCACCTGTAATCCCAGCTACTCAGGAGGCTGAAGCAGGAGAATCGCTTGAATCCAGGAGGCGGAGGTTGCAGTGAACTGAGATTGCACCACTGCACTCCAGCCTGGGTGAGAGAAAAAGACCCTGTCTCAATTATTAACTGTGGTCACTGTGCAGTGCAATGGGCCGCTAAAATGTATTCCTCCAGTCTAGCTGAAACTTTGTACCTTTGATCAACATCTTTCCTGGGTCAGGCACAGTGGCTCATGCCTGTAATCCCAGCACTTTGGGAAGCCGAGGTGGGAGGATCGTTTGAGCCCGAGAGTTCAAGACCAGCCTAGGCAACACAGTGAAACCTTGTCTCTACAAAAAAAAATTAAAATCTTCCTTTTCCTCATCCCCCCTCTGGCGCTGAGTGTGCTGTTTGGGCTGACTTGGGTTCAGGGAGGCATGGAAACACTATGAGCTTGTTGAAAGTCAGAAGAGAGCCTACTGCTTAGAAATTTCCTGCCGGGTGTTTAAGGTGAAGGGCCATCCACAAAGAGGGTGACACGAGATTGTCACATGGAGGCTCTTCAAGGTCAGGACAAGAAAGAATAAGAATCTGGGGCCCGGGGGCCTGACGCAGTGGCTCACGCCTGTAATCCCAGCACTTTGGGAGACCCAGGTGGGTGGATCACAAGGTCAGGAGATCGAGACCATCCTGGCTAACACGGTGAAACCCTGCCTCTACTAAAAATACAAAAAATTAGCCAGGCATGGTGGTGGGTGCCTGTAGTCCCAGCTACTCAGGATGCTGAGGCAGGAGAATAGCATGAACCTAGGAGGCAGAGGTTGCAGTGAGCTGAGATCACACCACTGCACTCCAGCCTAGGCAACAGAGCAAGACTCCATCTCAAAAAAAAAAAAAAAAGAATCTGGGTCCGGGCCTGGTGGCTCATGCCTGTAAATCCCAGCACTTTGGGAGGCCAAGGCACAAGGATCGCTTGAGGCCAGGAGTTGGGAACCAGCCTGGGCCACATAGTGAGACCCTATCTCCAAAAAATTTAAAAACTTAGCCAGGTATAGTGGTGCATGCCTGTAGTTCCAGCTAGTAGGGAGGCTGAAGCGAGAGGATTGTTTGAGCCTGGGAGTTTGAGGCTGCAGTGAGCTATGATCGTGCTACTACACTCCAGCCTGAGTGAGAGAGCAAGATCCTGTCTCAAAAAAAAAAAAAAAAAAAAAAAAAGCATGTTAGGGAGCTCCAATTCCCCAGGCAATCCTTCCTTGCCTCTTCCCAGCTTCTGGTGGCTCTTGGCAATCTCTAACATTATTTGGCTTGTGGCTGCATCATTCCAAGCTCTGCCTTCATCCTCACATGCTTCTCCCTGTGTCTTACGCGGCCACCTTCTCATAAAGACACCACTCGGCCAGGCGCGGTGGCTCACACCTGTAATCCCAGCACTTTAGGAGGCCGAGGCGAGCGGATCACCTGAGGTCGGGAGTTTGAGACCAGCCTGACCAACATGGAGAAAACCCCGTCTCTACTAAAAATACAAAATTAGCCGGGCATGGTGGTGCATGCCTGTAACCCAGCCACTCGGGAGGCTGAGGCAGGAGAATCGCTTGAACCCGGGAGGCAGGGTTTGCGGTGAGCCAAGATCGCGCCATTGCGCTCCAGCCTGGGCAACAAGAGCGAAACTCCATCTCAAAAAACAACAAAAAAAGACACCAGTCATGTTGCATTAGGGGCCCACCCTACTCCAGTATGACCTCCTTTTAACTGATTACATCTGCAATGAACTTATTTCCAAGTAGGGTCATATCCTGAGGTACTAGGGAGACAAAATTCAACCAATGACCAGCCCAGAAACCACTGGAGTTGCCTTTTAGTCTTGGATAAAACAAAAATAATAATGGTATAAATGCATGCTGTGTGGATAAGGTTTTGCCTTCAAGGGCAAGGTCATGCCCTAAATCTTGTACTTATGAATTACATAGTTATAATTTATCCTAGACACCCTTTTTTTTTTCTGAGACAGGGTCTTGCTCTTTTGCCCAGGTGGAGTGCTGTGATGCAATCTCGGCTCACTGCGGCCTCAACCTGTCAGGCTCAAGCAATCCTCCCACCTCAGCCTCCTGAGTAGCTGGGACTAGAAGCATGCATCACCACACTCAGCTAATTTTTTTATTTTTTATTTTTGTAGAGATGGGGGTCTCCCTATGTTACCCAGGCTAATCTCGAACTCCTGGGCTCAAGTGATCCTCCCACCTTGGCCTCCCAAAGTGCTGGGATTACAGACATGAGCCTGTCCTTTATGAGCAAGGGCTTGGGGCCGATTTTTATTTGTTTTTCCTACTTCCTGTATAATTGCAGAAACTTGGGGCACGTGTGGAGTGTGAGTGAGTGAGCTGCTGGAATGAACTGACCAGACAGGACATCATCTATGTATGGGATTAGAATGGAATTACAGGAGAAAACCAAATCCCTCAAATTAGCATTCAGGATCGGAAAAAAAAGTAAGTAGGGGTTTCAACGAACCACTGAGGCATAGCAGTGTATGTATGTTTACTGTTGACTTTCAAGGGGAAAGGGAAATGGGGCTGTGGATCATCAGGTGTGTGAAAGAAGGCAGAGGGCATGTGAGTACAGTCGAGTGGGTGGTGTTGGCCGGTCTAGAATAGAGGCCAGTATAATGTTTGGATTGGAAATAGCAGGAACCACAGTGTGACTATTTTGTTTACAGCCTTGAGGTCTTGGACTTGCTGGTATCCTTTATCGAGACTGTTATTGGGATTTTGTTTTTTTTTTTTTTGAGACAGAGTCTCACTCTGTCACCCAGGCTGGAGTGCAATGGCGCGATCTCGGCTCACTGCAACTTCTGCCTCTCGGGTTCAAGCAATTCTTCTACCTTAGCCTCCTGAGTAGCTGGGATTACAGGTACCTGCCGCCATGCCCGGCTAATTTTTTAATTTGTTTTTAGTAGAGACGGGGTTTCACCATGTTGGCCAGGCCGGTCTACAACTCCTGATCTCAGGTGATCTACCCGCCTCGGCCTCCCAAATTACAGGTGTTATCATTAGGATTCTTGGCAGACAGGAGTGTTGTAGGGGATGGAAGTGGATAGTAGGAGGCTCTGAATAATGGGTTGGGGGCCCTAGTGTGCCTCTGGTGTCAGAGCACATTAAGGCAGCTTCAAGAAGGGCATGAAAAGATCTAATTCTATTCCACAACTTGGGGTAATTGGTTAAAAAAAAAAAAAGGGAGCCAGGTGCAGTGGCTCACACCTGTAATCTCAACACTTTGGGAGACCGAGGTGGGAGGACTGCTTGAGGCCAGGACTTTGAGACCAGCCTGGGCGACATAGCAAGACCTTGTCTCTATTTAAACAAAATTTTTTTTAATTCTAAAAAGAAAGGATCTACTTCTACCTTAAGAGGTTCAGCCTCCCAGAGGCACCCTACATTTGTTGAGTTGGGGGCTCAAAGAGAATCAGGAATGCAAGTCACAGATCTTGGATATGTAGGTCTGAGGGAGAGGTGGATGTTTTGGGAAGGGGGTGGTTGGAGTGGTGGGAAAGTTAGTGGACTGAGATGAACAAGGGCAGAATTAGGGACTGGGAGACATAAGCCCTCTTGTGAATATGAAATATTATGGCTTTGGCTGGGCACGGTGGCTCACACCTGTAATCCCAACACTTTGGGAGGCCAAGGCAGGTGGATCACTTGAGGTCAGGAGTTTGAGACCAGCCTGTCCAACATGGTGAAACCCTGCCTCTACTAAAAATACAAAAATTAGCCGGTTGTGATGGTGTGCACCTGTGATCCCAGTTGCTTGGGAGGATGAAGCAGGAGAATCGCTTGAACCTGGGAGGTAGAAGTTGCAGTGAGGTGAGATCGCATCACTGCACTCCAGCCTGGGTGACAGAGCGAGACTCCATCTCAAAAACAAACAAACAAAAAAGAAATATTATTGTTCTACGTTGATAGAACATCCCTTTCTAAAGGGATTATTGGAGTAATTTGAATAAGAAACTGTGCTGGGTAGTAGAGAGCCCAATGAGCCCAAGAGTGGCTTAGACAGGCATAAACCATGTGGCTAATTGTGGTCTCATCACCATTATTGCTGTGTACTGAGGTAGGGAGGGGGGACTGAGATATTTATGGCAAAGCATGTGGCCCCTGTGTCTACAAAAACCCTGGCAGGATGCTCATTAAGGGGATTGATGGTCATTTCCCCCTGAAGGTTAAGGAATCCTTATAGACACAGAGGAGAAAGTTGGCTGGAAGTGAGTCACTGGGAGACTGAATCTTAGACTCAAATTCCTTTTGCATTTCAAAGCTAAATAGTGTCAAGTCCAATGTCCCTTTTCTTTACAGTATATACAAGTGTCTCTATCAACATTAGGTTTTGAGGTTGAGTGCAGTGGCCCACACCTGTAATCCCAGCACTTTTGAGAGGTGGAGGATCGTTCAACCCCAGGAGTTCAAGACCAGCCTCGGCAACATAGTGAGACCCCATCTCTATAACAAATAAAAAACATGCCCGGGCACGGTGGTTCATGCCTGTAATCCCAGCACTTTGGGAGGCCGAGGTGGGCAGATCACTTGAGGTCAGGAGTTCGAGACCAGCCTGGCCAACATGGCAAAACCCCTTCTCTACTAAAAATACAAAAATTAGCTGGGCGTGGTGGCATGTGCCTGTAGTCTTAGCTACTTGGGAGGCTGAGGTGGGAAGATCACTTGAGCCCAGGAGGTTGAGGCTGCAGTGAGCTGTGATCATGCCACTGCACTTTGGCCTGGGCAACAGAGCAAGATTCCATCTCAAAAAATAATAAAATAATAAAAAAATTAAAAACTACATAAAAAACAAAAAATTAGCGAGGTGTGGTGGCTCATGCCTGTAGTCCCAGCTACTCAAGAGGCTGAGGGGGAGGATGGCTTGAACCCTGTAGTTTGAGGCTGCAGTGAGCTACGATCATACCACTGCACAGAAGCCTGGGTGATAGAGCAAGACCCTGTCTCTAACAAACAAAATTAGGTTTTGTGATTCCAGTGGTCCTGATAGGATAAACTTTTTGTCTCTAATGATTTAAGTTATAGGGCCCTAAGTTTTCATTGTATGGATTTGATTTTTTTTTTTTTTTTTGAGACAGAGTTTCGCTCTTGTTGCCCAGGCTGGAGTGCAGTGGCACGATCTCAGCTCACCGCAACCTCCGCCTCCCAGATTCAAGCGATTCTCCTGCCTCAACCTCCCGAGTAGCTGGGATTACAGGCATGTGCCACCATGCCCGGCTAATTTTGTATTTTTAGTAGAGACGGGGTTTCTCCATGTTGATCAGGCTGGTCTCAAACTCCTGACCTCAGATGATCCACCCACCTCAGCACTCAAAGTGCTGAGATTACAGGCGTGAGCCACTGCGCCCGGCCTTGATTTTATCTTTCATGGCATCCTCATGATATACACTATCTCCTGGAATTCTATAATTGAGGAATGTTTTTGAATCACGTCTCTCATTTCTGGTCTCTGGATATTAACTAGTGGCCAAGACAGAAGCAGATCAGGGGTGATAGTCTTTTCCATACATTTTCTAGCCTGGGTCTGTCACGGGAGATGGATTCATCTCTATGTTGCCTACACTTCTGGACCTTAGACTAAACAGAGGGATAGGCACTGGGGATGGAGTCTAAGAGCCTTTCCCCAATAGTCTTAGCAACTATGCCTCAGAGGTATACTGCTCCTTTGGATACCTTCATTTACTGAGGCTCGTTTAGCATTTTCAAATCAAAGAGCTGCATTTTGGCCAGGCGCAGTGGCTCATGCATGTAATCCCAGCACTTTGGGAGGCCTAGGCAGGCAGATCGCTTGAGCCCAGGAGTTTGAGACCAGCCTGGGCAACATGGTAAAACCTCTGCAAAAAATCCAAAAAATTAGCTGGGCATGGTGGCATGTGCCTGTAGTTCTAGCTACTCAGGAGGCTGAGGTGGGAGGATCACTTGAGCCCAGAAGGTCAAGGCTGCAGTGAGCTGTGTTCATGCCACTGCACTCCAGCCTGGGAAACAGAGACCCTGCCTCAGGAAAAAAAAAAAAAGCTGCAGCTCTGGAACCATCAGATGGACAAGGTGATACAAATCAAATTGGAAAATCCCAGAGTAAGCTCCCAGTATTAGCCTAAATTGGCTACTAAATTCTTTCCTGTTTTCCTGGGTTTTTTAAGGCTGTGTTGCCCAAACTGGACTCGAACTCCTGGACTCCAGCGATCCTCCCACCTCAGCCGCTTAAGTAGCTGGGAATACAGTCACCCGCCACCATGCCCAGCTTTCAGATAGGTCTTTGCAGCACGTAAGTCAGAGCGTTCTGAAAGTCTGAAGAAAACTTGTTCAGGTCCATGCTCGGATCGTTCACCTTCAGCTGTGGAAGGTGGAGGACCATGTGTTAGGGTGTTACTGGAGAACTGGGGAGGTGGAGGGCTGGAGTCAAAGGTAGAGAGAGGTGGATACGTGTTCCCTCCAGTTCATTCCCTCTGCCTTCAGTCTTTCAAGGCCAAGATGAAGCCTAAGAGGTCACCTCTGATTCCCCACTCTCTCTGACCCCTGAGCTCATTCTAGGCTGCCCAAGCCTCCCAAACTCCCCCAGTCCAGCCCTTCCCGTTCTGGGTCATCACTGTCCAGGGGCAGGTATGTCTCTCTACTGGCAGGGCAGTCCTTGGCTGTCTCAGTCACCACTGTGTCCCCAGCATCACCCAGCTCAGTGACACAAAGGAATGAGTGAATATATACTTCTCTATTTCATAGATAGAGAAGTCATCACATCAACATAAAATAAAATACTGAATGTTACGTATCAGTTTTCTAGTATGGATCAGACTTGGGCTAACTGCATTTTATTATTTGACTTTTGAGACAGGGTCTCACTCTCTTGCCCAGGCTAGAGTGCAGTGGTGTGTGATCTTGGCTCACTGCAATCTCTGCTTCCTGGGCTCAAGCGATCCTCTAGCCTCAACCTCCAAGTAGCTGGGACCACAGGTGCAAGCCACCACACTTGGCTAATTTTTGAACTTTTTGTAGAAAGGGAGTTTCACCACGTTGGCCAGGCTGCTCTCAAACTCCTGAGATCTAAGGGATCTGCCTGCCTCGGCCTCCCAAATTGCTGGGATTATAGGCATGAGCCACCACACCCAGCCTGAATTAATAGTTGTGATTAGTAGTAACACCACCACCAAATAAAAAATCAGTCATCACAAACCATGAGATTACTTTTTCTCCAAGTTCTCTACCCTCCAGTCACATTCCTTCCATCTCTCCCCAGTTTCCAACTCCTCCTCCATTACTCCTCCCTCTCCCTTCTCATCTTCTCTCCTGGCACTCTTCCTGTATATTTTCTACCCCAGCTCGTCCTCCTTCCAAGACTCCTCTCCCATCAGTCCTCTCTCCCCACCCCTTCCATCCTTCCTCTTTTCAGGCAGTCCTCCTTCCAGATGAACTCCATGTTGGTACAACAGAGTAATGATTCGAGAGTGCCGTGTGCTGAGATCAAGGCCATGGGGCCAGAGATGAGTCCGTTTTAATTGCTGGGGAAACAGGGAGGGGCCTTGGAAATAGCTCCCCCCACCCCACTCCCCACGTGTCCCATCCAGTTTGGGCAGGAAGCCACTTTCCCTAGAACAGTTCATTGCTGGGATCCTGTGAAGAACCGCTGTGGAGGGCAGCAGCTGGACGAGGGCACAGGACCTCAGAGAACACTGATGCGCTCCGCCAGCCCCTGCATGTCGTGGTCCTGTGGTGGACAGGCCCCACCGAGATCCCTGTCCGTGGGCAGCCCAGACCCAGGCAGCGGATGCTCTGCTGCAAACTGCTCCCAGCGCGCGTCGTCACTCTCATGCGTGATGTATCGCTCTCCCATCTTCCCCTCCAGCTCTCGGAGGTCCAGCCACGTCTGGTACTCCTGGGCCCGAGAGAACTGGGGTTAGCTTGGGGTCTGCATTGGAGCAGTGCCTGGATATCCTCTGGTTTGCCACTGAGAGCTGGGTACCAATGAAGGTGAAGCCATACCCTCTGCAACCCACCCAGCCAGTAGACATTTAGCTCCACCCCCTCTTCCTGCACCCAGCCAATGGGAGGCCTAGCCACATTCCAGACCCAAGGAAACCTACATCCTTCACAACCTGCCTAGCCAATAAGCGATCTACTCCCACCCCTTCCTCCAATCCAGCCAATGGGCCAGCCCTGCCCCCTGCATCACCTGTAACCAGGGGTGGCTGAGAGATTTGTCCACGCTGTAGCGTTTGCGCATCTTCACCTGCAGCAGGTTGTTGATGAGGTCAATGGCTGCACAGGAAAGAGAAACAGGTCAAGCCCTACAGGTCAAGGGTCACTCCTCCTCCAATAGGCACCCCCTAGCCTACCTGCCTGCCATCAACACCTTCCTTCTGCACCAGCTCAGGTGGCTCAGAAGCCTCACCTGTGCCAATCACTCACCCACCCATTTCCTCATTACATTACAAATTTGTCTCCTCCTGCCCATGCATGTTCACACCAGCTCCCTCTCTTCACCTGTTCTCTACTTCAATTTCCCCATTCCCCTATGTCACCTTTTTTTTTCTTTTTGTCATATACAGGTACATACAATTACACCTGTACTATTCTTTTTATTTTTACTTATTTATTTATTGAGACAGAGTCTCGCTCTGTCGCCCAGGCTGGAGTGCAATGGCACGATCTTGGCTCACTGCAACCTCCGCCTCCCGGGTTCATGTGATTCTCCTGCCTCAGCCTCCCAAGTAGCTAGGAATACAGGTGTGTGTCACCATGTCCTGCTAACTTTTTGTATTTTTAGTAGAGATGGGGTTTCACCATATTGGCCAGGCTGGTCTCTAACTCCTGACCTCAAGCAATCCGCCTGCCTTGGCCTCCCAAATTGTTGGGATTACAGGCATGAGCCACTGCGCCCGGCCTAAATGGATTTTCAACCTACAATACTTCCTTTTTTTTTTTTGAGACAGGGTCTCATTGTTACCCAAGCTGAAGTGCAGTGGCGTGATCAATGCTCACTGAAGCCTCCACCTCCCCAGCTTAATTGATTCTCCTGCCTTAGCCTCCTGAGCAGCCAGCTGGGACTACAAGCACCTGTCACTATGGCCGGCTAATTTTTGTATTTTTTGTAGAGATACATTGCCCAGGCTGGTCTTGAACTCCTGGGCTCAAGCAATCTGCCTACCTTGGCCTCCCAAGGTGCTGGGATTATGGGCTTCAGCCACTGCGCCTGACCAACTTATGATATTTTCAATTTACAATGGGCAATGGGTTTATCAGGTTTATCTAACCCCAGTGCAAATCAGGGAGCATCTATGTCATCAGGCTGGGCGCGGTGGCTCATGCCTGTAATCCCAACACTTTGGGAGGCCGAGGCGGGTGGATCACCCGAGGTCAGGAGTTCGAGACAAGCCTGGCCAACACGGAAACCCCGTCTCTACTAAAAATACAAAAAATTAGCTGGGCATGGTAGCGCATGCCTGTAGTCCCAGCTACTCAGGAGGCTGAGGCAGAATCGCTTGAACTCAGGAGGCAGAGGTTGCAGTGAGCCAAGATCGTGCCACTGCACTCCAGCCCGGGTGACAAAAGCGAAACTCCGTCTCAAAACAAAACAAAACAAAACAAAATGTCATCAGATGGTAGTTAGTCACCATTGCCTGCAGAAGGCTCAGAGATAGGCCTGTTCATTGTGAAAAAGAGGACTAGCGAATGTCAAGCTTCAAGACAAGCCAGCACTCATCCGAGGCTCTCTCCTTGATGGGAAGCCATGAAGGACAAGGCTTCACTGTATGAACCCATCCGAGGAGAGGCCTGGTGCACACAGGCACCCTGCTCCCGTCAACACCCACAGGATTCTGTGATCCTCACACAGGTGCAACCACACTTAAATTCACTTGTGCACACTCGATGCACTTTTACTGAGGGACTTCTGAGTGGGTCTCAAAAGACAATGCTGGCGGGGTGTGATGGCTTATGCCTGCAATCCCAGCACTTTGGGAGGCTGAAGCGGGCAAATAACTTGAGGTCAGGAGTTCAAGACCAGCCTGGCTAACATGGCGAAACCCTGTCTCTACTAAAAATATAAAACATGAGCCAGGCATGGTGCTGTGTGCCTGTAATCCCAGTTACTCGGGAGGCTGAGGCAGGAGAATCCCTTGAACCCAAGAGGTGGAGGTTGCAGTGAGCCGAGATCACGCCACTGCACTCCAGCGTGGGTGAAAGAGCGAGACCCCACCTCAAAAAAAAAAAAAAAGCCAGTGTTGAGCACCCCCAATATTACTCCAGGACTCAAGTCAATCCACATTCTCACTGCTTAGGGCCCATGCTCTTAGACCACCACCAAGACCTTGTCTTGTCCTGCACCGAGCAACCTCCGTGTCACCCTGCTCCACCTGCTCCATGAAGCCGCACCCTCCAGAGAGGACCCTTCCCCTTTCCACCCTTCGCGGACCACTCAATGAGCTACCCTGCACCTGACCCCTTCTGTCCAAGTCATCACAGTATTCCCAGAGCTGGAACAGTCAATGCCTGGCACATCGTGGGCACTCAACATGTTGAATCAATGGTTACAAATACATGAATGTACTTGTTGAATAAATGGTTATAAATAAATGAATGAATGATCCCCCCCCTTCCCATACTCCATCTGTCTTCCTGAGCTCCCTGGCTCCAACACAGGTCCCTTGTTCTCCTGGCTTCTGACACACCCCAGTATCTTAGCCCTGCCTCTGGCCCTCTAAACATGCCATCCCACACCCAGCCTCAAAGCTCCAGGCCTTAGGACTTAACTTTTCCAAGCAGGGAAAGTTACAGACCCATTCCCAAGTAGGTTCAAGTCACCAGGCCCGGTGCCACTTCATCAGGCCCAGCCACAACACCAAAGCCCCAGAATGCAGAGTGCAATGTCTGCCTCAGTCCTGGCTCCCTTCTCCTCCCCACTCCCATCCACTCCCAGCTTCCAGGACTCAGGGTCAGCCCTGTTCCTGGACCTCTTCGGAAACCCTCCACGGCCACGTCCCTAGACTGGCTCCCTTGGTCACTGAACCGACCCCAGGCTTCAGGCCCATCTTCACCCAAGTCACGGCCCCAGTACACAGCAAAGTAGCCATGCCCTTGTTTCTCAACCCTACCCACCGGTGCCTCCTTTTTGCAAGGCTGACCCTTTTGGGGTCGTAAACCCAAAGGCTCCAGGTCCCAGCCAATGCCTTGGGAGGCTCAGCCCCTTCTCCTGGTCACCGCAGCCCTTTGGTACCCTCAAGTCCAGTCCCTTTCCTGGTCCCACCCTAGACAAGCCAAGTCTCACTCAGCCCCCCTAAGGTTCCAAGTGTCCTCAGCGCTTCTGGGGCACTTGGTTTCCAGCCCAAGTAACCTAGTCTAGGCCTGAGTCCCAGCCCATCTTTTACAGGACGGCTCCTCCTGTAGCCACATCCCTCCAGTAGGCCCGCCCCAGCACTGGGCTCCACCCCCAAGGTGCCAGGCTGTTTCCGGGTCCACCCCCCTCTCATGGCTCCGCCCACTTCTCCAGCCCCACCCCACAACCCACCCGCCCATGGGGTAGGCGGGCCCCAGGCACCTCCAGCTGAGATGTGGCTCCAGGGGCTGGCCGGGTACATGAAGGCGGCGTTCTGGATCTGGTCATTGATGTCCTCATCCTCGTTGAAAGGGAAGGTGCCGCTGAGGCTGACGTACATGATCACGCCCACTGACCACATGTCCAGCGAGCGGTTGTAGCCCTGGTTGAGCAGCACCTCGGGTGCCAGGTAGGCCGGCGTGCCCACCACTGAGCGGCGGAACGACTTCTCGCCGATGATGCGAGCAAAGCCAAAGTCACACAGCTTCACCTGCAGAGGGCAAGGGATGGAGGCTCCACCAGGTGATGGAGCCGCACCCACCCCAGCATCCCCACCACACCACCCTCCATGGTATTCCAGAGAAAGCTGGATGCTGGTTTGAATCCAGGCTCCTTGGCTCACTAGCTGAGCAACCCTGGGCAGGTGACTTCCCCCCTCTGTGCCTCAGTTTCCCCATCTATAGGAAGAAGAGCAGAAGAGCACCTATCTCAGAGGACTGCCATGATGGTTAGTGAATTAAACCATCCAAAGCCCACAGGACAATATTTGGCATTCAGTTGGTGCACAATAAATGCTAGCTGCTGCTATACCTCTGCCACCTCCAATGGGTCGCTGTTTCCTCTTTTGAATAATGCAGATTTTTTTTAATAGCCTCAAAATATACATGATTGGGGCGTGGTGGCTCATGCCTGCAATCTCAGCACTTTGGGAGGCCAAGGAAGATGGATCATTTGAGGTCAGGAGTTCGAGACCAGCCTGGCCAACACGATGAAACCCCATCTCTACTAAAAATACAAAAATTAGCACACGCCTGCGGTCCCAGCTACTCAGGAGGCTGAGGCAGGAGAATCGCCTGAACCTGGGAGGCAGAGGTTGCAGTGAGCCGAGATCGCACCACTGCATTCCAGCCTGGGTGACACAGCGAGACTCCGTCTCAAAAAACAAACAAAAAAAACATGAAACATAATGGAGATCTTAACAGTCCCTACCTTAAAGGGTGCTTGTTTAGACTGAAAGAGAAATGTATGCAACGTGTTAGGAGCAGTGTCTAGCACAGAATGACCCTCGATGATCTCAGGTCAAGGACCTAATTTCTCCAGGCCTTGATTTTGTCATCTGTATTGGGGGGTTGTTGATAGCAGCCTCCTCTCAGGCTTTCCTGGGGATTAGGTAGGAGTGGGTGCTGACTGCGGTAGCTGGCAGACAGTATGGTGTATGCCTACCTTTCCTTCATTGTTTTATTTTTTTTGAGACGGAGTCTCGCTCTGTCGCCCAGGCTGGAGTGCAGTAGCGTGATCTTGGCTCACTGCAACCTCTGCCTCCCAGGTTCAAGCAATTCTCCTGCCTCAGCCTCCCGAATAGCTGGGATCACAGGGACCCGCCACCATGCCTGGCTAATTTTTGTATTTTTAGTAGAGACGACATTTCACCACATCAGCCAGGCTGGTCCCAAACTCCTGACCTCAGGTGTTCCTCCTGCCTCAGCCTCCCAAAGTGCTGGGATTACAGGCATGAGACACCACACCTGGCCCCATACCCTCATTGTTAATGGCTGCAGTCTAAGGTCATGGACAGGCTTTGGAGCCAGCAAGACCTGGGTTCAAGGTCTTGCTCTGCTGCCTACCTCTCAGCCTTGGTTCCCAGCTCTGTTCATGTACTGTCCTTTCCCTGTTCAAAACCCTTCCTTGGCTCACTGTTGCTTGCAGGATAGAGCCCCAAATCCTTGAAGCCTGAAGCCTCTGTCACCTTTGAAACCAGCCACGCCTCAACCCCTGACCTGAATCTCAATGTGACAGCCACCCTTTCCTGAGGTACTCTGCCCTTTCTACAGATCTTATAGCTCTTTCTCTTTTCCAAGATCTATACTTTCCTATGGATCTTTTTTAAAATTTTTATTTTATTATTATTTTTTTGAGACGAGTCTTGGTCTGTCGTCCAGGCTGGAGTGCAGTGGTGTGATCTCGGCTCACCGCAACCTCCACCCTCCTGGGTTCAAGCAATTCTCCTGCTTCAGCCTCCTGAGAACCTGGGATTACAGGTTCCCGCCACCATGCCCAGCTAATTTTTGTATTTTTAGTAGAGACGGGGTTTCGCCATGTTAGCCAGACTGGTATCCAACTCCAGACCTCAAGTGATCTGCCCGCCTCAGCCTCCCAAAGTGCTGGGATTATAGGCATGAGCCGCTGCGCTCAACCAGAAAACTTTTAAATATGTTTGGAACAACTTGGGCATGTCAATCTATTTCCCCAACTGTTATACACACCAGATTTTGAAGACATAGTATGAAAAACAAGCAGAATGTTTCATTGAGTTTTGTTTCTTTTTTAAGAGACAGGGTCTTGCTCTGTCACCCCAGCTGGAGTGCAGTGGCACAATCATAGCTCACTTCAGACTTGAACTCCTGGTCTCAAGCCGTCTTCCCATCTTGGCCTCCCAAAGTGCGGGGATTATAGGCATGAGCCACCTCCCCTGGCCTTAATAATTTTTATGTTGACTACATGTTGAATAAAGTGCTATATGTTGGGATAAACTATATATATATATATATATATATTTTTTTTTTTTTTTTTGAGACAGAGTCTCGCTCTCTCGCTCTGTCACCCAGGCTGGAGTGCAGTGGCGTGATCTCGGCTAACTGCAAGCTCCGCCTCCCGGGTTCATGCCATTCTCCTAACTCAGCCTCCCAAGTAGCTGGGACTACAGGCGCACACCACCACGCCCCGCTAATTTTTTTTTGTATTTTTAGTAGAGAAGGGGTTTCACCGTGTTAGCCAGGATGGTCTCGATCTCCTGACCTCGTGAACTGCCCGCCTCGGCCTCCCAAAGTGCTGGGATTACAGGCGTGAGCCACCGCACCCAGTCTTTTTTTTTTTTTTTTAAGAGACAGCTCTCACTCTGTTATTCAGGCTGGAGTGCAGTGGCACAATCATAGCTCACTGCAGCCACCAACTCCTGGGCTCAAGCAATCCTCCCATCTCAGCCTCCTAAGCAGCTAGGACTATAGGCGCACGCCACCATTCCCGGCTATTTTTTTTTTCATTTTTTGTATAGATGAGGTCTCGCTATGTTGCCCAGGCTGGTCTCAAACTCTTGGGCTCAAATGATCCTCCTGCCTCAGCCTCTCAAAATGCTGATTACAGGCAAGAGCCACTGTGCCTCGCCCCCACATCTTGATTAGTATAATCCCCTTCCCCACCCCCACCCCGGCCATCAGTGTTGCCTGGATTTCCCCAAATCAGGAGGGGACATAACTGACCTGAGGAAATGGGTCTGCTGATGCCAGCAACACGTTTTCTGGTTTCAAGTCACAGTGGACAATGTTCTTGAAGTGAAGGTGTCTCAAAGCCACCAGGATCTGAGGGGAGCAGATGGGCCCAGTAAGAAAGGTAGATAGGTACTCAGCCAAATCCCAACCTCAGCAGCCAGCCCTCCAAACCCATCCATACTTTTTTTTTTTTTTTTTTGAGACAGAGTCTCGCTCTGTAGCCCAGGCTGGAAGTGCAGTGGCATGATCTCAGCTCACTGCAACCCCTACCTCCTGGGTTCAAGTGATTCTCCTGCCTCAGCCTCCCAAGTAGCTGGGACTACAGGCGTGCACCACCATGCCCAGCTAATTTTTTTTTTTCTTTTTGAGGCGGAGTCTCACTCTGTCGCCTGGGCTGGAGTGCAGTGGCACGATCTCGGCTCACTGCAACCTCTACCTCCAGGGCTCAAGTGAGTCTCCTGCCTCAGCCTCCCGAGTAGCTGGGATTACAGGCGCTGGCCACTATGCCCAGCTAATTTTTTCTATTTTTAGTAGAGATGGGGTTTCACCATGTTGGCCAGGCTGGTCTCAAACTCCTGACCTCGTGATTTCCCCACCTCGGCCTCCCAAAGTGCTGGGATTACAGGCGTGAGCCACCGGGCCCAGACTTGCTCTGATAATTTTTTCTTTTATTTTTAGTAGAGACAGGGTTTCACCATGTTGACCAGGCTGGTCTCAAACTCCTGGACTCAAGTGATCCACCCACCTTGGCCTCCCAAAATGCTGGGATTACAGGCGTGAGTGAGCCACTGCGCCTGGCCCCATCCATGCCTTCCTACACACCCCTGCAGACACCCCAGCCAGGGAAACAGGAGGCACTGGAGCACCAAAGAATCTCAGAATCATAGAACCATTTACATCTGAGAGATAAGAGTTAAATGTAAACTAGAAAGTCTGGGCTAGATGAGTGGGGCTGTGAAGATCCCAAGATCTTCTAGCATGTGGTAAACTCCTGAATGCTACTGACAGAGCAGGCATTTCCAAGATCCAACTATGTGATTCTATTTTTTTTTTTTTTTTTTTTTTGAGACAGAGTCTTGCTCTGTCACTCAGGCCAGAGCACAGAGGCGGGATCACAGCTCACTGCACCTCGACCTCCCAGGCTAAATCCATCCTCCCACCTCAACCTCCCTAGTAACTGGGATTATAGGCACACACCATCACACCTGACTAATTTTTGTATTTGTAGAGACAGTGTCTCACCATGTTGCCCAGGCTGGTCTCAAACTCCTGCACTCAAGTGATCCACCCACCTCAGCCTCCCAAAGTGCTTGGATAACAGGCGTGAGCCACCCCACCTCACCCATTTTTTTTTTGAAGAGATGGAGTCTCCCTCTGTCACCCAGGCTGAAGTGCAGTATCATTCTACAGCCTCAAACTCCTGGGGTTAAGTGATCCTCCAGCCTCAGTCTCCCAAATAGCTAGGACTACAGGCATGTGCCACCACCACCATGTCGGGCTTTGATTCCTTTTTTTTTTTTTTTTTTGAGAAGGCCTCCTGATTCTCCTGCCTCAGCCTCCTGAGCAGCTGGGATTACAGGCACACACCACCATGCCCGGCTAATTTTTGTATTTTTAGTAGAGACGGGGTTTCATCATGTTGGTCAGGCTGGTCTTGAACTCCTGACCTCGTGATCCACCAACCTTGGCCTCCCAAAGTGCTGGGATTATAGGCGTGAGCCACTGTGCCCAGCCTGATTTCATTTTTAAAAAAAATATTTTTCATCCTTACAAAAAACTTTGGCTGGGCATGGTGACTCATGCCTGTAATCTCAGCACTTTGGAAGGCTGAGGCAGGTGGATCACCTGAGGTCAGGAGTTAGACACCATCCTGGCCAACATAGCAAAACCCTGCCTCTATTAAAAATACAAAAATTAGGCGTGGTGGTGGGCGCCTGTAGTCCCAGCTACTCGGGAGGCTGAGGCAGGAAAATCGCTTGAACTGGAGAGGTGGAGGTTGCAGTGAGTCGACATCGCGCCATTGCACTCCAGCCTGGGCGACAGAGTGAGATGCCATCTCAGAAAAAAAAAGAGTACCAACCTTACAGGTTGCTATAAGGTTTAAAGCATATCTAAAGATGCATGTAAAACGCTTAGGATAGCTAACCACTGTATGTTAGCTGTTACTGTTGTTGTTATTAGTTATTATTTTTGTGATGGCTTGTTGGTAAATATATTTGTTTGTGTCTCTTAAATAAAGCTTCTCCTGCTGTATCTGTTCCTATGATAAGGTGAGCTGATTAAAAAAAAAATTACCATTTGTAACCATTCATCTGTGAGAATCATATTTCTTGATTCTCTGTAACTCAAAATGCCAAGTACACCAGAAGCAATTGTACAACTGCAATTATTATCTGTCTCGGAGTTTAAATACTTGTGTATCTGTCTCAGAGTTTAAATACTTGTGTTTATTCTGATTGTTTTCTTTTTTAAAAAAATCTTTTTGTAGAGATGGCATCTCGCTATGTTGCCCAGGCTGGTCTTAAACTCCTGGCCTCAAATGATCTTCCCACCTCAGCTACCCAAACCTTGAGATAATAGGCACGACCCACCATGCCTGACCAACCTCCTCATTCTACAGACTGGGAGACCAAGCTGGAAAGATGCATGTGTTGTATATGTCATCTCCAGATTGTTTTTTTGAGATGGAGTCTCACTCTGTTGCCCACGCTGGAGTGCAACGGCATGACCTCGACTCACCACAAATTCCACCTCCCAGGTTCAAGCAATTCTTGTGCCTCAGCCTCCCCAGTAGCTGGGATTACAGGTGAATGCCACCACACCTGGCTAATTTTTGTATTATTAGTAAAGATGGGATTTCACCATGTTGGCCAGGCTGGTCTCAAAACTCCTGACCTCAGGTGATCCATCTGCCTTGGCCTCCCAAAGTTCTAGGATGACAGGCGTGAGCCACCTCGCCCCGCCCATTTCCAGATTTTGTCAGTTGATTTTCTCCCAGTTCATGTGAACAAAGAGGGCAGGTTAGGCCGGGCACGGTGGCTTACGCCTGTAATCCCAGCACTTTGGGAGGCTGAGGCGGGCAGATCACGAGATCAAAAGTTCAAGACCAGCCTGATCGACATGGTGAAACCCCATCTCTACTAAAAATACAAAAATCAGCCAGGAATGGTGGCGTGTGCCTGTGTTCCCAGCTACTCAGGAGGCTGAGGCAGGAGAATCATTTGAACCTGGGAGGCAGAGGTTGCAGTGAGCTGAGATAGCGCCACTGCACTCCAGCCTGGGCAACAGAGCGAGACTCCATCTCAAAAAAAAAAAACATTGGCCGGATATGGTGGCTCACGCCTGTAATCCCAGCATTTTGGGAGGCTGAGGCGGGTGGATCACGAGGTCAGAAGTTCAAGACTAGCCTGGCCAACATAGTGAAACCCCGTCTCTACTAAAAATACAAAAATTAGCCCGGTGTACTGGGACGCACCTGTAGTCCCAGCTACTCAGGAGGCTGAGGTGGGACAATTGTTTGAACCTGGGAGGCAGAGGTTGCAGTGAGCTGAGACTGTACTATTGCACTCCAGCCTGGGTGACAGAGTGAGACTTCGTCTCAAAAAAAAAAAAAAAAAAAGAAAAGAAAGAGGGCAGGTTGGAAGCTAGATAGATCCAGACTCAAATCTTGGCTGGAAAGCTACTTGGCTGTGACCTCGAGGGAGACTGCTATCTCCCTGAGCCTCAGTTTCCTCATCTATAAAATGGGGTTTATAACAATACCTACCTCCTAGGATGGTGGTGAGGCCTACATAAGCTCAGGAGGTAAAGGGCTTAGCACAGGGCTTAGGTGTGGGGCAGGCAAGAGCCCAGAAAGCAGAAATCTGCAGAGAGAGAGAGAGAGAGAAAGAAGAGCGAGCAGGCAAAAAGAGAGGAAGAGATGAAGGCCAGAAAGAGAAACCCCCTCAGCTGCTGAAAGCAGCCACCTGTGAGAACCATGATTCCTTTCCACACCTGAAGTCTGGATGTGGCCGGGCACGATGGCTCATGCCTGTAATCCCAGCACTTCAGGAGGCTGAGGCAGGCAGATGACTTGAGGTCAGGAGTTTGAGACTGGCCTGGGCAACATGATGAAACCCCATCTCTACTAAAATTACAAAAATTAGCCAGGCATGGTGGCACACACCTATAATCCCAGCTACTCGGGAGGCTGAGGTAGGAGAATCACCTGAACCCAGGGGGCAGAGGGTGCAGTGAGCCGAGATCGTGTCACTGCGCTCCAGCCTGGGCAACAAAGCGAGACTCTGTCTCAAAAATACATAAATAATAAAGTCTGGATGAGGGTGCATCAGTGGGTTTCTGTCCCCACCCCATAAGCCAGCCTGACAAACACAGGCACACTGCCTGAGAGGATAAGGGTGCTGGGCCAGGGTAAAGGGAACACAGCAACGATGGCTCTGAGACCCACAGAGATGTCTCAGAAGAAGGCAAGGCACCCACCAGAAGGAAGCCTTTCTAGGAAGGATGTGAAACACAGAAACCACACAAGGGGATATTTAACATCGTAAAAGTTCCACTCTATGGCCGGCTGGACGCAGTGGCTCATGCCTGTAACCCAGAACTTTGGGAGGCTGCAGCAAGAGGACCACTTAAGCCCAGGAGTTCGAGACCCAACATGGCAAGACCCTGTCTCTACAAAAACATAAAAAAAAATTAGCCAGGTGTAATGGCTCATGCCTGTGGTTCCAGCTAACTCAGGAGACTGAGATGGGAGGATCGCTCGAGCCCAGGAGTTCAAGACCAGCCTGGGCAACATGGCGAGACCTTGTCTCTACAAAAACATTAAAAAAAAAAAAAAAAAAAATTAGCTGGACGTGGTGGCTCATGCCTGTGGTTCCAGTTAACTCAGGAGGCTGAGATAGGAGAATTGCTTCAGCCTAGGAGTTTGAGGCTGCAGTGAACTATGATTACACCACTGCACTCCAGCCTGGGTGACAAAATGAGACCCTGTCTCAAAAAAAAAAATAAAATAGGCCAGGCGCGGTGGCTCACACCTGTAATCCCAGCACTTTGGGAGGCCGAGGCGGGTGGATCACGAGGTCAGGAGATCGAGACCATCCTGGTTAACACAGTGAGACCCTGTCTCTACTGAAAATACAAAAAATTAGCCGGGCGTGGTGGTGGGCACCTGTAGTCCCAGCTACTTGGGAGGCTGAGGTAGGAGAATGGTGTGAACCTGGGAGGCGGAGCTTGCAGTGAGCCGAGATGGTGCCACTGCACTCCAGCCTGGGCAATAGAGCAAGACTCCGTCTCAAAAAAAAATAAAAAATAAAATAAATAAAACCCTATGGTAAATAAAAACTAAATATAAAATAAAGAGGCAAACACTGGGATAAAACCATTGAACAATATAAGTGATAAGAATCTAATGTGCACCTCCACCAAAAAAAAAGAAACGCAGAACAGAGGCCGGGCACAGTGGCTCACACCTGTAATCCCAGAACTTTGCGAGGCTGAGGCCGAGTCAGGAGGATCACTTGAGCCCAGGAGTTGAAGACCAGCCTGGGCAACATAGCAAGTCTTTATAAAAATGTCTTTATAAAAATTAGCTGGGTGTGATGGCTGATGCCTGTTGTCTCAGCTACTCAGGAGGCTGAGGCAGGAGAATTGCTTGAACCCGGGAGGTCAAGGCTGCAGTGAGCCATGATTGTACCACTGCACTCCAGCTCGGGTGACAGAGCGAGACCCTGTCTCAAAAAAACAAACAAAAAGCACAGGCACACAAGGAAAATCTGTTTGAATGTAACACAAATGAGTTTGACATCACTAGTTAAAAGCAAAGATCCTAGGTTCAAATCCCACCAGCTATGTGACCCTGGACAAGATATTTGATGTCTCTGACCCTCAGTTTCTTCAACCATAAAAGGGGATTGATAATAATAGCACCTACTGCACAGGTTACTATGAAGATTAAATGAGTTTGAAGAGTGCTTGGCACATAGTAAGTGCTCAATAAATGTTAGTGACCACATTATTTATCATCACCATTATCAGCCTCCCTTGTCCTAGCCCTGCTCACCTGAGCTATCACTGTCTAAGAATGGGGCTGTATTGGTCATCCCTGTGTCCTCAACACTGACCAGCAAGGGACCAAGCACAGAGCAGGGACTAGGGAGTGTTTGTTGACCAACTGAATGAATGAATGAGAGAAAAAGGGCTGCTTGCCCGTTTTTTCTATTGTTTGGTTTTGAGACACGGTCTCGCTCTGTCACCCAGGCTGGAGTGCAGTGGCACGGTCATAGCTCACTGCAGCCTCAACCACCTAGGTTCAAGAGAGCCTCTCCACTCCCTTCCTCCCAAGCAGCTAGGACTACAGACATGTGCTACCAGGCACCACATCCAGCTAGGTTTTCTATTTTTTTTTTTACTTTTTGTAGAGGTGGGATCTCACTATGTCGCCTAGGCTGGTCTCCAACTCCTGGCTTCAAGCGATCCTCTTGCCTTGGCCTCCCAAAGCGCTGGGATTACGGGCATGAGCCAGCCTGTTTTTGAGATGGGCTCTTGCTATGTTGCCCAGGCTGGCTCAAACTCCTGGGCTTAAGCAATCCTCTGGCCTTAGCTTCCTGAGTAGCTGGGATTACAGGTGTACCCCACCATGCCTGACTCCCCTTTTTTCTAGATGAGTCAAGTCAGGTCCAGGGAGCCTGACTGATCATTTATTTTTTATAATAAAAATAGCTATCATTACCGCTAGTCTATTTTTTTCTATTATTATGATTACTCTTTATTATTATTATTATTATTATTTTTTTTTTTGAGACGAAGTTTCACTCTTGTCCCCCAGGCTGGAGTACAATGGCACGATCTCAGCTCACTGTAACCTCTGCCTCCTGGGCTCAAGGGATTCTCCTGCCTCAGCCTCCCAAGTAGCTATGATTACAGGTGCCTGCCACCATGCTCAGCTAATTTTTGTATTTTTAGTAGAGACAGGGTTTCACCATGTTGGCCAGGCTGGTCTCAAACTCCTGACCTCAGGTGATCCACCCGCCTTGGCCTCCCAAAGTGTTGGGATTACAGGCGTGAGCCACCGCGCCTGGCATACTCTTTATTTTTAATTGTTATTGTCACTATTATTTTTCTTTTTTCTTTCTTTCTTTTTAGAGGCGGGGTCTCGCTATGTTGCCCAGGCTGGAGTGCAATGCCTCTTCACAGATGTGATCCCACTACTGATCAGTAAGAGAGCTTTGACCTGCTCCATTTCCAACCTGGGCTGCTTTGCAACCTGGTGGTCCCCCACTCCTGGGAGGTCACCACATGGATGCCAAACTTAATGAGGACACCTGATCAGCACAGAACTCCTGGGATCAAGTGATCCTCCTGCCTCAGCCTCCTGAGTAGCTGAGACCACAGACACGTGCTACCATGCCCGGCTTATTTTTTCTATTATGGTTATTATTACTTCTGTACGATTATGGTTCCTTTTTTTTTTTTTTTTTTTTCTTGAGATGGAGTCTTGCTCTGTCGCCCAGGCTGGAGTGCAGTGGCGCGATCTCGGCTCACTGCAAGCTCCATCTCCCAGGTTCACACCATTCTCCTGCCTCAGCCTCCCGAGTAGCTGGGACTACAGGCGCCTGCCACCATGCCCGGCTAATTTTTTGTATTTCTAGTAGAGACAGGGTTTCACCATGTTAGCCAGGATGGTTTCGATCTCCTGACCTCGTGGGCCTCCCAAAGTGCTGGGATTACGGGTGTGAGCCACTGCGCCCAGCCTGATGATGGTTTCTGTTATCTGCTATTGTGACTCCCCCAAGTGTCTGCTTGACCCCCTAGGCATACAGGGCCTCTCCAAGCTGACACCTGATGGGGAGGGGCGGGTGGCAGCGGGCAGGGCAGACGCACCTGGGTGATGAGGAACTTGGTGAGGCGCTCAGGCAGCCGGCCCTTCTCACTGGACAGGATCATCTCCAACATGTCCCCATGCAGCTTCTCCATCACCACAAACACTTTCTCAGGCGTCTCGAACATGCACTCCAGGTTCACGATCCCGGGATGCCGCAGGCTCTGCAGGGTGGGGAGCGGGGTCAGGGCCCAGGTAACCCACAAACTCAGACCCCAACGGGTCAGGTATAGGAGCAGGAGGATGACAAACAAGGAGAAGGATGTCCCTGGGGTATTGGCACTTGGAGAGGGAAGGGGGCTTCCCACAGGCCAAGACAGAACAGGCCCACCTCCACCCCACCTGCCAGGTGCCCAGAAGGATCTTTTTTTTCTTTCTATTTAAATATAGAGATGGGGTTTCGCCATGTTGGCCAGGCTGGTCTCAAACTTCTGGCCTCAAGTGATCCTCCCACCTCAGCCTCCCAAAGTGCTGGGATTACAGGCGTGAGCCACCATGCCCGGCCCAGAAGGATCTTTACATCCTGAAATTCTGGTGGAGGCCCAGGGTTGCAGGAGGGAGGAGGGGGAGCTTGGAGAAATGGGGAGAGCTCTGCACATCTGTATCTTTTAAATCCATACCCCCTCTCACATTCTCCAGTCCTATCCTGGCCTAACCCCTCTCTCCCACCCAGATCCCCACTCAGCCTCCTGGCTACAATCACTTCCCTTTCCACCCACCCTCCAGATGGCAGCCTGCGGGATTTTCCTAACGTACACACCTGATCCTGCCCCTCCCTTGCTCAAAAGCCTTCTGTGGCTCTCCAGTACCCTCAGGAGAAAGTCCAAAGGGTCTGGCTCCGCCCTCCTCCCTGGCCTCATCTCCCAGTACCTCCTTTCTAGAAAACCTCATGCTCCCTCTCACCAGGTCTTTGTACAGGCTGGTCCCTCTGCTAAGAACACCTTCTCCCCTTCAGTCTCAACATGCACATGCCCTCCCCCAGGAAGCCTTCCCTGACCACCCCTACACTGGGTCAGCTGGCCCATGAAAGGAAGAAGCAGAAAGGGAAGGCGGCCTGGTGGTTACCTGCAGAATGGCCACTTCATTCCGGAGCTGGCTCTCCTGCTTGGTAGGGAAGCGCAGTTTGTCAATGACCTTAACTGCCACGTCCCGGCCTGTCTTCCGGTGTTTTCCTGCACAGGGAGTAGAAGAGATGGGGGATGAGAGAGCAAGACCACCCAGTCCTGGCAGGAGTATCTCCACCTCTGCCAACCTCTGCCCCCCACCATGGAGACAGCCAGAGTTGGGCAGAGTTGGAAGGCCCCAGGAGATACGTGAAAAGGCCACCTGAGGTGCACCTTGGGAGTAAAGGCAGAAAGAAGGAAAGCAAAAAACAAACAAAAAGCTCCGAAGAAGGGAATGTATAACATGGGAAACTGGATTTATAACCAGTCGGAATCTAGCATCTAGTTTTGTGTGACCCGTAAGAGTCCTGGGGACAGGGGAGAGACACCAGCACCAGGGGAGGCAGACTGACCATATTATACAGAGAAGGAAACTGAGTCTTAGAGTTTAGAGTGTAGAAGTTACCCTCCCTGTCCTATTGAACTCTAGGATCTAGCTCTGTGGCAAATCAAAGTGTAAAATTTACCACCCGCCCCATACAATCAGAATCTAGGATTTAGCCTGTGGCCAATCAGAATGCAGAATCTACCCTCCAATCCAATCAGAATCTAGGATCTAGACCTGTGGCCAATCAGAATGCAGAATCTACCCTCCTATTCAATCAGAATCTAGGATCTAGCTCTGTGGCCAGAGTGCAGAATCTACCCTCTTTTCCAATCAGAATCTACGAACTAGTTCTGTGGCCAATATGAATGCAGAATCTACTCTATCCAATCAGAATCTAGGTTCTAGCTCTGTGGTCAATCAGAGTGCAGAATCTACCTTCCCTATCCAATCAAAATCTACCTCTGTGACCAATCAGAGTGCCGAATTTACCCTTCCTATTAATAACAGGAGGAATGTCCATTGGTTTTTCCCAATGAGAAAAGGAGAACCTGCAATCAGTCCACCCAGGATCTAGCTAAGCCAATCAACATGGGAGGTGAGCATGTGACCAATCAGAAAGGAAGGGTTGGAGCCAGAAAGAAAGGGCTGGAGCCACAGCAGCTTCCCCCAGCCCGGGGCTCCCTCTGGGTTAGCTCTGAAGTGTCCTCACCTCCATAGACCACTCCAAACTGCCCTGAGCCCAGCACTTCGTCAGGGAAGATCTGGTAGACAGTGGCAATGTCCTACAGGGTGAAGACAGGGCAGGTCAGGGGTGCAAATGGAAATGGGGAAGGGGGAGTCAAGGAGACGAGAGAGCTGAGGAGGGTTTGTGGGAGGGGAGGGCATCAGGTGGGGGCAGGAGTCTCACCACATTCTCTTGGATCTGACTGTTGGACACAGAGATGCTCAGAGAAGCTTGTCCTAGGGAGAGGGGAGAGACAGAGGTGAGGGGACTCCAGGCTCAGGATTATCTCCACCCATACCTGCAAAAGCAGACTTGGGAGTCAGGCCACCCAGATTTGAATCCAATGTTCGATACAATGTGCAACTTCAGGCTGGTGACTTGTCCACTACGAACCTCAGTTTCCTCATCTAGAAAATGGGAATAATAAAAGGACCTCCCTCATAGAGCCACCAGGAGGAGTAAATGAGATGTGCTGAGTGGCTAAAGGAGTGATGTTACAGATGATTTTGCTGAGCATTTTACCCCAGGATCTCAGCACCAGGGGAGGCAGACTGACCCCATTGTACAGAGAAGGAAACTGAGTCTTGGAGGGAAAGCCCAGACTGACTCCTGCATCTTCCCTTGAACTTTTCCCCCTACAAACCCAACCAGAGCCAGACATTTCTAAAGTCCGATCCTTCTGCCATTTGAATGTCTCTCTCTTCCACCAGTCTAGGCCCCTGCTCGCCCCCCAACTCTGGGTCCTCACCCCACAGCCCCTTCCCTGGTCTCCTTGCCCCAATCCTGCCCCTTCCTACTCACCTCCCACAGAGAAACCAGAGGGATCTTACTGAGGCACAAGACTGACCCTGTCCCTCCTCTGCTCACAACTCTGCCATGGCTCCCCAGTGCCCTCAGGAAGAAGCCTGAGCCCCTTAAATGGCCTAAAAGCCATGGCCTAGACCCTCATCTACCTCTGACTTCTACCCCCAACATGCTATTCCTGACACACTGGCCTCCTTGCTCGGCCTCAAATACAGCAAACTCTCTTCTGCCTTCTGGTCTCTGCATATGCTGTTTCCCCTGCCAGGAATACTCTTTCCTTCATCCTAGACTTAGCTAAATCCTCCTCATCCTCAAGTGTAAGCTCAAATGTCACTCCTAGGACCAAGTTGGATTACTCTCGCAAATGCTCTGCATCACACTCGTTGCTTGTATGGGTTAATGATCAATGTCTGTCACCCACACTGGATTATAAGCTCCAGAGGGTGGGAACCTGGTACTCTCTCAACATTTTTTGCCTCTGCCTAAAATGACCTCCCATTTTCTTTCCCACATCTCACCCTGCCTCGGCCTCCAGATCTCAGTTCAGATGTCACCTCCTCCAGGAAGCCCCCCTATATACCCAGATTGGGTCAGGTACCCCTCTGGGCTCCTCTAGCTCCCTAGCTTCCTTGTCCCAACCCTGCCCACCCTGGACTGTCACTCTCTGAAGATGGGTATTCTGCCCTACTGGACTCTGAGCCCCATGAGGGCAGGTCTTGGGCTGTCCTGGCCACCACTGGGTCCCCAGCACTGTCCCGCACAGAGGAGGCACTCAGTAAGTGCATGAGGACTTATCAGCACCTGGGACAAGGCTCATGGAGGGGAAGTGATATGCCCAGGGCCACATATCAGGCCAGGAGCTTAACAGAGATTTGTTGTGGATTTTTGTTGTTGTTGTTTTTTCTGTTTTGGAGACAGAGTCTTGCTCTGTCACCCAGACTGGAGTGCAGTGATGCAATCATGACTCACTACTCCCAGGCTCAAGCAATTCTCCTGCCTCAGCCTTCCAAGTACCTGGAACTACAGGTGTGCACCACCACACCTGGCTAATTGTTTTTATTTTTTGTAGAGATGGAATCTCATTATGTTGCCCAGGCTGGTCTTGAACTCCTGGCCTCAAGTGATCCTCCCTCCTTGGCTTCCCAAAGCGCTGGGATTAACAGGAGTGATTAACAGAGTTTGAACCCAGGCCTGCTGAGTCCAGAAGCTGCGTTCTCAACCCCACCATTGCCCACTTTCCTCTTTGGCCCTTCCATTCCCCAGAACCGTGCCCCACCCATCTAGATCTATTCTCTCAAGGACCCGAGGTGGGAGGACTTACTGTGGGGCGCGTGGCCTGGGGCGCTGGGTGCGTCCTGAAGGATGACGGGCATCAGGGCCTGGCGGATGGCTGTCTCCCAGCCCCGGGCGGCCTCAGCCCCCTGCCCACTTGGCCCACCCGGAGTCCCGCCAGGCATCTCGCCCACGAAGTAGGTGGCATTGGCAGTGACGATCTCAAAGCAGTGTGGGTTGGTGCCCGGCGGCACAAGGCTGAAGTTCTGGGCGGACTCCACCGTGAGGATTTCTGACAGCGGAATTTCCTGCAGGACGTGGAACCAGCACAGGTGAGGATGCCAGGCAGACCTTGGAATTCTAGTGCTTACCCAGAAGGATACACGGGATCCATGTTGATAGGGATGGGCCTGGTTTGCACAGTGGTCAGACAAGTTCCCAGTAATTCTAAGCCTGTTCTCACTGTTCTTTTATAATTACTGGCAGAGGCCAGGTGCGGTGGCTCATGCCTGTAATCCCAACACTTTGGAAGGCCGAGGTGGGCAGCTCACTTGAGGTCAGGAGTTCGAGACCAGCCTGGCCAACATGGCAAAATCCCGTCTCTACTGAAAATACAAAAATTAGCCAGGCGTGGTGGTGTGCGCCTGTAATCCCAGCTAATCGGGAGGCTGAGGCAGGAAAATCGCTTGCACCTGGGAGGCGGTGGTTGTAATGAGCCAAGATCGCACCACTGCACTCCAGCCTGGGCGACAGAGTGAGATTCCGTCTCAAAAATAATAATAATAATACTAATTACTGGCAGAAGTGATATTGAAGCAGAGACCAGAAAGGTAAGAAGCAGCCAGTTGGCAAGGAGTAGGGGAACAGCATGTGCAAAGGCCCTAAGGAAAGGCTATGCTCAAAAGCCAAGCTGTATCCCCATCACATGGGCGGTGCCTGGACATAGTAAAAGCTTGATAAACATTTGATGGCCGGATGTGGTGGCTCGTGCCTGTACTCCCAGCACTTTGGGAGGCCGAGGTGGGCAGATGGCCCAGGAGTTCAAGACCAGCCTGGGCAACACAGTGAGACCCCAGCTCTACAAAAAATTTAAAAATTAGGCATGGTGCCACAAGCCTGTAATCCCAGCACTTTGGGAGGCCAAGGCAGGCAGATCGCTGGAGCCCAGGAGTTTGAGACCAGCCAGAGCAACACAATGAGACCCCCATCTCTACAAAAAATAAAAAAACTAGCCAGGTGTGGTGGTGCGCACCTGTAATCCCAGCTACTGTGGAGGTGGGAGAATCATTTGAGCCAGGGAGGCAGAGGTTACAGTGAGCCATGATCATGCCACTGCACCTGGGAGACAGGGCAAGAGCCTGTCTCAAAATAAATAAATGGGCTGGGCATGGTGGCTCATGCCTGTAATCCCAACACTTTGGGAGGCCAAGGCAGGCGGATCACAAAGTCAGGAGTTCGAGACCCGCCTGACCAACATGGTGAAAGCCCATCTCTACTAAAAATACAAAAATTAGCCAGGCGTGGTGGCACACCTATAATCCTAGCTACTTGGGAGGCTGAGGCAGAAGAATCACTTGAACCCCGGAGGCGGAGGTTGCAGTGAGCCAAGATCGCGCCACTGCACTCCAGCCTGGGTGACAGAGCGAGACTCCGTCTCAAAAATAAACGTTTGATAATAAATGGAGGAAATGAGGCCACACAGGGCTTTGCGGGCCACAAGGAAGAGCCTGGGCTTTGTCCAAGGGCCCTAGGAAGCCACTGAAGGCTTTTGAGCATCATCCGCTTGTGTGCGGAGGGCAGATGGAATAGAATGAGATGGAGACAGAGAACCAGGAAGGAGGCTGAGGGGACCCAGGCGGGACAGAAGGCACAGGGACTATGGGGTGGGAAACGTGTCAAAAGAGGAAGGAGGGAGGTAGGAGAGAGGAAAGAATGAATGACTTAGGCAGCCCATAAAACCAGGTGATGACATGGACACGTCGGGGGGGCATGGTGAGGACAGCATTATATTTTATTTTATTTTATTTTTTTGAGATGGAGTCTTGCTCTGTTGCCCAGGCAGGAGTGCAGTGACGCGATCTCAGCTCACTGCAACCTCCACCTCCCAGGTTCAAGCAATTCTCCTGCCTCAGCCTCCCAAGTAGCTGGGGTTATAGGCACCCGCCACCATGCCCAGCTAATTTTTGTATTTTTAGTACAGACAAGGTTTCACCATATTGGCCAGGCTGGTTTCGAACTCATGATCTCAAGTGATCCGCCCACCTCGGCCTCTGAAAGCGCTGGGATTACAGGCGTGAGCCACCACGCCTGGCCAAGGACAGCATTTTAGATGGTGTGGTCTGAGCAAAATGGGAAGATGATAAGGAACCAGCCATGGAAAGTTCAAGGAAGACGCTCCAGGGCAGGTAACAGCTGGAGTCCAGGTTTTATTACTCTAAGACAATGGGAGCCACTGGGGGGTTTGACGGTTTTAATGAAGACTCCCCTGGCTGTGGGGGAAATGACAGAGGTTGTGAGGTCAGAAGCAAGGACCCTGCAAGGAGAAGGCTGAAACCATCCAGGTGGAAGACAGTGGCTGGGACACAGTGTGGGCATGGGAGGTGGTGACGAATACGCACACAATGCAATACATTAATTATAAAGAAATAGTGAGGCCGGGTGCGGTGGCTCATGCCTGTAATCCCAGCACTTTGGGAGGCCGAGGGGGGCAGATCATGAGGTCAAGAGATCAAGACCATCCTGTCCAACATGGTGAAACCCCGTCTCTACTAAAAATACAAAAATTAGCTGGGTGTGGTGGCATTCACCTGTAGTCCTAGGGTGGGAGGCTGAGGCAGGAGAATCGCTTGAACCCGGGAAGCGGAGGTTGCAGTGAGCCGAGATCGCGCCACTGCACTCCAGCTGGGCGACAGAGTGAGACTCTGTCTCAAAAAATAAATAAATAACAAAAAATAAAGGAATAGTGAGAACAGCCTTAGAATTACTGGGAGCTTAATATATACCACGCCTTAAGCCAATTGGTTTAGTGGATTGGCTCTTTGAATTCTCGCACCAGCCCTGAGGTGAGTATTAGCATTTGAGGCATTTTGCAGGTGAGAAGCGTGAGGCACTGAGAAGTAAGGGAACCTGCCCGGAGTCCCCCTGGCTGGAAAGTGGTGGGGCCAGAATCGGATGGGCAGCACTTGCTGATGAGCTGGAAGCAGGGAGGCTGGGGGTGGGCAGAGGGTGTGATTTGCAGGATCTGTCTGGAGTAACTGGGGGTAGGAGGAGGTGTGGGAAAGTTTGTGGGCACAGCGGGAAGTCCGAGGGAGCTGAAAGCCCGGAGGCTTACCTTATAGTATCTGTTGGTCGTGTTGTTCTGGAAGAGCGTGATACACTTGCAGTCCAGGCGCCAATAGTGCCGCTTTCTCTGCAGAGATGTTTGAAGAGTCACGTGAACCGCCAGACTTTCCTGCCCAGTCCCTATCCCGTGGAGCTGCTTGGGGCTCCAGGTGCCTGGAGCACCACGTGCACGCCGTAACTCTAGCACCTACCCCACGCCGTAACCCCACCCCACCACACGCCCTAACCCCAGCCCCGCCCCTAGCCTTAACCCTAGCCCAGCCCCCACGCCCTAACCCCAGACTCGCCCCCACTTAGCCCTCTTCCTCCAGCCAAGCTCCTCCCCTAACTCTAGCCCCGCCCCTGACCTTGCCCTGAGCCCCGGGTCTTCCCTAACTCCTGCCCGTAGTCCCACCCTTACAGCCCACACTTCTAATTCTAGCCCCGCCTCCAGCACGGCCCAGCCCACTACTGGCCCCGCTCGCGCCTAGCTCCAGCCCCACCCACCTAGCCCCGCCTACTCAAGCTGAGCCGCCCCTCTTCCAGCCTTCGCTCCGCCGTACCCGGCCCCGCCCCGGCCACTCACCAGCGTGTCCTTGTTGCTGTAATGAACCACCCAACCCTCCCGCAGCGTGGTGCTGGATTTCCGCGTCGTGTGTCGCACCGATTGCACCACCCTCATTAGGGGGATGTACCCCAGGGAGCTGCGAAGGAAGAGGAAGGGGTGAGAAGTCACATGCAGAAAGTGACCATGCTGCTTGGGAATGCAGGGGGCATCTCTGGGAAACTAGGGAGTTGGGGACTGTTTTTGTTTGTTTGGTTTGTTTTGACATTTTCCCCCCAACACACACCCGGGAGTTGCTTTTTGTTTGTTTTTAAGAGGCTCGCTCTGTCACCCAGGCTGGAATGCAGTGGTGCGATCTCGGCTCACTGCAACCTCTGCCTCCCGGGTTCAAGCGATTCTCGTGCCTCAGCCTCCTGAGTGGCCGGGACAATCACGGTGACCATTAGGTGCACGCCACCACCCCTGGCTAATTTTTGTATTTTTAGTAGTGATGAGGTTTCACCATGTTGGCCAGGCTGGTCTCGAACTCTTTGCCTCAACTCCTTCCCTAACTCCTGCCCCTAGTCCCACCCTTAGAATCCCTTCACGAGATCCATCCGCCTCGGCCTCCCAGAGTGCTTACAGGTGTGAGCCACCACGCTGGCCCAGAAGGAGATTCTTGAGAGGGCTTCTGTAGTAGGCCTTTCTGAAGTCAGGCTGCCTAGCAAATTACCTAACCTCTTCATGCCTCAGTTTGTCCACCCAAAGGGGATGCTATGAGGAATGGAAACCTTTCTACGGAGCTTAGTACAGTGCCTGGCATACAGAGGACCTCCAGTAAGTGCTAATTGGTATTTAGTCCAGCAATTGTGGAGCCAGCTGTGTGACACTGGGTAAGTGATTCAACCTCTCTGGGCCTCACCTCCCTCATTTGTGCAGATGCTGTTAGTACAGTAAGGAAGGTCTACAGAGATTAAGTGGCCTGCTGGGCATGGTGGCTCATGCCTGTAATCCCAACACTTTGGGAGGCAGAAGTGGGGGGATCACTTGAGGTCAGGAGTTTGAGATTTGAGAGATTAAGTGACTTGCTCAACTCTGGAACCAACAATCTCTGGATCCCTGTGCTAGATCAGAACCTGGGTGGCCTTGATCACATCTCTTTGCCTGAGACTCAGTTTCCCCATCTGTGAAATGGGCTGCCTCTCCCCACACCCGCCACCCCCAATCCCTCAAGGTCCAACTCTTGACAGTGTATGACGGTGTTACTAGGCATTCCCAGGAAAGACGTGGGAGAAAGGGAACCTGCGGCTTCAGGCTGCTTGGGTTGGGAGGCACCGCAGGAAACACTCTGTCGTCACTGTGACTGGCTTACCCATCCCCTTTCTGTCCAACCCTCTTCCCCTCGCCCTCCCTGCTGCAGCTACATGGGTCTCTTTGCTGTCCCTGGAACACGGTGCCTCCACCCCAGGGCCTTTGCACTCGCTGTTGCCTCTGCCTGGAAGCCTTTTCCCCCAGAGCCCCACAAGGCTCCTTCCCTCCCCTCCCTTCAACTGCCACTTCCTCAGCGAGGTCTCCTTGAAGGACCCTAAGATAGCATGTCCCCCATTCTCCATCTCCTCTTGTTTTTATCACCATTACCAATACCCGATGCTATGGATGCATTTATTAGCTGTCTCCCCACTGAGGCAGTCAGCTCCAGAAGGGCAGACTTTTACCTCTTTTGTTCATAGCTGTGTGCTTGAACACAGCAGGTGCTCATTAAATATTTTCCAGTGCACCTGTGAGGGTGCCCCCTTACCCCTACCCCAGGTTTATCACCCCGTGGGGTAGGTACCTCATCGCCCCAGGAGGAAACCGTGGCACACAGGGAAGCGCCTAGCAAGTGAAGTGGTAGAGCTGGGATCTGGGCTGTCACCCTCCAGCGCCTGTGTGAACTGTGCTTTCTCAATAAACATTCACGCCACACCCAGATAGGAAGTGCCTGATCTGAGCCAGTCCTGTCCTAGGCACCTGGGAGGGCAGAAAATATCCTTGCCCTCATGCACCTGAGCTCACATTCCAGTGGAGCTGACTAAGTATGAACTCCGTGTATAGTTTAAAAATGTGTAGGCTGGGGGCACAGTGGCACACACCTGTAATCCCAGAACTTTGGGAGGCTGAGGTGGGAGGATTGCTTGAGCGCAGAAGTTCAAGACCACCCTGGGCAACATAGCAAGACCCCCTATCTTAAAAAAAAAAAAAAAAAAAAAAGAAGAGGAATATAGGTCAGGCGCGGTGGCTCATGCCTGTAATCCCAGCACTTTGGGAGGCCGAGGCAGGTGGATTACCTGAGGTTGGGAGTTCAAGACCAGCCTGACCAACATGGCAAAACCCTGTCTCTACTAAAAATACAAAAAAAGTAGCTGGGCCTGGGCGGGTGCCTGTAGTCCCAGCTACTTGGGAGGCTGAGGCAGGAGAATCGCTTGAACCCAGGAGACAGAGGTTGCAATGAACTGAAATTGCATCACTGCACTCCAGCCTGGGCAACAAGAGCGAAACGCCGTCTAAAATTAGCCAGGGATAGCAGTGCATCCCTGTAGTCCCAGATACTCGGGAGGCTGAGGCAGGAGGATCACCTGAGCCCAGGAGTTTGAGGTTACAGTGAGCCACAATCACACCACTGCACTCCAGTGGGCAACAAAGCAAGACCCTTTGGGAGGCTGAGGCGGGTGGATCACTTGAGCTCAGGAGTCAGGAGTTCAAGACCAGCCTGGGCAACATAGGGTAGACCCTGTCTCTACAGAAATACAAAAATTAGCTGGGTGTGGTGGACGAGCCTGTGGTCCCAGCTACTCGAGAGGCTAAGGTGGCAGGATCGCTTGAGCCCAGGTGGTCGAGGCTGCAGTGAGTCAAGACTGCACCACTGCACCAGCCTGGGCGACAGACCGAGACCCTGTCTCAAACAAAAAATTATTTAAAAAAAATTGTAGTGCTTTAAAAGGTTTGCCTCAGGAACTGGGAAAATTTATAAATATGAGGTGATGTCAGCCCATTGTAGAGAAAAAGAAATTGAGGTTCACTGTGCAGGAGGGTCTTCCCCCAGGGTCTCTTGGAGGGTTCTGTGTATACCTCTGGGCCTTGCCTCCCTCGCCTTCCTCCTCCTCACTGGCGTGGAGCGCATTCTCTGAGTGGGAGCCAGGGATGACACCGGAGTCCTCTGACTCATCCATGAGGGCGCTCTTGTCAGCCTCGCTGAAATCGGTGGCCTCCTCCATCGGCACATCTGTGGGGACGGAGGCATCAGAGGGGTCTCCACCCAGTCCTGCCCCTTCCCCTTTCTCCCCAGCATCCCCCCAGCCTCTCACCTCCATTGATAAGGGCCTCCCCCAGGCAGTCATTAGGGACGCGGGTGGCGCAGCGTTTGTGACAGTTAAACTTGCAGTCTGGTAGGACAGGGAACAAGGGAACGGGTGAGAAGGGGAAGAGAGGTTACCTGGAAGGCTTGAACCTTGACCCTAAGCCTCAGGCTCAAAAGAGTCTACTCTTGCTGTCTGGGTAAGAACACTGGCTGCTGCTGCCCTGGTCATTTTCCCACTTTCAGCCACAGTTTTCCCAACCATCGGGGGGGTCTTGATTAAGTAGGAGGGCTAGACTCAAAATCCCGACGACTGCTGGGTGCAGTGGCTCCCGCCTGTAATCTCGGTATTTTGGGAGGCCGGGGAGAGCAGATCATTTGAGGTCAGGAGTTCGAAACCAGCCTGCCCTACATGGTAAAACCTCGTCTCTACTAAAAATACAAAAATTAGCTGGGCGTGGGACTACAGGCGCCCACTACCACGCCCAGCTGATTTTTTTGTGTTTTTAGTAGAGACGGGGTTTCGCCATGTTGGTCAGGCTGGTTTCGCGCTCCTGACCTCAGATGATCCACCTGCCTTGGCCTCCTAAAAGTGCTGGGATTACAGGCGTGAGCCACCGCGCCCGACTTGTGTGTGTGTGTGTGTGTGTGTGTTATTGGTTCTAATGTGCTGTGACTCCAGACTCTGAACACCCTAGGGCTGGGTTCCTCAACCCGTGACACTAACACAGTGCCCAGGATAATTCCTTGTTTTAGGGCACTTGCTCTGTGTATTGTAGGATGTTTAGCTGCATCTCTGACTTCTACCTACTGGATGCCAGTAGCACTATCCCAGCGTACCAAACAAAACCATCTCCAACCCTTGCCAAACATCCCCTAGGAGCAAAACGGCCCCTGGTCGAGAACCATTGCTGTAGAGTTCAGTGTTTCCACGGTTCTAGGGACACTATACATCGAAGATTCTAGAGTTTACTAAAAACCTATTTTATGAAGGTTCTATGATTCTGTTTTTTGTTTTTTTTTTTTTTTTTTAAGAAACAGTCTGGCTGTCACCCAGACTAGAGTGTGCAATGGCACCATCTCGGCTCACTGCAACCTCTGCCTCCCAGGCTCAAGCGATCTTCCCACCTCAGCCTCCTGAGTAGCTGAAACTACAGGCACGCACTACCATGCCTGGCTAATTTTTCGTATTTTTTGTAGAGATGGGGTCTTTCCATGTTGTACAAGCTGGTCTTGAACTCCTGGGCTCAAGCAATCCACCCACCTAAGCCTCCCAAAGTGCTGGGATTACAGGTGTGAGCTACTGCCCCTGACCTGATTCCGTATTTCTAAGGCTTCAGAGTTTGATGTCCAAGTTTCTAGAACTCTAGACATCTATGAGTCAACACTTCTAAGACTCTTTAATGTCCAAGATTTTAGGGTGTTATATATCTAAACTCTAAAATTTGACAGTTCTAGGGTTCTACAATTCTAGGCTTCTCTACCTCCAGAATCTGCAGATTCCAAGGTTCTAGGATTCTATACATACAAGATTCTAGAATTTGATGTTTCTATGCTTCTTTAGCTCTAGGCTTCTAAGATTCTAGAATTTGATTGTTCCAGTAAATTCTTGAATTGGATGTTTCTAAGTTTATGTGGATCTAGGCTTCTGAGGTTCTAGAATTTTTTTTTTTCTTTTTTTGAGACAAGTTCTTGCTCTGTCACCCAGGCTGGAATGCAGTGGCACAATCATGGCTCACTGCAGCCTCAACCTCCTGGGCTCAAGCAATCCTCCCTCCTCAGAGTCCCAAGTAGCTGGAACCACAGATGCATGCTGCCATGCCTGGCTAATTTTTAATTTTTTTTGTAGAGACAGGGTTTCACCATGTTGCCCAGGCTGGTCTTAAACTCCTAGGCTCAAGTGATCCACCTACCTTGGCCTCCCAAAGTGCTGAGATTACATGCATGAGCCACCACACCTGGCTGGATTCTAGAATTTGATTGTTCAAAGTTCTGGGAGTCTAGAATTTCCAGGATTCTAGGTTACGATGGTTTCAAGCTTATATGATTCTAGACGTCTAAGACTCTCAAATTTGATGTGCCTATGTTTCTATTACCCTCAAATCCCATGGTTCCAAAATTCTCATGCTCTGAGAGTCTATAACTTGGGAGATCTAAGATGTGTAATCTAAAGTTCTGTTGTTATTTTAGCTGAATTCTATCATTCGGAATTCTTGAATGCTATGGTTCTGATTCTAGAATTCTCAGGTTCTACAGTTTTAGAATTCCATGCTAAGCACGTTATGAATCTAGGATTCCAAGGTTCTAAAGACTGAGGTTCAGCTGGGCGCGGTGGCTCACACCTGTAATCCCAGCACTTTGGGAGGCCGAGGTAGGAGGATTGCTTGAGCCCAGGAGTTCAAGACCAGCCTGAACAATATAGTGATACCTTCTCTCTACAAATGATTTAAAAATTAGCTGGGTGTGGCCAGGCGCGGTGGCTCACGCCTGTAATCCCGGCATTTTGGGAGGTCGAGGCAGGTGGATCACAAGGTCAGGAGATCGAGACCATCCTAGCTAACATGGTGAAACCCCGTCTCTACTAAAAATACAAAAAAATTAGCCAGGCATGGTGGCGGGCGCCTGTAGTCCCAGCTACTCAGGAGGCTGAGGCAGGAGAATGTCCTGATCCCAGGAGGCAGAGTTTGCAGTGAGCCGAGATCACACCACTGCACTCCAGCCTGGGCGACAGAGTGAGACTCCGTCTCAAAAAAAAAAAAAAGAAAAGAAAATTAGCTGGGTGTGGTGGCACCACCTGTAGTCCTAGCTACTTGGGAGGCTGAGGCAGGAGGATCACTTGAACCCAGGAGGTTGAAGCTGCAGTGAGCCGTGATTGCGCCACTGCACTCCAGCCTGGGTGATAGAGTGACACCCTGTCTCCAAAAAACAACAACAACACACACACACACACACACACACACACACACACAACTGAGGTTCTAAGATTCCAGAATTCCAAAGGTCCCAGAACACTAGGATTCAGGGCCCTCCCCTTCTGAGGCCCTGGGGTCCCAAGGCTCAGATCCTTGTGTCCTGCCACAAGACCAGGTTGGGGCGGGAAGGAGGTTCTGACCCTGTCTGTCCTCCCCGACAGGCCCAGCTAACCTTTGCATTGCAGGCCCTGCCGGAAGAGGCCCTTGAGGAGTTTCTTGCAAGCCTGGCAAACGGTGGGCCGTGTATAGCTGTGGATGAGGAAGGTGTGCGGCACCTTGACCTTGGAGAGCAGCATCTTGTCCAGCTCAATGGGGCGGCCCGTATACGATGAGGCAGAAGAGGAGGAAGAGGATGACGGGGGACGGCGAGGCAGGAGTTCGGTGGTGCTACGGCTCTGTCGTTGGCAAGAATGGAGGGGACACATCAGTGCGTTGGCCCCATGCCTGGGCCAAGTCACCCCCCTAGCCACCAACCCGTCCCATCCCCCATCTCCTCACCAGCTCTTCAGCCGTGCAGGGCAGGGACTCGGAGGTGCCGAGGCGCACCGAGTGGCCACTGGCCAGAGACGTGGATGACAGGCGCCGTTTGCGGGCCCCACTACAGTTGTTGGGGATGCTGAAGGCACAGCGCTTGTGGTAGTTCAGCCCGCAGCCTGCAGGGGGCGCCAGAGAGTAAGAGACATGGCGTCTGCCCCTCCTAGGTCTCTTCTTGAGAAGTTGTGCCCTTTCCACCCAATCTCTCACCTGGTCCTGTCCCATCACCCCCCGCCAGCACGATCTCCTCCAAAAGGCACTACTATCCGTAAGTGTATCAGCCCCTTCAGGCCCACCCCTCCTTAGAGTTCTGCCCCAAGTTCCAGCTTGTAGCCCCACCATCACCCCATCTGTCCCCCAGACCCTGAACACACCCACACCCCTTTTCTCACTCCAACAAGGGACACCTCAAAGGCTCCCCCCAAAGCTCTGTCCCCAGTTTCAGCTTGTAGCCCTGCCATCACCCCATCTGTCCCCCAGACCCTGAACACGCCTCACACCCAAAATTTTCCCACTCCAACAAGGGATACCTCAAAGGTTCCCTCCAAAGCTCCACCCCTAGTTCCAGCTTGTAGCCCCGACATCACCCCATCTGCCCCCCAGGCCCTGAACGCGCCTCACACCCCACCTTTTCCCACTGCAACAATGGATGCCTCAAAAGTCCCCGCCAAAGCTCTGACCCAGCCCCAGTCCTCTATGGTAAGCACCTCCTTCTAGTCCTCCCCAAAACTCCTGTCCATCTCCCTAGAGACACCTGTTCCCCCTTCTAACCCTGACCTTCCTTTTTCTGAGGCCCCTTTGGTTCCCCCTCTTTCCCCAACCCCAACTTTCCAAAAGAAAATGCCTCTCCTCACCCCCACCCCTAAGGTCACTATCCCTCCAGGTCTGCTCACCCCCTGTACCCCACTTTCTCTTTTCTGTAGACCTGGAATCCAGGCAATCCCTAAGTAGTGTGATTAAATCTTAGTAGTGTGGGCCACGCATGGTGGCTCACGCCTGTAATCCCAGCACTTTGGGAGGCCAAGGCCGGCGGATCACTTGAGGTCAGGAGTTTGAGACCACACTGGCCAACATGGCAAAACCCCATCTCTACTAAAAATACAAAACTTAGCCGGGTGTAGTGGCACACGCCTGTAATCCCAGCTACTCCGGAGGCTGAGGCAGGAGAATCACTTGAACCCAGGAGGCAGAGGTTGTAGTGAGCTGAGATCACGCCACTGCACTCCAGCCTGGGCAATACAGCGAGACTCAGTTTCAAAAAAAAAAAAAGAGTTCTCAGTTGTACTCAGGTCCATTGTACCATACTAGGCAGAAGTATGACTTCTTATTGTCTTATTTTATTTTGTAGAGACAGGATCTCCCTGTACCCCCGGCTGAAGCACAATGGCACAATCATAGCTCACTGCAGCCTTCAACTCCTGGGCTCAAGTAATCCTCCTGCCTCAGCCTCCTGAGTAGCCAGAACCACAGACATACACTACCATGCCCAGATAATTTTTTTATTTTTATTTTTTTGTAGAGATGGGGTCTCGCTACATTGCCCAGGCTGGTCTTGAACTCCTGGGCTCAAGTGATCCTCCCACCTCAGCCTCCCAAAGTGTTGGGATTACAGGCATGAGCCACTGTGCCCTGCCTATTTTATCTTTTAAAATCCTCATCCATGGAGAAATCAGCTCAACTCCCTGTTTCCCACTGGACGTTCTGTATGTGTGCTCTAATACATCTCCAGTGATTCCAAACGATTCCAGGATCGCTTTCTATTCTGGAGTGAAGAATGTTCCTCCAGCCTTTGGGAGCCCTTCTGGTACCCGCCTGCTCCAGGCTTTCCAGTTCCACACCTCCTCATTGTAGGCACTGTCTTGGCTGCATGCTGTAATCACGGAGGCAAGCTTGGAGAACGGTGTTGGCCCTGCAAGAAGAGCTTCAGCAGGGCAAATGGTCTTTGCACACAGGAACCATTTCCCAGTGTTGGCCTTGAATCACTCATGTGCCTTCCAGAATTTCAGAATCTTATCTATAACTCTCAGAATGAGTCTCAGGATAGAGTTAAACTCCTGTCGGAATGTAGTCATTTGGGGTTCTCTTGCCACCATAGGAACTGGGACCATCATCTGTGATGCTGCACCAGTGAAGTCTGTGCTGATAACCCATTAGGACTTGATGACACCAGGGCTGTATCATGACAAAGACTGCATATGCTGAGACCTCAAGAGTTGGATATGGTGTGTGGACGATGGCAATATTTATAAGAGCTTTTAATGCACTGAATCAGTATCTGCAGGCCTAGAGTCCTTAAATAATACAAGTATACTTTGGACTGCATGATGATCTGGAACACAGGATATTGGAGAAACTGGATTTCTTTTTTTTTTTTTTTTTTGAGACGGAGTCTCACCCTGTCACCCAGGCTGGAGTGCAATGGTATGATCTCGGCTCACTGCAACCTCCACCCCCTCAGGTTCAAATGATTCTCCTGCCTCAGCCTCCCGAGTAGCTGGGATTATAGGTACCCGCCACCACACCCAGCTAATTTTTCTAGTTTTAGTAGAGACAGGGTTTCACCATGTTGGCCAGGCTGGTCTCTAACTCCTGACCTCATGATCCGCCCGCCTTGGCCTCCCAAAGTGCTGGGATTACAGGTGTGAGCCACCGTGCCTGGCCCAGAATCAGGATTTCTGTACAAGCGTGGCACCCACGGAGCTAGAGATGCTGTCTCAGACCTAATACCCAATGGAACATCCAAGAATATGGCTCTAATTGCAGGGCACACCATACAAAAATGGAGGCGCATGGGGCCCAGCGCAGTGGCTCATGTCTGTAATCCCAGCACTTGGGGAGGCTGAGGAGGGTGGATTACTTGAAACCAGCCTGGCCAACATGGTGAAACCCCGTCTACTAAAAATACAAAAATTAGCCAGGAGTGGTGGTGCGCACCTGTAATCCCAGCTATTTGGGAGGCTGAAGCAGGAGAATTGCTTGAACCCAGGAGGTAGAGGTTGCAGTGAGCCAAGACCACGCCACTGCACTCCATCCTGGGTGACGGAGCAAGACTCTGTCTCACACACACAAAACAATGGAGCCACAGGGTCTCATCACAGAATGGATGGTCCTCACCTGTCATCTGTCCTCATAGCCAATGCAGGTACATGGCCTTCATCTGTAGGCAGAGCCCCGATTTCAACATTCTCACTCAGAAGCATGAATAACAGGGACAGAGGACCTATATAGATCTTGACACTTGGGCTGAACCTTGAGACATCTTGGCTTAAAGAACTGTATGTTTTGGACAGGCGCGGTGGCTCATGCCTGTAATCCCAGCACTGTGGGAGGGCAAGGCGGGTGGATCATTTGAGGTCAGGAGTTCAAGACCAGCCTGGCCAACGTGGTGAAACCCCGTCTCTACTAGAAATACAAAAATTAGCCGGGCAGTAATGGTGTGTGCCTGTAATCCCAGCTACTCGGTAGGCTGAGGCAGGAGAATCGCTTGAGCCTGGGAAGTGGAGGTTGTGGTGAGCTGAGATCGCGCCACTGCACTCCAGCCTGGGTGACAGACTGAGACGCTGTCTCCAAAAAAGAAAACCTGTATATTTTTAAACTATGATTTAAGGAGATATGTATGGGTGCTGTTATGGACTAAATGTCTGTGTCTCCCCCAAAATTCTTATGTTGAAACCCTAACCTCCAATGCAACTATATCTGGAGACGGTGCCTTTATGGAGGTAATTAAGGTTAATTGAGGCCGAAAGAGTGTGGCTGTAATCCAATGGGACTGGTGACCTTTTTTTTTTTTTTTTTTTTTTTTTTTCTGAGACAATCGTGTTCTGTCACCTAGGCTGGAGTGCAGTGGCATGATCACGGCTCACCGCAGCCTCAACCTCCCAGGCCCAGGTGATCCTCCCACCTCAGCCTCTTGAGTAGCTAGGACTAGAGGTATGCACCACCATGCCTGGCCAATTTGTTGTATTTTTTAGAGACGGGGTTTCACCATGTTGCCCATGCTGGTCTCGAACTCCTGGACTCAAGCGATCCACCATCCTCCCAAAGTGCTGGGATTATAGGCATGAGCCACCATGCCTGGCCTTCCTTATAAAGGGAAGAGATACCAGGGATCTCTCTCTCCGTGTCCCATGTGAGCGCACAGTGAAATGATGGCCCTCTGCAAGGCAGGAAAGCAGGCTACACCAGAAACAGAACCCTGCCAGAATCTGGATCTTTGTCTTTCCAGCCTCTCACAATTCCAGGGATTTTGAGAAGTAAATGTCTGTCATTTAAGCCACGCAGGGTGGTATTTTGTTAAGGCAGCCCTGACAAACTAAGACAGGTGCCAGGTTGACAAGAGATGGACCCTGATAGTCATGTTAATGTGTCAGCTTGGCTAGGCGAGATCCACAGTTATTCAGACACTAATCTAGATGTTGCCATGAAGGTTGGTTTGTTTGTGGTTTTTTTTTTTTTTTTTTTTTTTGAGACGGAGTCTCGCTCTGTTGCCAGGCTGGAGTGCAGTGGCACGATCTCGGCTCACTGCAACCTCTGTCTCCTGGGTTCAAGTGATTCTCCTACCTCAGCCTCCCAAGTAGCTGGGACTATAGGCACATGCCACCACGCCCGCTAATTTTTGTATTTTTAGGAGAGATGGGGTTTCACCATGTTGGCCAGGGTGGTCTCAATCTCTTGACCTCATGATCCGCCTGCCTCAGCCTCCAAAGTGCTGGGGTTACAGGTGTGAACCACTGTGCCCAGTCAAGGTTTGTTTTTTCTTTTCACCTTCTCAACCCAGCTTTTCCCCGACTCCAGGAAGAACTGGGAAGAGAAGGCCCCATGGAGGTATTTTCTTTTCTTTTCATTTTTTTGAGACAGAGTTTTGCTCTTGTTGCCCAGGCTGGAGTGTAATGGTGCAATCTCAGCTCACTGCAAGCTCTGCCTCCCGGGTTCAAGAGATTCTCCTGACTGAGCCTCCCGAGTAGCTGGAATTACAGGCGTCCACCAACACGCCGGCTTTTTTGTATTTTTAGTAGAGACGGGGTTTCACCATGTTGGACAGGCTGGTCTCGAACTCCTGACCTCAGGTGATTCACCTGCCTCGGCCTCCCAGAGTGCTGGGATTACAGGCGTGAGCCACCGCACCCGGCCCAGTGGAGGTATTTTCTGGATGTGATGAAAATCCATAATCAGCTGACTGTAAGTGGGAGAGGTGATCCTGCTTGTTCTAGGTGGGTCTCATTCAATCAGCTGAATGTTTTAAAAAGCAGATCAGAGACTTTTCGGATGAAGAAATTCCACCTGTGGACATCAGCTTCAGCTTGTGCCTGAGTTCCCACTTGCCCTTCCTGATAGGATGGATTTTTTTTTCTTTTTCTTTTTATTGTTTTGTTTTTGTTTCTGTTTTCAGAAGGAGTCTCACTCTATCACCAGGCTGGAGTGCAGTGGCACAATCTCGGCTCACTGCAACCTCCTCCTCTCAGGTCCAAGCAATTCTCCTGCCTCAGCCTCCCAAGTAGCTGGGACTACAGGCGTGTGCCACCACGTCCGGCTAATTTTTTGTATTTTTAGTAGAGACGGGGTTTCACCATGTTAGCCAGGAGGGTCTCAATCTCCTGACCTCGTGATCCACCCGCCTCGGCCTCCCAAAGTGCTGGGATTACAGGCATGAGCCACCGTGTCCGGCCTTTTTCCTGTTTTTGAGCCAGGGTCTCGCTCTGTCACCCAGGCTGGTGTGCAGTGGTGCAATCAGGGCTCACTACAGTGTCGAGCTCCCAGGCTCAAGTGATCCTCCCGCCTCAGCCTCCCAAGTGGCTGGGACCACAAGTGTCTGTCACCATGCTTGGCTAATTATTTTTTGTACAGGCAGAGTCTTGCTATGTTGCCCAGGCTGGTCTTGAACTCCTGGCCTCAAGTGATCCACCTACCTTTGCCTCCCAAAGTGCTGGGATTACTGGCCTCCCCCACTGTGCCCAGCCAGATTTGAGTTGCCTAGCCAGCCCACACAATTCTGTAAGCTGATTCCTTGCATATAAATATCTCAATATATATCTCCTCCTGGATGTTTCTCTGCTTGATCCCTAACTGATAGAGGCCCCACCCTCTTCCCCCGCCACCCTTCTGCTCCCCTAGGCTCTGTTCTTAAGCCCCTACTTGTCCCTCCCAGCTCCACCTCCTAGGCTCCGCCCCTAGACCTGAGCCCCGGCCCAGCCCCACCACTCCTTCCCCAAGCTCTGCTTCTGGGCCCATCCTTCTTCCCATTATTACTTCCTAGGCTGCGCCCCCAGCTCTGAGACCCGCTCCTCCTCCCCACGCTGTCCCCGTGCCAGGACCATTACGCTCCGCCCCCGGTGCAGAGCCCCGCCCCAGGCCCCGCCCCCAACCCTTTAGCTCTCACCATCGCACTTGAGGCCCTGGCGCACTAGGCCGAAGAGCATCTCCCCGCAGTGATCACAGAAGGCAGGCGCCCGATAGGAGTGCACCGTGAGGGCGTGCGGGCGGATCTGGAAGTCCTCGAAGGTGGCCGAGGCTGTAGGCGGAAAATAGGGGTGGATGCTTGAGGCGGGGTAGGCCAAAGCTTTTCCAGACCCCACGTTCCCTGATTTCTCACAGTGCTCCCAGCCGCAAGGTGTGATCTTTCCTTCCTTCCTTCATTTGCTCTCATACTACATTCTGCCTGGGTTCAAATCCCAGCTCCACCCCTGAACAAAACACATATATCCCTACGCCCTGGGCAGGGACAGAGCGGGAATTGGGGAGTTGTTTAACGGGCAAGGAGCTTCAGTTTCGCAAGATGACAACAGTTCTGGAGACCGGCTGCACAACAGTGTGCGTGAACTTTAAATTACTGAACTGTACGCTTAAAAGTGCTTAAAATGTTGTGGGCTTTTTTGTTTGTGTTTGTTAGAGAGTTTCACTCTGTCACCCAGGCTGGAGTACAGTAGTGAGATCTCGGCTCACCACAAGTCCGCCTCCCGGGTTCAAGCAGTTCTCCTGCCTCAGCCTCCAGAGTAGCTGGGATTACAGGCATGCGCCACCACACCCGACTAATTTTTGTATTTTTAGTAGAGACGGAGTTTCACCATGTTGGCCAGGATGGTCTCAAACTCCCGACCTCAGGTGATCTGCCCGCCTCGGTCTCTCAAAGTGTTGGGATTACAGGCGTGAGCCACTGCACCCGGCCTAAAATAGTAATTTTTATGTTATGTATATTTTACCAAATTAAAAAATTTTTAATTAAAAATACCACCACCAACAACAAAAAAGAACATGGATAGGCGGTGCCCGGTGGCTCACATCTGTAATCCCAGCACTTTGGGAGGCCCAGGTGGGCGGATCACTTGAGGTCAGAAGTTCGAAACCAGCCTGGCCAACATGATGAAACCCCGTCTCTACTAAAAATACAAAAATTAGCCAGGCCTGGTGCCGCGTGCCTGTAATCCCAGCTACTCAGGAGGCTGAGGCAGGAGAATTGCTTGAACCCGGGAGGCAGAGGTTGCCGTGAGCCAAGATCATGCCACGGCACTCCAGCCTGGGTGACAGAGTAAGATTCTGTCTAAAAAAAAGAAAAAAAAAAAAAGCCCAGTGTGGTGGTGCATGCCTGTAATGCCTATAGTCCAGCCACCTCAGGAGGCTGAGGCGGGATGATTGCTTCAGTCTGGGAGGTAGAGGCTGCAGTGAGTGGTGGTCATGCCACTGCATTCCAGCCTGGGTGACAGAACAAGACCCTGCCTCAAAACAAAATAACAGGGCCGGGAGCGGTGGCTCACACCTGTAATCGCAGCACTTTGGGAGGCTGAGGTGGGCAGATCACTTAAGATCAGCAGTTCGAGACCAGCCTGGCCAACAAGGTGAAATCCCGTCTCTACTAAAAATACAAAAATTAGCCACGTGTGGTAGCAGGCGCCTGTAATCCCAGCTACTCGGGAGGCTGAGGCAGGAGAATCGCTTGAACCCAGGAGGCAGAGGTTGCAGCAAGCTGAGTTTGCGCCACTGCACTCCAGCCTGGGTGACAGAGCGAGACTCCGTCTAAAAAAACAAAAAATAATAAAAATGACAAAAACAAAACAAAACTCAGGTTTAGGGGAGAGACAACAATGAAGATAAAAATTCAAGTGAGGCCAGCTTATGATATGAAAGAGTACTTAAAGCCTGAACAAGGTCACTAAAGGTGTAAATCCAGACTTCTGTCATTCATTCATTGAGCCGGTTTCACTGGGCACTGCAGTATGCCGGAGCAGCAGGGAAGGCAGCCATGAAAAAGGCAGCTGCCCCCACCCTCAAGAGGGACCAAGGGCCATAGACTGCTCTAAGGTGCTGAGAGCATGCCCATCTATACTACTGGAATAGTGAGTGGATGAACTGGCTTCTGGCTGTGTCTTAGAAAATCACCTGGGGGCTTTTAAAAATACTGATGTGCAGATTCCATCTCACTTTGCAGAGATTCTGATTTAATTTAGCATTTTCGTGGCAGGAGCCATGGACATCATAACTTTTTTTTTTCTTTTTCTACTTTTTTTCTTTTTTAGAGATAGGGTCTCTCTCTGTTGCCCAGGCTGGAGTGCAGTGACATGATCGTGGCTCACTGCAGCCTCAAACTCCTAAGCTCAAGAAATCCTCCCACCTCAGCCTCCCAAGTAGCTGAGACTACAGACGTGTGCCACCTCGCCCGGTTAACTTTTTTTTTTTTTTTTTTTTTTAAGAGATGGGGTCTCCTTATGTTGCCCAGGCTGGTCTCAAACTCCTGGGCTCCAGCGATCCTCCCACCTCAGCCTCCCAAACTGCTGGGATTACAGGTGTGAGCCACTGCAGCTGGCCCATTTTTTACCTTTATATTTAAGCATAACACAGTCAGTTACAGATCCAACTCCTTCTTCTCCTCTTTTCCCCCTTCTAACTACTGCACTTGACTAGTTTTATAAATAAATAAGTATAACATATGTTCAGGAAAGGCCGCACATCACAAGTGCACAGCTCAATGAATTTTCAAACTGTACAAAGCGTGTCACTAGCATCCTAATCCATAAATGAAAGTTTAGACCAGTCCCTAAAGAGCGCCTTCATGACCCCACTCTGTAACCATCTTCCAGAAGCCCCCAACTCTCCTTATTTTTTTTTTTCAGAGGGAGAGAAAGGGGTAGAGATGGAATCTCACTATGTTGCCCAGGCTGATCTCGAACTCCTGGGCTCAAGCGATCCCCCCAGCTCCAGCTCAGCCTCCCAAAGTGCTGGGATCACAGGCGTGAGCCACTACACCCGGCCTCTCCTGACTTCTAACTCCCCCTACCCTCTCCTCCCCCAGATGCCCCGCCCCCACCCGAGGCCCCGCCCCCAGGCCGGCCACCACCTCTCACCCGACAGCACCACCTCCACCAGGTCGCCCTCCTGGATGTCTCCGGACGAGCGCACCAGCTGCAGGAGGTTGGCCGACGTGGGGTCATGTTTGAAAAGCAGGATCTTGTCGTAAAGGCCGTAGAAGCCACACTCAGGGAACTGAGGGGCGGGAGAGGGATGTGGCGACGGAAAAGCTCAGAGCCGCCTTCAGCAGCGGGCGGACTGTGACCCTCCCAGGGCAGGGCCGGCTGTTTCCCCCGGAAACGCAGAGACCCCGCAGGCCCTCGCTTCCTGCCTGCCCCCTCCCAACCCCAGCGCGAGCCGGGCAGGATGCCAGCGCCCCAATTGTACGGGGAGGGGGCGCCGGCGTGGGTTTGGTGGCTGGAAGGGGGAGCTGGGGTGGGAGGGAGAGTGGCTCCGGGAGCGTGGACACCTCGAATTTTCCGGAACCTGGCGGAGGTGGGAGGGGATGCTGAATGAACACTCCCTCCCCTGTGCCTCCTCCCCAGGCTCACACACCCGCCCCCCAGCTTCCTTCCTGGATCTGTCTATTGTTGTCCCAGTTACCTGGCTCCAGGCCCAGCACTGGGGTGGGGCGAGCTGGAAGGAGGACTTTTCGGGGCTCCTGGGAAAGTGGGGGGGGGGGCCGGGGGACTTGGACTCGAGGGCGCTGGAGATAAGGAGGGCGCCTGCCACCCAATGCTCAAAGGACCCAGGTGTCTGGGTCCTCAGCTTTGGGGGCCTGGGGGCAGGAAATGAAACCTAGTAGAACAGAAAGTGAAACTGCCCCGGTGGGGCCTCGGGAAGGAAGGTAAGCGGCCCTAACACACCTGGACCTGGCAGAAAAATAAAACTGGGGTGAAGCCTGAGCGGGGCAGGCTGGGGACTTGAGCACTGGACAAAGAAGTTCACCCAAGGGACAATCTGCCCCCGTACCCCCACTGCCACCAGCTTCCCATGAAGTGGGCTGAGTTGGGGTGGTGAGCTGGGCCTGCGGGATTGAGGCATTTGGTGGGCAAAACCCTATCAGTTCTCACTGCTAAGAGAGAGTCCACAGAAGACCAGGACTGCCTTGGCCCTGACCCCTTGGGAAGTTTTTCTCTAAGCTTCAGTTTCCTTGTCTGTAGAATGGGGGAGCTGGCCCAGTTCCCCACGTTTCTCTGATGCCCAAAGGATTCATTTCCAGGAGTCTGAAAAGATTCTGGAATTTGGATATTTTGGGACTCCAACATGCTCACATTATAGAATTATACATTCTAGATTCCTACCTGGTATCACTATACATTTTAGGATTTCAATAACCTAAATAAGCGGTAATCTAATATTTTAATATTCTAGGAGTCTGACAAGCTAGGACTGTGCTCTTTGAATTCTTTAGCATTCAAGGACCTCATCCATCCAGCATTCTAAAATTCTAACATTTTAACTTTCTAGGATTCAACAATCTAGGAATCTAATATTCCAGCATTTTAATGTTTTACTATTTCACAAACCTAGAATTCTAATATTTGAACACGAACATGGGGGCAATTTAATTGCCTAGGATGCATATTCCAACAAGTTATGATTCTAATATTCTAACATTTCTACAGTCCAGTACTCCAACACAGAAGCCCACTATTCTTTTAACATTTCACGGTTTAGACGTGGAGTTCCACCTGGTTTCCTCTTGCCATAACACCCAGCTGCCCACCCTGGGGACCCTGGTGTCCAAAATTAAGAGTAGGCTAACAGCACTGTGACTAGGAAAGGGAATAGAGTCCCCAGGGTCTGTAGGAGTGCCTGCCCCTCCACACATATCTCAGGCTTAGGGGAGGGCAGAATTGGGCTCCGAGACCTCACTTGCCCCTGGCAGCTAACTCAAGCACCTGCACCCACACATGTCACCGGATCACCATGGCCAGCCCGGGTTCAATTTCTCCTGTTTCCACCAAATGGGAGGCCCGGGATGGGCCTGGACGTGGAGGTCCGCCGACATCTGCTGCCCCTTCCTCCCCTCTCTACACCTGGCTGGCCCCTCCCTTCCTCCCTGTTTGCTGCAGAAAACAACGACATGCAGGGACATGAAATTTGGGGAGGCCTCTGGGGCACCCCACCCCTGCCCAGTCCTCTCTCAAAGGGATGGTGGGGAGAGGGGCAATGGAGGGGGGCAATGCCCCCTATCCCTCCATCACCCAAAGCTCAGGTCTCCTTCCTCCCTCTTCCGCACACCAGGCCCCAGACCCCTCTGCCAGCGCCCCCTCCTTCAACCTCTCCCCGAGCTGGATCCAGGGAGCCTGCGCCCTCACCTTCTGGTCCACGATGGAACAGGCCAGCTGCTTCACATGAGCCAGCTCGGAGGCGGCGGGCAACAGCACGAACTCGCGGGTCAGCCCGATCTGGATGTGAAAGGAGACCCCGGAACCCGGGGCCGGGATCTGGGGCAGTAGCGGTGGCGGCGACTGCAGCTCTAGGCCGCCGGGGGGCGGAGGAGACCCCGGCCCGGGAGAGCCAGGGAGCCCGGCGGGATAAGAGGGGGCGGTGGCCATGGGGGGAGGCCGGGGACCGGCCGCCTGGAGCCCACCCGGGACCCGGCCGGGGGGCCCCGGGGGACCCTGGGTTCTAGATCCGCGGGATCTCGTGAGCAGGTGGTGGGAGAGCGGGGATCCGAGAAAAGATCTGGCAGGCGGAGGGGACCTGAGGATGGCGGGGTCCTGGGAAGGAGAGAAAGGCACTATAGTGGGTCAGAGGCCCGGAATCCAGGGCTCCCAGAAGATCAGAAAGGAGAAAAGTAGTGGGTTGGAGGTCCCAGCGATTGAGATTCCAAGAAGCCTGAGAGGAAATCTAGTAGGTCGGGGTCACAGGGATCAGGAGAGCCCGCGATTCAAAGGCCCCTTCCCTAGAGGAGGGATTGAGAAGGGGGCAGAGGGAATCCCAGGATCCAGTGCTCCAAGAAGAGGATCCCACTCAGAAGGCGGCCCGGGGGAATTCACCTTGGGGGTGGAGGGCAGGAGTCTCTGAGTCGGGGACCGAGTGGATTCCAGAGATAAAGGGGTTCGCAGGGACCCGACCGGCCAGGGGATGGGCAGAGGGGTCCCGAGGGCCGGAGTGGGTAGAAGGGAATCTCACGAGTCGCAGAAGTTGGAGAAAAGTTCGGTCGGGAGCCGTGAGGAAGGGGGCGTTGCCGGAGCGGGGTTGGGTGGGGGGCAGGGAGGGTCGCCAGGCGCCAGTAGCTCTTTTTCCCCCTCCAAAGTTTAAGTCGGCGGCGGCGGCGGCGGCCCAGGAGGAAGTGTCCGGAGCGACAGTGCAGTCGACCAATCGGCGCGGGCCTCGGCGACGTCAGAGAGGGGCGGAGCCTGCCGAGGGGCCGGGGGCGGAAGGGGAGGGTGGGCCCGGGGCCTCCGAGTTGGGGGCTGGACCTCCGCCTCCAGGGTCCGGGACAAGGGATGGTGTGAGGGATGGAGGGCAGGCAGGCGAGACCAGTTCCTTCCCTGAACACAGCCAAGCCTGGAAAGTTAACTTTTCCCTCGGCTGGACAGGGAGGGGAAACACTATCACCCACCGCCGGTCGCAGGCGTCGGGCTTGGAGGCCACTGGCCCTTTAAGGAGGGGAGCCCTCTCCGGCAGGCGTCCGGCGCCCATGGCAGGGGACGGGTGGGAAATCGGTATCAGGTCCCGGCCCGCTCTCTGGGTTCGGCCTCTCTGTTCTCCGAGCGTCACCCCTGCCCTCCCCGCCGCGTCCCAGCCCAGGGAAGGGGGTGCTGCAGAGCGTCCCCCGGCCCCAGCCCATTTAACACATGGAAAGACCGAGGCCTCCAGATGGGTAGGAAGGGGCTCGCCTTAGGTCTGTCTCCAGCGATGGTGGGCAAGGTGCATGGCGCTAACTGGATGGGTGGGGAGGGTCCATCCCCCCGCCCACCCCAACCCCGCCTTAGGATAGTGTGGGGCTGCCCCGAGGGAGGACAGCACACCCATACCACTTCATAGATGCAGAGTGTGTCTCCTGGGGATGTGGAGTACGTGTGCGTGTCTTTCTCTCCATGTGACTTTGGGTGAGTGGCTTCTCTGTGAGCCTCAGTCCCTCCATCTGTTGGGACTGTAATAGGACTGACCCCACATGGGATGGTGGGAGCCGATGCCATGGTATACTGGTGCCTGGAAACGCAGCAGTTCAGTAAGAGGTGGTTGTCTCTGATAATACGCGGAAAGGGGTGGCCACCTCCAGCACTCAGGCTTTGATGGGTGGGCACACCCATTCAGTCACCCAGCAAGTATCTGTGAGGACCTACTGGGTGCTGGGTGGGCCCTGCTGTAAAACTCCAGCCGCTACAGGGGTCAGGCTTGATCTCTCCTCCCCAGCTAATAATCAAATAGTGGCTACCATTTAGTTTACACAGAATAAGCTGAAGCCTCAGAGAAGCAAAACGTCTTGCCCAAGATCCCAGAGTGAAGTTGCTTGAGGGAAGCTGCCCCACCCACCCCTTTGATTGACAAGTCAAGGCCTAGGTTTGAGCTCTAAGAGAAGGGCCACCTGTCTGGCTGGGATGCTGGCAGGACTGGAAATGGCAGGGCTGGCTGAGGATGGGGGCTGCCAGAAGAGCCCCTCTTCCTGGTGTACGGCCGTTGGGGGTAGCTGAGGTCGGTACAGTATCGATTCTGTCACCACATCCGGGGGCTGGGGCTGAGGAAGGAAGTCTGAGGCTGGAGTGAAAACCCAAACCACCACCTGGGGAACTGCATTGAGCCCAGAGGGATGGGCAGGGAGCACACCACGTGGAGCCCACGAAGGCTCCCCTTGGCGTCATCTAAGGGCCTCCTGCCCACCTGCACCCTTTTTCCTGAAGGGCAGATGACTGTCCCAGCAAAACGCTGCCATGTCCTGAGTGTCCAGACAGCGGCCTCCATCCTTTCTCGTATGTTCACTGGGGCCTGCTGGGGGACTGGGGCACAGCCCTTTACAACCCAGGAACTGGGCATTAGTGCCCTGTGGCAGAGGTGCTAGGATTACCGAGGACGCCTGGCTGGTAGGTGGTGGAAGCCTCCTCGAGACAGGAGCAGCGGTCCCCTCCGTCTCATCTGGAGCATGTGGACACCTGCTCCCTCTTTTTAAGGCTGTGGACCCAGTGAAATGCCATGTAAAGCACTCAGTACAGTAGACGTGGACCACTGAGAAGGGAAAGGAGGGACGCATCAGGACATGAGCCACGAGGGCTCGGGCACCTGCGGCACCTCCTCCCAGCATGGAGGAGCCTGCGCCCCAAAGCCATCATCCTCCACTGGCAGGTGCAGCCTTTTCCCTCCCTGCTCCTTGTGGGCCTGGGATGGGAACAGGAAGGGGGTTTACGTCCTCTGGGCACCAGCCCTTTGGCCTCGCCACCACCCTCACACATCCCAGGCGGGGCTGAGGCTTCAGCTGGACTGTCATCATAGTATCTGCTCCCCAGGGCTCTACCCCTGGGGAGGGAGCACTTAGGGACAGAAAGGGCACAAGGAGATTCGGTCCAGTGCCTCCACTTCTCTCCACCCACACCCCACCCAAGCTCTGGGCCCGTCTCCGGCCCCTGCTGCCCTACCACAAAACCCCAACCCATCATATCCCCTCTCTCCAAACTCCACCCAACCCAGGCAGAGCCGGTCACTCCTCCCCCAAAGTCCCCAGTGCCCTCAACAGATGGCACCGTCACCCATCTTACTCCAAAGGGTTTATTGAGACAAGTTTTCACATACAAGATGGGGACAGAGGGGTTGGGGCTTATAAACAGGAACCTGGAAGGGGACCGAGGGTGCAGGGTAGAACCAAACAAGAGAGTGAAATAAATAGAGGGAAAGAGTGGAGACAGGGAGGAGACTGACTGAGACCATCACACAGTGATAATGCGGGTGGGGCGGCGCCATGAAAATCCCGTTATTTATACAGATATACAGGGAGTTCAGGGGGACCCGAGGCCCACTCCACCCTCCATGCCCCAGGGAGGGGCACAAGAAAGCCGTCTCTACCCATGGGCGACCCCATGGGGCGCTGGGAGGGCTGCCCTAGGAGTGTTGGGCAATCCCTGGCCTGGAAGCCTTGGTTAGTGTCTGGAAAGCAGTGGAGAGGGCCGGAGGGGAGGGGCAGCCAGGCCGGGGCTCAGCTCTGAGGCTCCCGGCTGCCACCCTTTCTCCCAGCACAGCTCCTGCCCAGGTCTGGGAGGATGGGGGATGGGGGAGCAGGAGCTCAAGGGGAGAACCTGGCACCTTCTGGAGTCTTGGAAAAACTGATCCCTAAAGACACCCGGCCCTGGCTGTGCTGCCCTCTGGAAAGCAGCTCTGATACCAGGAGCGGCTGTCAGGGCACAGGGGGAAACCCCGAGGCCATCCTCGGGGGTGATTCCTGAAAGGGGCCCATCCCCAGGCTGGATGCTTGGGGAAGGCAGCCGTTGGGGAGGGATTCCTGGGGAAAGGGCCGTTAGCACCACCAGGCTCCATGGCAAACAGACAGAGGCCAGGCCTCTGCACCTCCAGCGAGGCTGGGAGTCCCCTGCGGGAAAGAGAAGGGAGGGGAGACTGAGCCGCCGCCTCTAGGGCGCCTCTAAGGCCTCAACCCCTCCCCTGCATGCCCAGGGCTCCCCCAGTGATTCTCACAGGACGCCCCTGACTGGACTGCGGGGCTCAGCACACCTGGCAGTACTAGGCATGGGCGTGCAGAGACTCAGAATGCGGGGTTTCTGCCCTCACCTCAGCCCCACCTGCCCGGCCCTACACCCCAGCCAGCGTGGCGGCCAGGGCAGGGCCAGGTGGGCATCATACGAAGACCTTGGCCAGGGCATCAGCGCCAGCACTGGCAATGAGGGCCTTGCTGGGGTGGCAGGCAACAGCGTGGATGGCCTCCTCGTGCTTCTTGCGGTGGGCCGTGATCTCCTGCACGCACGTTTTGTTGTCCAGGCTCCAGAGACGCAGGGAGCAGTCATGGCCTGCACATGTGTCGGGGACAGAAGGGGTGGTCACTGGGCTCCTCGCTCAGACGCAGCCCTGGAACCCCTCACCTGGCCTTGTCCAAAGGCCTCAGGGGAAGTGGGGCTCAACTCTCCTCTCTCACCCTCTGCTCATCACCTCCTGTGGCCCGCCCAAAGGAGAACCCTGGTCCCCTCCTGTCCACAGTCCATCTCATCCCCCAGCATTTCTTGAGCAGCTACTGCACACTGAGCCCCAGGGCGGCAGGGGCAGTGAACAAAACAGGCAACTCTCCCTGCCCCGCAGCACTGACGCTGCAGCTGGGCAACAGGAAGAGAAAGAAGAAAGCAACCCAGCCGGTCAGTGTGAGGACAGAATGGCCCCAGGAGGAATGCAGGGAGCCTTCCAGGCAGAAGGACAGGCGGGAAAGGTCCTGAGGCAGGAGGTGGGGGTGGCCACAAGAGCCTTAGCAGGGACTTGGGGAGAAGAGGGGAGAGGACGGCAGGCTGGGCAGGGCCCTGGCGAGGAGAAGTTTAATTTAGGGTCAAGAGGATCAGGCAGGGCAAAGGCTCAGCTCCCTCCACTGTCTAGTGGCCCCCAGAATAGAGCCCTGTCTGGGCACTGGGCTGGAGCTCACTGACCAGCCCCTCACCCACCAGAGGCTGCCAGCACAGGCCCGGAGGCAGAGCCCAGCCACAGCCTCCAACACCACGGCCTGCGCCTCTGTGCACACACACTCACTGCTGCACTCACTGCAGGCCTCACCCTTCACCCCCACAGCGACCTCCAGTCTCCTTCTCCACCCACCCACGTCACACTCCATCCCTTCTAAGCACAGCCACGTTGCTGGCCTCAATGCCCTTATCCAGAGACAACAGGGTGGGAGCACAGAAGTCCCACGGGTACCCCCAGGTAGACCTGGACTGATGTTACAGAGCTTCAATGGCCAAGTTACAAAGCGTCTGGGCATCAGGGCCCACATCTGTAAACTGGGGATCAAAGTACCAACCGCACAGGCTGCTTAGAGGCCGAATGAGACGATGCAGCTCCAGTGACCCAGAGGAGGGCCCCAGCGGACTGTGCTGCCCCCTATGGTCACCACGGTCATTCCCGCCCAGACCAGCCTCCCCCAGCCCTGGCCCCCGGGGCCCCCTGAGCACTTGCCTGGAGCCAGTGCCCAGGCCTCTTCCTCCCCTTCTCCCCAACCCTGGTGGGACTAGTGTGCTCAACTTACTTCCTGACATCAGGAATGCGCCGTTGGGGTCCACGGCTAGGCAGGTGACTGCGTCCAGGTGTGCAACCATGGAGTGCACCGGCTTACCTGAGGCGAGAAGGGCGGGTGGCAGGTTCCCCTCCCACTCTGGGCCTCGCCTGAGAGAGTGAAAGGACTGGACGAGAGACTCCCAGAGCCTCCCACAGGGACGCAAGCATCTCTGCTGCCTGCCTCTGGCCCTCCCCACCCACTACGAGCACAAGGGGCTAGGCCTCACCTGTCCGATTGTCCAGGAAGCGGATGCCCCTGTCGTCGTGGGCGGTGATGGTGAGAGGCTGGTTTGGATGACTCACCACTTGGTTGATCTGGGTTGGACCTGAAGGAAAACGCAGGAAGAGGGAAGGATGTCAAGCAGAAAATCAGGAAGACCAGAACAGAGGCACAAGCGCAGCGTGACAGCCCCTACACCAGCCTCTGCCTGGATGTCGAGGGGGGCTGGGCGAGGGCACTCCGGTCCCCGACCGCAGCGCTGGTTCTGCACAAGCAGCCCCTGGGCCCTGTTTTGGGGCGGGGGAAGAGGAATAACAAACATGAACACATTCCGCCACTCTACCAAGAGGGCCCGACGGGGCGGCCCTGACGCGCTCTCCCCACTCAGCCCCGCCAGTGCCCTGGCTGTGAGGGCCGGGGGCCCTCCACTGGGACCCAACTTCCTTCCTGCTCAGGGCCTGAGGGTGCAGGGGAGTCATCTGAGCTGACTGACAAGGGGTCGCCAAAGCCCCAGGAGGAAGTGGGGCCCAGAAGACACTGAGACCAATTCCATGAGCTGATGTCAGCCCCCTTACCGCTGCTGCCCCGGGACTCCAGCGTGAGGAGGGCACTGCCAACCTCCATGTCATACAAGACGGTGTCGCCAGAGCGGAAGGAGGCCACGATGTGGGCAGGCTCGGTGCTGGTGAAGGCCACTGAGGTGGGGACCCCGTGCTCTGAGGGCACAGGGAAGAGAAGGCTGCTGAATGGACCCTCAGACCCAGCCCTGCCCCAGGGTGGGGGACAGTGGGTGGGAGGCCTGGGGCCTCAGCAGGAACCACTCTGATAGCCTCCAGATCCCGCACAGCTCCAGGGTGAGGCACCGGGGCCCCCACTCACCGCTGGCTGTGGGGAAGGTGCAGAGGCAGGCCGGGCTGCTGCTGCTGGGGTCCCAGATGCGGACGGTGCCATCAGCAGAACAGGAGGCCAGGCGCTGGGAGGTGGGACTGAAGGCCAGGCCCCACACGGCGTCCCCGTGGCCCTCCAGGACGTGGCTCAGCACGCTTGGGTCTGCACCCACCGCAGGGAGGAAATGGGCTGTGTCAGGGCTGCCAGCTCCTCCCTGGACAGCCCAGAGCCCCAGCTCTGCCAAGCCCCAGGCAGCTGGGCTCCAATCACCCACGCACCCACTTCACACCTGGTGCCCCTCGGAACTGTCCACTGCCAGGACAGCCCGGCAGCTGCTCACACTGCCCACTAGCTCTCCAAGGAAGGTTCTAGGGCTCCAGAAGGCAGGGATTTCCCTCTATTCACAGCTGTCTCCCCAAGCAGGGCCCAGAAACTGGGAGCTCAATACAGAATTTTTCGGGCTCCATTAAGGAAGAAGGAACAGCATGGTTCTGTGGCCCCAGGAGCGGCACGCAGCCTGTGCTGGACAAGGGTTGGTCCCAACCCTGGCCCGAGCAGTCTTTTCAGCCCATGGCCAAGTGCATGGGCTTTGCCTGGTCTCTCCAAAGCCCCCTGGTCATTCAGAGGTCCAATCACTGCTTCCCTGGTTGCTGGAGTCCACACCAGCAGCTCTGGCCTGCTGACACCGAAAGTGTGGTGGCTAATGTAGCTGGGACCGATCCTGACCTTGTGCAGGTGAGCCTGTTCTCTAAAGTCTGTCCTCCCCTTGAGAGGAGACAAAGACCTCTGAACTCTGCCCAGACAAGGTGGAGCACAGGGCCAGGTGCATGATCAAGGAGGCAGAGCCGGGCGCAGTGGCTCATGCCTGCAATCCCAGCACTTTGGGAGGCCAAGGTGGGTGGATCACCTGAGGTCCGGAGTTCAAGACCAGCCTGGTCAACGTGGTGCAACCCTGTCTCTACCAAAAATACAAAAAATAGCTGGATATGGTGGTGCGTGCCTGTAATCCCAGCTACTCGGGAGGCTGAGGCACGAGAATCACTTGAACCCAGGAGGTAGAGGTTGCAGTAAGCCAAGATCACGCCACTGCATTCCAGCCTGGGTGACAGAGTGAGACTCTTTGTCTCAAAAAAAAAAAAAAAAAAAAAAAAAAGGCAGAGAACAGGGGGACAGATGTTGAACAGAAGTGACAGTCTGGTCACTTCCCTACTTAGGTCTTAGATGCTCCAAAGAGAAAGCCCCAACGCGCTCCAGCCTGGCCCAGCTAACTCCACCTTCTCTGCTTTCTCTGGACATGCCCTCCCCTCAACCACGCAGAGACCCTGGCGGATCCCCACACACAGAGTACACGGCATGGCAGAGCAGAGGCTGCCAGGGCCAGCCACGCCTGTGCATGGGCTGCTCCCAGCCTGGGCTGCCTCAGCACTGCCTTCTGGACGCCGGCTCACAGAGATTCTCAGGCAGCTTCACCACCTCCTCCCACAGCCATCATTCCCATCCCGGCTGGCTCGTCCCTTGGCCACGCGCTGCATCGCGCTGCTCACAACAGAGCAGACAGGGGAGCCGTCACACGCACTCCTGAGGCCTGCAGTGTTGGCAAGAGGTGGACGCGACGTGTGTGTGCGTGGAGGGGACGGCCAGGCCCCAGTGGATGTGAGGGGAAGGCGGGAGGCGTTGTCCTCACCGTAGCCATCATAGGGATCCATGCTGAGGTCTGGAATCTTCCAACTATGGATGCAGGCATCTGCCCCGCCACTGTAGCAGTATTCACTGTTGCTGCCCATAGCCACAGCCAACACTGGGCCCCTGGAAGGGACAAATATGTGGAAAGGGGGATGAGACAAGCTCAGGGCCTCCCCTGGCCACAGGACCTAAGTTCCCTACTAGCATTCTTCAAGGATGGCCAAAAGGAATTCAGTGACTGGGGCTCTGGCCATGCTACCTGGACAAGCTGCCTGTCCCCTGCCCTCCCCCACCCCACCTCCATCTCCTCCCCTGAAGGGCTGTGCTGAGTACCAGCTGCCAGGGCATGTGAAAGTCAGCATGGAGCCCCAAGAACCAGGGCTGTGTATATCATGAAGGGGGCGGGGACTCAGAGCCCCCTGCTGTCCTGCCTCCTGCCGTGGGCCTCCCGCGATGGCAGTGAGCAGGTCAGGAGTCAGGCTGCATTTAGGACGAGTTTCTAGCAGGCTCAGGGGCACCTCCCTACCTGTGAGCCCGGAAAGCATGTATAGGTTCCACATCTAGCGCCGCATTCCTGTGGGATGACAGAGGAGCCTGATGTCACTGAGACCCTGTCACCCCCGTCCCCAGATGCCCCTGCCCCCGGCTCTGAGCTTGCTGCCCTCACTTCTTGGCCGTGACCGCCTTCTGCAGGTTCCAGAGCTTGAGCGTGCCGTCCTCGGAGGCGGTGAGCAGAGCCGACTGGCTGTGGTGGAAGGCCAGGGAACGAATGCCGTCGTAGTGCGAGCGCAGGGTGAACTTGGGGTTCCACGTCTTCTTAAAAGCATCTTTGCTGTCAGACAGCTGGGGTTGGGGGGAGCTGCCTCAGTGTCTTCGCATCCATCCCAGCAGTCATGCAGACACCGACACCCAGGGCTTGAGGGCCCCTGTCTTCCACCCACATGACCCTGGCAGGAATGCCCTCAGAGCCTGGGCTCCAGCCGGGAACTCTCCCCTTCCTCTGCTGGGCAGAGTCTCCATGCTCGCCCAACAAGTCCCCACACTGCGCTGGGTTCTGGAGAGACAAAGGTGAGCCTGACCCCTTGGGGTCTTGCAGTTGAGAGGAAGGGGAATGGGGGACACAACTGGACCATCCCACAAGTGTGCAGGATCATCAGCCATGAGCAGGGCAATGAATTAAAGATGCACAGAGAGACATCAGGCAGCCTGCCCTCCTCCCTGGGGGCCACTGAGGCTTTCCTGAGGAAGCACGAGCCAGCAGGACTTCACAAGATAAGGAGAGGGCCCTGGAGAGGGAAAGGGCCCGTGCAGAGGCCCTGAGGCAGCAAGGGCGAGCCCAGGCCTGAGAGGTCAGTGGTACAGGCTGCAGGAGGCAAGGAGAGTGGCAGGGGATGAGACAGGTGCTGGGTGGTGAGCCCCGGAGGAATGCGCATTTCATCCTAAGAAAAAGCCTCAGAGAAACAAGGAGCCGGGGAAGTGTTTAGAGCAGGGGAACGACATGGCTTGTTCCTGCCACCCCTGAGAGGCTCAGATTAGGGGCAGGTAAAAGTAGCCACAGACGGGGCACAGTGGCTCACGCCTGTAATCCCAGAACTTTGGGAGGCCAAGGCAGAACGATCATTTGACCCCAGGAGTTCGAGACCAGCCTGGGTAACATAGGGAGATCCCCTCAAGGAGCAAAAAAAAAAAAAAAAGGTAGCCTCAGAGAAAGAGGTTGAGAGGCCAGGAAGTCCCAGGGGAGATGAGGGCATGGAGACCAGACACGTGACCATGAAGGGGAGGCAGTGCACAAGTGGGAGAGCTGTGGGGGCCTCTGTCCACCACGCTGCATGCGCCCTGGTGCCGCTCACCCAGCAGGGGACCCGGAGAGGGCCAGGTTCCGGAGAGATGACGAGCAGAGTACCAGGCAAGCCTCAGCACCATGCCCCAAGATGGGCTCCCAGCTGACGTCCCTGCCTTAGCTGTCCCTTCTGCCACAGTTCTTTAGGGTCAGAGGATCTGCTACTGTGTGGTTCACTCACCCCCTCCCCTAGCGGGGCTCAGAACACTGCACTTCCCCAAGATGAAATGACATCTTGGGGCGTGCAGAGGGACCCCATGGCACACTCCACTTCTCAGGCCTCTGCTCTGACCCCCCTTCCTGAATCTCACAGCAGTCCCCACCCAGCCTTACTAGGGTCACCAACACTGGAAATCCCATTCTGTCACAGTAAAATGTGCACATACACCCACACCAAAAGCTCCCAGCTGGCCAAAGGCTCCCAGCTGGCCAAAGGCTCCCAGATGGCCAGAGGCCCGTCCACTGAGGCCCGGAACATTTCATTTCAGCCCAGCTGCCCATTCACACTAGATTGGCCTGACTTGGCAGAGCAGGGGGTGGCTACAGGTCATCTTCCTGCATTCCAAATCACCAGGGTGGGAGGGGCAGAGTGGAGGAGCCGTGGAACTGTGATTAAAACACAGGCTCCAGAGTCTTCCAGGCCCTGCGCCTTGGCGACCGCAGTCAAGTCCCTCCACTGTCTACATCTGCACCCCTCTGTGAAACAGGATGAGCAGGGCACGGGCGGCACCCAGTCAGAGCTTGCAGGGGCTGGCCCTGGGCGCAATGCCAATGGGGACAGTGTGGGGGGCACCCGGAGAACTTACATCGCAGCTGAGGTCGTTGTCGTTGGTGACGGTGAGATCTGCCAAGTCCCCCAGGCTCACCTCCCCGCCCCCGATAGTGTCCATGATGAAGACGTCTGAGGAGAAGCCAAAGGAACCTGGTAGGGGGAGGGGAGGGAGGGGCAGAGAGGGCCAGGGAGAGAGAGAATGACAGAGAGAGGCAGAGAAAGAGATAAAGAGCAAGAGAGAGAGACGGGGAGAGGACAAGATGAAGAATCACAGCTGGAAAGAGACAGAGAGACAGACAGGGCAGGACAGACAAAAAGAGAGGGAGACAGACAGACAGACGAACTTTTGGGGCAGGGAGGCTGCAGACTGGAGGCTGGGCCTCGACCCTGAAGACACAGAAGCCCTGGGCTCAGCTCTGCAGCCTCCCTCTGCCATGGGCCCGCAGGACTGGGACCAGGTGGGGGGTGCCTCTTACCTTCATGTGGCCGGGGCTGGGGTGTGCCAGGAGGCGGGCCAGTCACTTTTGGGGGCAGCCCATCCACATCCCGCAGGTCAGCCAGAATGCCTTGGAGTTTGACCCGACGGCTTTCTGCAGGGTCGAGGCATAGGGCCGGAGTCACCCAGCAGTTCCAACCCAGTCTGGCATAGGTGACGCCTTCCCCACACTGAGGGCCCCCTGCCACTCTGTGGGGCTGTGAAGCTCTGGCCCTGGGGGAGGGGGGGAATGGGCAGAGGAGAGGAGGTTGATTGGGCCCCTCCGTGGGGCAGTGGGCAGGTCACTGCCTTGCCTAGGCCTCAGGCCCCAGCCACCCATCCCACGTATCCTGAGAGCCCTCCTAGCTAGGAGTCACAGGACAGGGAGGAAGATGCGGCCCTCCCACCTGCCTCTCCCCGACTGGGTCCTCATCCTGTTCCCTCCTTGAGGCCAGCCAGAGCTGGACGCCCGCCCTGGAGGGCTGGCGGCCCCACTTCAGGAAGAGCCAGGACTGCCTGCGTCTCCATGGGGATTTTCCAGGGAAGGGGTGAGGGGCCGGCGGCCATGACCTGGGCCTCCTGCTCTCCTTGGCTACCCTCCTCTCAGGAAACATATCCGTCCGGTAGAGAGACCCTGTACAGGAAGCAGCTGCGGGCAGCTGAGCCTGCTCCCACCCCCTCGGTGGGGAAGGCAAGCGGGGGCTGGCCAGAAAACGTCAGCTCACCCAGCTCATGGGGGCTCCCATCCACAGTGCACCGCCGAGGGTCTGGAGCCCCTTCCCCATCCTCTCCTGAGCCCAGGAAATCAAACTCATTGATAGCATCCTCAGAGTCGTCTTCCTCATCCTCGTCTTCCATTTCGGGCACCAGAGCCTTGGATGGGAGCTGGCACATGGAGAAAGCCAGACAAGTCAGGGGGCCTCTTGTCCAGAGACTAAGCCACCTCCGTGCCTAGGAACAGGTAAGCCGGGGCTCTGGGCCCGTTTCTGTTCATGGGGCTGCCTCAGCCGCCAGCCAGCTGCCCTGGAGCGCCCCCTGCTGGGCCTTGGACAGCTGCTACCACTAGGGCCGGTCGGCCTGACCCCACCCTCACGCAGTCCTTCCCCTAGCCAGGGCTCAGCCTGCTCCAGTCCCCCAGCAAGGTGCCTCGGATGAAGAAAAGTCAGATAATGCAACAATCTGCCTGCAGGGAGGGCAGATATGCACTGGTGTCCGTGTGTGAATATACGGAGGTGCAAACAAGTGAGGATGAATGGACCACAGCATTGCAGCGATAAACACAGCACCAGCAGCCGTGCTGGCACAAGAGCAAATTCCACTCACTGAATGACCACTGACTACCCCTCGCAGACACGACTTCACTTAACCCCCAACCCTGCGAACAGCTACCGTGAACACTGTCATTATCATTCCCACATTACAGGCCAGGAGACAGGCTGAGCAGCAGGAACCCACTTGCCCTAGGTCACCAAGGCCAAGCTCTGCCCACTGTGAACTCCTCCAGGGCGTGGCTGACCCCTTCCACATGTCAGCCCCCCAGGCTGAGTTTGGCGACACCTCTCGGGCACCAGTGAGGGGCCAGCCTCTGACCTGCATGGGGGGGACCAGAGGGAAGGGGCATGGAGAAGACCTAGGGCCAAGGTTTATTCAACACTTGTGCAAAGAATGGGGAAGGGGAGGGTTTAGACAGCATGCCCAGAAAGGCAGCGGCCGGGCTCAGGACTCCAGAGGAGAGAACCACCACAGGTGCTCTGAGGGGCACACGAGTGGCAATTGTGCTCTGCCAACAGTGCCTGGAACCATGAGGGCTCCACCACTACCAAGTGCCACCAGCGCCACTAACACCTACTGAGCACTTGGGGGACAGCCACCATGCAGCTGAGGGCTTCCTGGGCACCAGCTCATTCTAATTAAATCCTCAACAACTCAGACGGAGGGACTCAGCCCCATCTAAAGGGTGAGGAGACTGAAGCCAAGACAAAGAAGTGTGGGCCAGAACTCACGCAGCTGGGCCAGGGCCCCCTGGGAGCCATGGGCAGTCCCCTGGGTTCCCAGCTGGGCCTCGATGGAGGGCTGCTGCGTAGAGACAGAGAGCCCTACCCAACCAGCCAGCCCAAGGGTGTGGGCCCGAAGGGGTGCAAACACCACGGATGATTCCTGATGGAATGGGTGGAGGGGTGGAAAAGGACTAGAAATTCTCAGAGGGGTGGGAAGGACCAAGCGTCTGGACCAGGGGCCAGCATTTGAGACCCTGGACTCAGCCCTCCTGCTCTTCCTCTAGGCCTCCTGCAGTGCTGCGGCTCCGTGCACACCACTCTACTTGGGGTGCGACTCTGTGCTGAGCCACACTGGGGATACTGGAGATGCAGTGGAGGCCCACACAGGCCCAGTCCCTCCCAGGGAGAGGTCAGGAGGAATACAGACCAGACAGGGAGGACCCCAGAGTGGCCAGGGCCAGGGAAGGGAGCCCAGGGTGAGTCAGAGAAGGCTTCCTGGAGGAGGGGGTGTCTGAGCTGAGTCTAAAGGAGGAAAGAAAGGGGACCTAGGCAAAGGGACCCGCTAATGGGAAGCCCGGGGCTCAGGGAAAGCTCCGAGGCCATCTGCCACAGGTGCCTCCTTCATAGGCACATGCCCCTGCCTCCACCACAACGCGTCCTTCTGCACATGACTATTTACAAGGCCGCTGCTGGCCACAAGCTCCTCCAGGCCAGGGCCTGTGTGTCTCCATATCCCTGCTGCCAGCACACACCGCAGCCCCTGAAGGCCCAGGCTGACTCGGAAGGGCTTCGATCAGGTCACACCCAGGCCAGGCTGTGCAGGGCATGGAGGAAGGGCTCACCTTCACACGCTGCTTCTTGTGCTGCACGCTGTCCAGCTCATCGTCCTCGTCGCTGTCTTCGTCCTCGCAGTTCTGCAGGAAGGGGATCTGCCCCAGCACTGAGCCGCCCAAGCGCTCTTTGCCATCTTTGCCTGCCGCGTTCCTGCCAAAGACAGCAGAGCAGAGGAGGCATGAGTCCTGGCAGGTGTCAAAGCTCAGATAGGAAGGTGCCCTCCCAGGCTTGGTGGCCAGAGCCCAGACCCAGCTAACCCCCTAACCCCTGAGCAGCCTTGACTCTGGTCACACACAGAGCCCCAACCCCAGCCTCTGCCCAACAAATGCTCATTCCAACTGGAAGCCTCACTCAGACCGCAAACGGGGCCCAGCTCCTCAATGACCGCCGACCTGAGTTTCAGAGGGCCAGCCCCCAACCCTGGTCACAAATCTCCATCCTGTGCTGAGTCAGAAGGAAAGCTGGATGAGAAAGTGCCACTGACTCAGCAGTCCCCATTCCCACAGCCCAGTCAGACCACAAGGGCAGGTCAGGCAGGAGGCAAACACGCCCTGCAGGAAAGAGGAACCGGCCATTCTACAAATGCTCTGGGAGGCGCCGAAAGCCAGCCAGCCTCGCGCAAGCAGGGGCGCCGGCGATCCCTGCTACCCAGGAGCCTGCACTATCCCCAGCAACAGATGGCACTCCTCCTTCCACCTCCTGGCTTCCAACTTCATGACAAGTTATAGCAGAGGAGGTACTGACCCAGCCTGACTGCGGGAGAAGGCAGGGTGCAATTCCAAGTGCAGATCGACGAAAACGTCCCCCCTTTCTGCCATCAGGTTGATGCCCTGGAGGTCTTGTCAACTGCCAGTTACCAACGGGTGCAGAGGTCACTGCAGATGTACCCTCTCGCCTCACGGCTGCCATCACCAGAGCTCCACTCCATCCTCAGAACACTCGCTGCACTTGCAGCGGGACACAGGACTCCATTCTCACCGGCCTTCCTCCCACAACGACACTGACACGCCGCACAGGCTCAGCCTCTTTCTCAGCTTCCTCCTCCTGTTCCTCCCTCCAGCCTCTAAGTGGGAGAGCACCCGGGCAGTCCCCAGATCTCTTCTCTGCGTCATCTACACTCACTCCTGCAGGCACTGCAGACGGCCATGGCTTTCCAAAGAATGCCCATGTGCTTGTTCAACTAGACCTATGTTTAGGGGCCAAATGCCCCGCAGCTCCAGACGAGCTCTGCTTCTCCACATGGGGGTAAACAGGCCCCTCACACTTCACACAACCTCGGCGGCCCCCAGAACTTCCACTCCCAGGCTTCCCCGTCTCAGGGGATGCTGCTCCAATGGCTCACACCAAACCCTGGAGTCGCTCGTTTCTTTTCCTCTCCCCTTAGCTGCAGTCCTTCAGTGTCGACTGCCTGAAAGCCTCTGGGGAAGCTGACACCTCTCGCCTCACCACCGCTAAAGTCCATCAGCTCTGTCCCAGACATCGAGCCATCTCCTAACTGGTCCGCCTGCCTCCTCTGTGACCCTCCCACACCTCTCCTTCTCAGAGTGGATCAGGTACGTCAGATTATGTCACCCCGCTGCTCGAAAGCACTGGCTTCCCACAACCCTGAGTCAAACTCAGACTCTATCCCAGCCCAAGGCCCTGAGTGGCTGACTCCTGAGACCACAACCTCCCCGCAGCCCACGCCTCACTGCCTGCGGCCATGCCGGCCTCGTGCTGCTTCTGTGCAGGCTGCGTCTCTCCTGCCTCTGGACCTCGGGGTTCACTGTGCCCTCTGCCTAGAACATTCTCCTCCCAGCCACTCGTGTGGCTTACCCTCCATTTAATGCCCACAGAGGCCCTCCCTGCCCACCCCCTGCAGAGGAGCACATATTGGCCCTCGTGGTCTCCATCGTGCTTAGCATCACCTACGTGGCCTCACTTGTTCTGCTTAACTGACAATTGCTGATGAGAGTGAACAAGCCAGAGATTCCTGAGGGTGGCGACCACGTGTGCTCCACTCCCTGCTGGCGAGGCACCCAGGGTGTGCCTTCGGTAAGCACCCCACTCGACCGAGAAGCGGGCAGGCCTGAGTATCAGGACGGGGGCAGGGCTGGAGATGAGGCCATGGCGAAGTGTGTGGAGGGAACCCAGGACAGAATCCGGGGGATCCCAGCAGTGAAGGGACTCAGGGTTTCAGAACAAGGGAGCCCACGGCATACTCCAGGAGGAGGGGCCGCCAGGGCACCCAGCGCCATCAGCTGACACTCTGACCCTGGCCTTCACCAGCAGTCAGGAGGAACAGAGAGACACACCTGCCATGTCCACGGGCTCACCTCTTTATCTGCTCCTCGATCTGTTTCACCAGCAGCGACTCCCCACCACTGAGCCCTGCAGGGCCTGGTGGAGCCCTGGGGGCCCCTTCACTCGGCTCCACTGCCCCGTTGAGCTCCAGCGAGCGGCCCAGCAGGGAACGGACGCGCTTGGACCGCATGTCGAGGATGGTGTCTGTGTAGCCCACCTCTTCCAGGTACCTGCAGGGGTGCAGAGCCACGTGGGTCAGACATCCCCTGGGCTTCTTCATGTACCACAGGGGCCAATGCAAACCGAGACAACCTCTTAAGGGGCCACTTAAGAGCATACACCAAAATCTGACATAAGCACACCCTCGCTCCAGCAGTTCCCCGTCAAGGCTATTTCCAGTGGAAGCCCTTGTACACACACACAATGCTATGTGTGAGGGTGCTCCCTGCACTGCTGTATGGGGAAGCCGAAGCACAGGGACCAGCCTCAGCACCCACCGACAGGGGCTGTGTCAGCAAATGACTCATAGCGCTGCAAGGCAGAAGATCAACAGGGCAGAGCCTTAAGGGAAGCTGGCCACGGTAAACAGCAGAACGAAAACGCTAAGTTCTATGATCCACATGATGCCAATGTTTGTAGAAAAAAACAAAAAGGCGTTAATGTGCATAAAGCTTACACCACACGCAAACACACGTTTGTATTATGTCCCCCAAGAGGCCTAGAAAGATCCATAAAAAACATAACAGCAGTGACCTCTGGAGAATGGGATTAGGGGCGTAAGAGGAACTTTTGCAACTTACTCTACTTACTTCTACAAATGAGCACTTATTACTTCTGCAATTTAAAAACTGAAGCCAGCTGGGACTGGACTAAAAGTAAAAAAAGAAGAAGGAAAAAAGAACAAAAATCAATTTGGGGTATCTGTGGCTTCAAAATACAGCGACAACAGTCCCTTGCTACTCCTCAGGAGGCTTCCTGGCCAGGCCGCCTTTGCCGTTCCCTGTCCCTTCGCAGCTCTGACCCTGTCTCTTGAATGTTAGGCTGCACGCACCTGCATGTACGTCTCATCCTGTGCGCCTGTGTGTGTCTGAGGCTCCTATCTCCCCACCAAAAGAGAGACAGGGAAGCACGGGGCTTTAAAGCTGGGCACTGGGGGCAGATTGCCCAAGATCCCACAAATTAACCATGCAACCTTGTGTAAACAGATCACCTCACCGCATGCCAGTTTTCTTATGAGGGGAACACTAGCATTATACCACACAGAGATCTCAGTGAGGAGCCAACAGGTGGAAAATGTTTAGCACAGTGCCAGGCACGTAATAGGTACTTGGTAAGTGTAGCCTGTTAGTATTACTATTATTGTTTTAGGGTTATTGTTTGCACACACTTTAAGCTAGCAACCCCACTTCCAGATATCTAACTTGAGGAAATCAAGGATATGCACAAATACCTTCCTGATTTTTATCACACTGTCTATAATACAAAAAAATTAAAAGCAACCTTGACAAAATACAAGGAACTGACCATGGAGAGTTATGGTTATCTATATGACAGACATTATATGTTGGGTTTTTTTCCTCCATAGGACCAAAGGAAGGAAATTATGAGGTCTTCAAAGTGATGCAACATAACTAATTAATATGGAGAGATGTTCGTAACTCTTTTTTGTTGTTGTTAAGACAGACTCTTGCTCTGTCGCCCAGGCTGGAGTGCAGTGGCACGATCTCGGCTCACTGCAAGCTCCGTCTCCCGGGTTCACGCCATTCTCCTGCCTCAGCCTCCCGAGTAGCTGGGACTACAGGCACCCGCCACCAAGCCCGGCTAATTTTTTGTATTTTTAGTAGAGACGGGGTTTTGCCGTGTTAGCCAGGATGGTCTCGATCTCCTGACCTTGTGATCTGCCCGCCTCGGCCTCCCAAAGTGCTGGGATTACAGGCATGAGCTACTGCACCCGGCCGATGTTTGCAACTCTTTAACAGTGAAAACAAATCCCAGCTTTTATAAAATATATAAGCTGGGCTGGGCGCGGTGGCTCACACCTGTAATCCCAGCAGTTTGGGAGGCCAAGGCAGGTGGATCACTTGAGCTCGGGTGTTCAAGACCAGCTTGGCCAACATGGTAAAACGCTGTCTTTACTAAAAATACAAAAATTAGCCAGGTGTGGTGGCACACACCTGTAATCCCAGCTACTTGGGAGGCTGAAGCACGAGAATCACTTGAACCCGGGAGGCAGAGGTTGCAGTGAGCCGAGATTATGCCACTGCACTCCACTCTGGGTGAAAGAGCAAGACTCTGTCTCAAAACATTAAAAAATAAATAAATAAATAAGTAAATGAAATACATAAACTGAGCAGTGTGGCTCATGCCTGTTGTCCCAGCTACTCAGGAGGCTGAGGCAGGAGATCACTTGAGCTCAGATCAAGCCTGCTGTGGGCTCTGACTGCACCACTGTACTCCAGCCTGGGAGACAGAGTGAGTTTATTTATTTATTAAGATAACAGAGGCAAAAATACACAGCCACGGAAGAAACTGAGACCATATATGGCAAAATGTTTATAGGGGTATGAAATTTCTTGGGTGGAGAAATTATGAGTGATTTTTCTCTCTGCTCTCCTATATTTTCTAAGTTTTCTAAAATGCACAAATCTCTTCAGCAATTAAAAAATAATAATTTGAGGCTGGGCGCGGTGGCTCACACCTATAATCCCAGCACTTTGGGAGGCCAAGGCAGGCGGATCACCTGAGGTCAGGAGTTCAAGACCAGCATGGCCAACATGGTGAAACCCTGTCTTTACTAAAAATACAAAATTAGCTAGGCATGGTGGTGCACGCCTGTAATCCCAGCTACTAGGGAGGCTGAGGCAGGAGAATCGCTTGAACCCGGGAGGCAGAGGTTGCAGTGAGCCGAGATCGCACCACTGCACTCCAGCCTGGGCAACAAGAGCGAAACTCTGTCTCAAATAATAATAATAATGATAATAATTTGGCCAGGCGCAGTGGCTCATGCCTGTAATCCCAGCACTTTGGGAGGCCGAGGCAGGCGGATCACTTGAGCTCAGGAGTTTGAGACCAGCCTGGCCAACATGCTGAAACCCCATCTCTACTAAAAAATACAAAAATTAGCCGGGTGTGATGGCACCTGCCTGTAATCCCAGCTACTCAGAAGGCTGAGGCAGGAGAATCGTCTGAGGTGGATGGAGGCAGAGGTTGCAGTGAGCTGAGATCGTGCCACTGCACTGCAGCCTGGGCAACGGAGCAGAAACTGTCTCAAAAAATAATAATAAATAATAATAACATTAAGAATTTGCTGGTCCAAACATGGTGAGTTACTGTGATGATTCACAGTTGATTACAGACCTACTTACAGATCTGCCTTCTCCCCACTTCCCACTACTGTATTTGATTAGTCTTTAAATAAATAATTAACAAATAAAAAATAATTTAATATTACCCTTGGGAAATAAAAAGCCATGCTTCATAAATCTTCACAAGGTATCTAAAAAAAAAAAAAAAAAAGCCACACAGGGCTCCTATGGCCACTGAGACAAAAAAAAAAAAAAAAAAAAAAGCCACAGAGGCATTCAGGGACACATTCCAACAGGGGTGTCCCCACGTCTGCCTCCTGCAGCGGGTTTCCCTCCCTCTCCCCAGGCCAGGCTCCGCCCACAGGGTGAAAGCCATTCCAGCCATGGCTGGCTAAGATCCTGATAGTTCAGCATCCCCAGTGGGGACGGAAAAGGACTGTGGAGTCTTTGGACTTATCTCTCAAGCCAAACGTGTCACGTGTCCCCAGCCCCCCTCCCCGAGCACACTCACTGTCGGAGAAGCTGCCGCCCCTCCTTCCACACCAACGGGCTGTTCTCCAGGGTGACCGATTCCACGGGGCCATTGGAGACTGGCGGGTGAGAGAACGGAGGCTGTCTTAAGTCAGGCCACTGCCACCTACCCATCACCTCCTCCATCTTCCTCACCCCTCCAACCCAAATCGGTCACTGTCGCAGGTCCTGTGGCATCACTTCCTGAGTGTTGGAACCCTGCTCTCTTCCCTTACTCGGGGATTCCTCCTCCTTGAAGCGTTCCTCATCTCTAGGTCTCCTGACTGGTGGTTCCCCAAACTGGCCCCCGACAAGATAAGGGTGTTATCTCAAAACCAGAAAGCTGGCCTGGTTCTGAGAGAAGGGCCGACTGGGTTCAAGCCCAGCTCTGCCCCATCCCAGCTGTGTGACCCTGAGTTAGTGTAAGCCGTGTCAGTTTCGTCCTCTGAGAAATGAGCTTAATGATAACAGCATCTCCCTCTTGGGAGTGCTGAGAGGATGCAATGAGATAATTTGCTTAGTATTTTATTCAAGTCTTTCCTGGGCATCTACGCTGTGCCTGGCCAGGGGCCTGGGCTACATGGGTAAACAAAGACCTGCCCTTGTGGAACTTCCGTTCTAGTGAGAGGAGCTGGCAGCAGGTAATGACCATCACTATCAGCTGAGCACACAAGGTCTTCTCAGCTTGCCTCGGCCAAGCTTCCCCCTCACCCAGCCCGCCCTCCCACATCCTCTGCCCTACACTGTTTGCCCAGGCACACTGACCGACTCCCTGTCCCCTAACCCTTTCAGCGTGCGTCTCTGTATCTGTGCTCTCTCCCCTGACTCTCCTGCTGGGGAACGGAGTCATCTTTCAAGGAGCTTAGACTCTAAGGGACCAGAGGGTAGAGACCATGTCTCCCGTGCTCTCTGCTGTATTCCTGATCTGTGATACAAAGCCTGTACCCTACAAATAAAGTCTTTTTTGGATGAACGATTGAACGGCAACCCTGTTCAAACGCCACCTCCTCAGTGACGTCTTCCCCGGCTTTCCCGCACCGTCCCCAGCACTCTATAAATAGCCCTGGCGCCCACTCCTCGCAAAGGGATCCCGTGAGCTGCTCGTGTGTCTGCCTCTGTTGCACAGGGGGACCCAAGCGGGACTGGCCCCCAGGGTCCAGCACGGGACCTGGCAGCCCATAGGGAGGGCTCTGAGAGTGAGATTCCGCCCCTCCCCAGCCCCGGGGCCGATTCTGCCTTCTAAGGAGCAAAGTGAGAAAGAGGCACCCCATCTTCCTGCTTCTCCAGAACACTCAGCTTCTGCGGGAGGGTGCCGACAGTGCGAGCATCAGAGGGTGGGTACCTTGTTCTGACACATCTGCTTTCTTCTCCCCCTGGTTCAGGTCTGTCCCAAACTTCAGTTTATGATATTTGGCCCTAAAAGAGCAAATGATTAATGAATAAGAGATGCGGGAGAGTAGACAGGGTCAGTAGTTACCTAAGGAATCCAGAATCCCAAACCCCAAATCACAGGGCCTCCCCCAGCTCGTCTACTACTGAGGCTGAAGCATCCCCCCACACCCCTGGCCTGGTGGAAGAAACCACTCCCTGGAGTCAGGCAACCTAGGTTGCTCTCAGGGGTCCTTGAGGAAACCATCAGCCCTTGAAACCCCAGTTCCTTATCTGAAACAGGGCTAACAATACCCGTTAGGCTATTGGAAGGTATAAGGGATAACGGAGGTAAGGACTATACGATATTTGGCGCACAGTGGGCCACTAGCATCGTGAATATCGTTCCTGGTGTCTAACCCAAATCCCACCTACTCTGTCCTGTTTCTCCCCTAGAATCTTATGGTACTGGAATGATGGAAAAGAATGTCGACCCCAAATCTCCCTTAGCTGGAAGGAGGCGTGGCTGGTGGCCTCCTGACACTGTGCTTGAGACGGACCCAGAAGGCAGGCCCAGGGCAGGATGAAGGCTCACCTTTCCTGCTTCAGCGCATACTCTAGCATCTTGATCCGCCGCACCAGGTCCGTCTTTAGATTCTCCTGCCCTTTCCTCTCTCCCTGAAGGAAGGCCACCTGAGCCTGGGAGGGCAGACAGGAGGCAAAGGGAGATAATGGGGCTCAGGCTCAATGCCGGTGTGTCTATCACTCACCCAGGTATAGTGCCAGCCCACAGTCACCCCACAGTAATGGGCAGCAGCCACTTCCTCAGGCACAAAGATCCCAAGCCAGGGTTCAGGGAGCACTGAGAGGACAGGATGGATCTGTTTCCAGGGCCCCCTGCCACGTCACCCACAACGAGGGCCGAAGGGGAGCCCTTAACCCCTGAGATAACAATGGGGCCAGCCTGGGCCTCACCTGGTGGCTGCCTTTGGGGGGAAGTCGGGTCAGGGATGGCAGTGGAGAGGAGGGTGGGCATTCACCGCCCTGGACTACCCCTGACGCCCTCTGGCAGGTGCTGTCCCTAAGGCTGCTGGTGGAGGTGGCGTCCCACTATTCTTACCAGAGCATCTGTCTCTGGGAGGCGTGGGAAGCTACTTCTGGAGCTTAGGGACAAGAGTGGGTGGCTCGGCTCGGCTCCTGCTCCAATAGAAAAGCTTTACAAGCCAAGCCCGCTGTGGGGACCAGCCGTCCCACTGCATTCCGCCCAGGGTGTGAGAGAAATGTGCCACAGACACGACCCCGGGTTCCTGCCAAGCACTTCACACCGTCTGCTGGCTTGAGCTGCCCCGTCTGCTCCAGTCTGTCAACAGGTCATTTGGAGACACTGGGCCCACTGCCTTCCAGGCAGGATCCTGGCCCCTGACCATGGTCCAGAAGCTCTTCTGCCAAAGCCCTGGCCCAAGGCTCATCTCTGGCTTCTCCCCAAGCACCCCACCGTTCCAGCCCAGAACAGCCAGAGCCCAGGCCCAACTTAGACACTTACTCGCTACATGATCTTACGCAGGTCATCAGCCTTCTCTGAGCCTCCATTTGCCCCTCTAGAAAATGAGAGTCACAAGAGTGCCCTCCCCTCATGTGCTAGGTTCTGCTCAGTCAAGGCCTGGCACAGAATAAAGGCTAACAAATGCCAGCTTCTACTTCTTTCATCATTTTTATTCTCCCTGTCCATTGTTCGCAACTTCGAAATGGGCCCAGTTCCTTACGGGAGGTAGGATCCCTTGGAGACCCCAGATCAACTAGAAATGTCTGTGGATTGGCCAGGCACAGTGGCTCACGCCTGTAATCCCAGCCCTTTGGGAGGCTGAGGTGGGCAGATGACTTGAGGTCAGGAGTTCAAGACCAGCCTGGCCAACATGGTGAAACCCCATCTCTACTAAAAATACAAAAAACTTAGCCAGGCATGGTGGTACACACCTGTAGTCCCAGCTACTCGGGAGGCTGAGGCAGGAGAATCGCTTGAACCTGGGAAGTGGAGATTGCAGTGGGCCAAGATCGTGCCACTGCACTCCAGCCTGGGCGACAGAGCCAGACTTCGTCTCAAAAAAAAAAAGAAATACATGTCACCAGTTACCTTATAGAAAAGAAAACTCATCTGTCCGCTTCAAGAATGGGAAATTTTTTTCCTTTTTAACACTTTTTACCAACACATATGTATATAAACATCCAAGGCCAGACAGGGAAACTACTTATATGACATCAGCATCTCTGAAGCATGAGTTTCTGTCCTTTGTGTATCTTCTCAGTCCCCCAAATCTACTCTCTGAATCACTGGAGAAGGTGTGAGGAGAGGCAGACCGACCACCGAAGACAAGTCCTGACTTTCCTCCTCACTCTCCTCCCTTCCCTCCTGGGGTTTGGTGATTGATCCCTCAACCTCCCAGGGGCAGTTCAGCCTGCCGGGAACCTACACCTTGGTCAATACCTGCCACTGTTTGGTGACTGCCCACACACATCAGGTGCCCCAGTAAGGCGCTGGGGAATAACAGAGGAGCCATGTGGTTCCTGCACCCACAGGGCTCAGTCCCATGCAGGAGACAGGCATGAGCAGCAACTCACATGCAATGTGACTAGGACCCCATTGCGGGAGCGAAGGACGCTATGGGAAGAGGGACAAGAGGCGACAATTCAGCTAAGGCCTGAAGCTGAAGAGAAGTTAGCCAGGGGAGGGAAGGGCCCTGCTGGCAGAGGACGGAGACAAGAGCTGCATGGTGGGCTTAAGGAACTCTAAAAAAGGCCAGGATGGCTGCTTCAGAACCTGTAAAAGGCTCAGTGAAGCCATGGAAGGGTTTTAAGTACAGAGAGGTAACCGATTCGCATGTTATAAAGGCAGCTCCAGCTAAAACATGGAGAACTGACTGGAGGGAGTTCTGGAGGGAGACTAGAGGGAGGGAGCAGGAGAGCGGCAGAGCTGGACACAGAGACCCCCATCACAGATGAGGGCAGTCCCAGAAATCCCAGGACAGAACGGTAGTGGCTTGGACTAGGCCGGGGCAGTGGACACAGTAGTGGTCTATCTGTGGGGGCAGGAGGTGGAGTTGGGCATCCCAACCAGACCTGTCACTGGCTGGGTTCCCCCTTCATCCCTCTGCTGCCTCATCGAGCTGTGGTCTCCCTCCTCCTAATGAGGATGTGAGGGTCTCAGCTGCCCACTCTGCTTTGCTGTCCCTTTCCCAGTGCCTCTGGAAAGAGAACCAGAAAGACATGGTTGGAGCATCTCAGGGAGGTGGAAACCCACCAAAAACGGGAAGCGTCAGTGGCCAGTCTCTCCCTCGCTGCAAACGCCAGCAGCCCCCACGGGCTGTCTGGTCTGCGAGGGCCAAGGTAGGCCTGAGGGTCGGTCGGGGATCTGGAAGTGCCGCTCACCATATCCACCCACTGCCACTCCCTCTAGCCAGAGCCGCAGAGCATGCGCTCCCAAAACCTTCTGATACCTGGCAGCTACTGCCTCTCCGCCCCTCCAGCTATTCCCAGCAAGGCGACATCTAAAGGCTTCGGAGGAGTCCCAGCAATTCAGTCCTCCCAGGAGCTGATGCCTCTCTGAATTCGCTGCTTCCTGTCCCAGCTAGCTGGGAAGAGTCCCCGTTTCGTGCCATCTAGCCCTGCATCTCCTAAGGGCCTCCTTCCCAAGCTTCAGCAGCTGCTGGCAGGAATGGGCCCCCAGGAAGCTGAAGTGGGCAGGGGCAGCTCCGCACATTCTCTGCTGGCACCGCACTCACTGCAGGTCCCTGTCGCTGCTCCTATACAAATCTCCAGTTCAGATCCCTCATTAAAAGGTCCCTCCCATCCTCAAAAAGCTTCCCCTCTCAGAGTTGCCACAGAACAGGGGCAGAGCCACACAATCAACTGTGCATGAACATCTACAGCTCTGCGGTCCCCTGCACAAACAAGCTTCCTCTGCCAGCCTGGAAGTTTCGGATGGGCAGAAACCACGTTACTTACTTCTCAGAATCCCCCACCTAGCAAATGCCTGCTCATTATCAGACTGCAGCTCCGCCACCTTCCTGCTCCAAACTTATGGTGACTACTGGCAGGACCTCCCTGGGGGCTGCCTTCTCTGCCATTCAACACACAGGTACCAAGCAGGGTCGCACGGCAGGTCTTCTGCTAGGAGCAGCTGTATTAAGCTCTTCAGAGAAAAGTTATTCAGAGTCCATCAGGAAAATCTGACACTGCCTAGCTCTTAAGGGATCTCACAGGGGAAGTCACACCGTCTGTTAGCACTAAGTGTTCAAGTAAAGGTGTGTAAAAGAGGTGCCGCTGATGGGAGAGTAAACTGGTGGGTCAATGTGGCAGAGTCATTCACTGTTTCTTTTTTTATTTTTATTTTTTTTGAGATGGCATCTCGCTCTGTCACCAAGGCTGGAGTGCAGTGGTGTGATCTCGGCTCACTGCAACTTCTGCTTCCCGGGTACAAGCGATTCTCCTGCCTCAGCCTCCCGAGTAGCTGGGACTACAGGCGCCCACCACCACGCCCGACTAATTTCTGTATTTTTAGTAGAGGTGGGGTTTCACCATATCGGCCACGCTGGTCTTGAACTCCAGACCTTGTGATCCACCTGCCTTGGCCTCTCAAAGTGCTGGGATTACAGGCGCGAGCCACCGCGCCCAGCCCAATCACTGTTTCATAAACACATCCATTCTACTATTCCACTCATCTGTTCTGCTTCATTCTTGCACAGGAATAAGGGGTTCTCACTGCAGCCATGTCTGATGGGGGAAAAACTAGAAAAAATCTAAAAGTCCACCAACCAGGGTCAAACTCAATCAGCTATGGTGCAAACATCCCGTGGGACGCTATGCAGCTATCAAAAAGAAAGAGTTCTCTGTGCTGATATGAAAGGAAAACCAAAACAGATTATTATGTCACAAAATGATACATACAGCAGTAGTTCATCTATTACATAAGCACAATAACTCTTCTCTCTCAGGAGAGAAGAGCAGGAAAGGGACGAAGAGAAGGAACTTTCCTTTTTCACTTACATATATATGTGTATACACACACTCACACACACACACACACCCCTCTGAGATGTCTGAATTTTTACTAACTTAACAGAATAAAAGAAAACAAAAGTACAAAGTGACAGTGCTGGTACCATGCCAGACACAAGTTCCTCTCAAACTCCAAGAAGGGTCAGTAAGTGAGGGGATAAACATCTTTTCTCTCATCAGCCTCCAGGATGAGAAGATGGTGTGGTGGGTGCTGTGCGGTGCACTGGTGCAAAGTCCCAGAGGCCAAGATTCAGTCCAAGCTCTGCTATGACTGCTTGGGTGACCCTGGGGAGGCCACTATGCTTGCCTGAACCAATTTTCTCAACTGTACTGGGTAGCAGAGAGGTACAGAACATGGGCTTAAAAGTCTACCGACGGTCGGGCATGGTGGCTTATGCCTGTAATCCCAGCACTTTGGGAGGCCGAGGCAGGTGGATCTCTTGAGGCCAGGAGTTCGAAACCAGCCTGACCAACGTGGCAAAACCCCATCTCTACTAAAAATACAAAAATCAGCCAGGCGTGGTGGTGGTGCACACCTGTAATCCCAGCTACTTGCGAGGCTGAGGCAGGAGAATCGCTTGAACCTGGGAGGCAGTGGTTGCAATGAGCCAAGATCATGCCACTGCACTCCACCCTGGGTGACAGAGTGAGACTCTGTCTCAAAAAAATAAAAATAAAAATAAATAAATAAATAAATAAATAAACAAAAGGTCCACCACAGACCAGCCCTTCTGCTCATCTGCTGGGATCCTAGATAAATCACCCTCTCAAAACCTCCATTTCCTCTCCTGATTTTTTTTAAAGGTAGGGGGAATATCCTTTATCCTCCCAGAATGCTGCAAGAATTAAATGACAGCTCGTATCTACAGTACTTGATACAGCGCCCCAGACATGGTATGTGCTCACTAAATTGCAGCTGGTACCGTTATTGCTGAGTGAGGTAATGACACTGCCTCTGCCTACATCACAGGGCATTGTGAAGATCTGATGAGATGTATGCTGGGAAAGAGCTTCGGAAGTAGAGAGTGGGACAGAAGTGAGAGCAGTTACATAAGGATTCTGCTCCCATCCCAGCCCCAAGCCTCAGCCACCACAAGTGAGGGCAGGGGGAGAGTTACTGGAGGGTCTTTACTCATCCTATGAACAAAATGCTTTTTTTTGAGACAGGATCTCACTCTTTTGCCCAGGCTGGAGTGCAGTGGTGCAATCATGGCTCACCGCAGCCTCAACCTCCGGGGTTTAAGCAATCCTCCCACCTCAGCCTCCTGAGTAGCTGGGACTACAGGCGCATGTCACCACACCCGGCTAATTTTTGTACTTTTTTGTAGAGATGAGGTCTTGCTATGTTGGCCAGGCTGGCCTCGAACTCCTGGGCTCAAGGGATTCTCCCACCTCAACCTCCCCAAGTGTTGGGATTACAGGCGTGAGCCACCGCACCCCATCCCTACCGACACAATTCTCATCAGCTATTTATTTGGGTACCAGCTTCCTACTAGATAGCAAACGGCAAATCGGAAGGGGAAAGGTGGGCTGCTACAAGCAGGTAATGACAATTTCTGCTAATAATAACCCAGTCCAAGAATCTTCAGACTTCCAGCGGGCCATTCCTGATCCCTTCAAATCCGGACATCTCCATGGTCCTCCAGTCACTGCCAATGGACCTGACGCTCCACGAGGTCACAAACCCTAGCCCAACTCCTCAGACTCTTCCATTCAACATCCCTGTCCCAAGCTACCCCAAAAACCACGGGGTCTTTTCCCAAGACTTCCACAAACATATCCCCTTCCCCCCAACCCCAGTCTACCCCCGTTCCGAGATGCCTCCTCATGTTGCCTTCGGGCTCTACAAAATTCTCCCCCCTAAAGCATCACCCCAGGGTAACCCCTAACTCGTCCTCATTGGCACCATCCCAGGACCCTCACCTCCATACTGGACATGCCCAACACCCCACACTCCAGTTCAGGGCTCTCTACCTACATCCTACAACACACGTGCCATCTCAGTGCCATCGCGCCCACTCCTGCACACCCCCAAAGTGGAACTTCCACTCTTAAGCTCTCCCATCCAGGCTCCTAGGGTACATTCCCTGCTCTGTCCACACTTCCACTCCAAAGAACCCTTCCCTGCACTGTGCAGCCACACATGCCCGGGATCCCCAAAGTTTCTCCTCAGAGGGGAAGGCACACACCTTCATCCTGGACCCCTTGAAACCCTCCTCCCACCCCTCGGGTCCTTACACAGCCCTCCTTCCGTGCCCACCGTCCAGTCGCCCCGAAACACACCGATCCCAGGTTCCCGACTTCCTCTCCCTAAATCCTCCCGGTTCCCCATCTGGACCCGCTCTTTCCCAGCGGGTCCCAAGTTCCCCCCTTGGACGCTCCCACCTCCAACCTGCACCTGGCTAGGGCCATGGTCGGGGTCGGGGTCGGGAGTCCCTCGGCGCCCGGCAAGCTTCTGCTTACTCCCACAGGAGACCACTCAGGTCTCCCAGACCCCTCCAGCTCCTCTCCACACCCTTTCCCGAGTTCTCTTAGCCTCCCCTCCAGGGCTCGAGTCGCCTCTCTCAGGAGCCCCGCGGCCAGCGTGCTCAGTCCCAGTCCCAGTCCCACTCCCAGCTGGTTGTGGTCCCTCCGCCCCTTTCTCTCGGCCGGTCCCGGTGATCCCTCCCACCCCCGGTCCCTCCACTCCCACCTCGGGCCGTCCCGGTCCCGTCCCACCCCGGAGTGCCCTCAGGACACCCCTCGGACGGCCCCTCACTCGCCCTCCGGGACCGTCGCGGTCCCCTCCCGCCCCCCCGCCGGCCGTCCCGGCGGCCATTGCTCCAAGATGGCGGCGGCGGCGGCAGCGGGTGAGGCCGGGCCGGGCCGGGCCGGGTTGGGGGTCGGGGGTCCCGGGACAGCGCTCACCTGTAACTCGGCGCGCTCGGCCTCCCAGCGGGCTTTCTCGGCTTCGAAGCGCGCCCACTCGTGCTGGATAAAGTGCAGGATCCCCGGCAGGCTCAGGGGCTCCGGGCCCGCCGTGGGCCCGGGGCTGCCTCCGCCGCCGCCTCCCTTACCTGCCGGGCCCGGCCCGGGGGCAGGGGCGGAGACCGGGGCCGCCCCAGTGGGGCCAGGGCCCGCGCCTGAGCCGAGCGGACGGCAGGAGGAGGCGGCGGCGGCGACCGCGGCGGCCGCTCGCTCCTCCATCATGGAGGCCCCGGGGCCGGCCTGCGCGCCCGCTGTGCCTCGCGCGCCTGCGCGGCCGCGCCAACACCCCCCCCCCTCCCCCGCCGCAACCACCGCGCGCGCGCCCGGCGGGGGACAGTAGGAAGGGGGGCCGGCGGCGAGCGCGAGCCTCGCCCACCCGGGTCTACACCGAAGGGTAGCGTGCCCGCGCGGGGGCCGGCGGGTGGGAGATCGCGCCCCGAGGAGGGCGAGGGAGACCCAGGCCCCGCGCGACGGTCCCCCTCGCTGGAGTGAGACTGAGGAAGGGGCCGCTTTCTGCCCCCCTCCTCCCACTTCGCCCCAGAGAAAGAGCCTTACCCCTTCCACACCCAAACACCACTCTCCTGGACAATTACTTTTACTCTGAGAGAAAGGGCGACCAGCAGTGGCCCCATCCTCTCTGATTGCCGGCCAGGTTGGTTGTCATGGTAACCCTTCCCCAGCGGTGGGGGCGAGGTGGTGGGGAGCAGCCTTCCCCTCGCTTCCACCTTTGTGGTTATGGAGCCCCAAACCTCTTAGGACTCTGCACCAGGAGAAGGTTGCTAAGGTAACCTAAGTGTCCGTGGTGGTCCTTCTGCTCCTATCCTCATTGATTACTATGGCAACCTCCCCCCCACCTAGCATTCAGGTAGAAAGGACCCCAGCCCCAAGGACACTGATCTCTAAGAGAAGCACCTCTTCCCCAGCCCCTCCCCCATAGCCACCTAGTTGGCATTACCATGGTAACCGTCTTCCCCTTCCCATCGTGGGAGGCCCATGCACCAAACTAACCAGGTGTTTTTATTTAGAGGAGATGCTCTGCTGAGGGGCAGTTGCTATGGTTACAGGGCCTGGACCTTCCTCCGGAAGGTGAGAAACAGGCAAGTTCAAGGCCTGGTTACTATGATAATAGAGCAGCCCCCTTCGAGTGACCCTAGGAACCAAGCCCAACAAAGGAGGGGATTTTTTTTTTTTTTTTTTTTTTTGAGACAGAGTGTAACTCTTGTTGCCCAGGCTGGGATGCAATGGCCCAATCTCGGCTCACCACAACCTCCGCCTCCCCGGTTCAAGCCGTTCTCCTGCCTCACCCTCCCAAGTAGCTGGGATTACAGGCATGCGCCACCACGCCCGGCTAATTTTTTTTTTATTTTTAGTAAAGACGGGGTTTCTCCATGTTGGTCACGCTGGTCTTGAACTCCCGACCTCAGGTGATCTGCCTCAGGCCCGCCTCGGCCTCCCAAAGTGCTGGGATTACAGGTGTGAGCCATCACGCCCGGCCAGGGGATGTTTTAAGAATGTCTCTCAGAGGTAGAGTGTGTCTATGGAAGGGGTTGTCATGGTAACAGCTTCTGTTGGCTTCTAGCCCTACCTTTTCTGGACACATTCATGCTAGAGGGATGGTTATAGGTTGCTATAATAACTGACATCCCTCCCATTCACCCCACCCCACTCCTGAGACACCCCAGGTGGTGCCCGAGATTATAGGACTTCAAGAGAAAGGATTCCCTGACCTTTCTCTTGCCACTTTTGTGGATAAGATGAAATTGTGCTCTATTGTACGGAAATGGCTGATTTGGGATTTTCTGGTTCTCCTCCTCTCAGGAGCGCAGCTCAGCTGGGCTGGAACTGCCCTCCTGGAACTCCCCCAGCCTACAACCTAGGAGGTAAGAAGTCCCTCAGTGTCACCTACACTCTCATGGAAACTGCCCTTCCTCATTCCTTAAGGCTTTCCCATGTCTCTCATTTTTTTCTTTTTCTTTCTTTCTTTTTTGAGACGGAGTGTCGCTCTGTTGCCCGGGCTGAAATGCAGTGGCGCGGTCATGGCTCACTGCAACCTCCACCTCCCTGGTTCAAGCGATTCTCCTGCCTCAGCCTCCCGAGTAGCTGGGATTACAGGCACCTGCCACCACGCCCGGCTAATTTTTTGTATTTTTAATAGAGATGGGGTTTCACCTTGTTGGCAGGCTGGTCTCGAACTTCTGACCTCGTGATCCGCCCGCCTCGGCCTCCCAGAATGCTAGAATTACAGGCGTGAGCCACCGCGCCCAGCCCTCTCATTTTTTTCTAACCGTCACATTCCCATTCCACAGGTGCAGGGACTGAGGCTCAGGCCAAATCGCAACTCAGACCCAGTGAACCCAAGGCCTGAAGAGAATTTGGATTCATTTACCTTGTTTTGTGGGGACTGGAGAGACAAGTAAACTCTCAGAGTAACTGTCCCCTCTGACTACCATTTCTAAGGCAAGCCCCCTGTTTCTACTCTTGCGCCCCCTGCTGGTTTCCTGCCCTGTCTGTAAGTTGCATGGCTTTTGTCCGTCTTTTTTTTGTTTGTTTGTTTGTTTTGAGACAGGGTCTCACCCAGGCTAGAGTGAAGTGGAGCAATCTCGGCTCACTGCAACCTCCGCCTCCTGAGTTCAAGTGATTCTCACACCTCAGCCTCCCCAATAGCTGGGATTACAGGTGCGCACCACCATGCCCAGCTAATCTTTGTATTTTTTGGTAGAGAGGGGGTTTCACCATATTGCCCACGCTGGTCTCTAACTCCTGACCTCAGGTGATCTGACCGCCTGGGCCTCCCAAAGTACTGAGATTACAGGTGTGAGCCACCACACGTGGCCCTGTCAGTCTTCTTTCTGTCTTCTGGAGGGCTGACCTAATGAGTACCTCGTTCATTCTGTATCCTCAAAACATGGGGTCCACCACAAAGAATACTTGAGTTTGTTGAGTTACTGAGTTGAATTAATTTATTAATGTGCCATAGCCAAGCTTTGAAAGCCCCTGTCAGGTTAGGGCTGGGGAAGGCTCACTAAAGATGGGCTGAGAGTTGGGGCTTCAGAAAGAACCCAAGAGAGAAGGTAAAGTTTACTGGTTTAAAGTACGACTCTGTAGCCAGCTTCTTGGATCAACTCTTGGGTCCACTACTTCACATTGTGTGACCTTGAATAAGAGACTTTAACTCTTTAACTCTCTGTGCCTTTGTTTCCTTTTTTTTTTTTTTTTTTTTTGAGATAAGGTCTCGAGGCCAGGCGCGGTGGCTCACGCCTGTAATCCCAGCACTTTGGGAGGCTGAGGCGGGCGGATCACGAGGTCAGGAGATTGAGACCATCCTGGCCAACATAGTGAAACCCCATCTCTACTAAAAATACAAAAATTAGCCGGGCATGGTGGCGCATGCCTGTAATCCCAGCTACTCAGGAGGCGGAGGCAGGGGAATCCCTTGAACCAGGGAGTTGGAGGTTGCAGCGAGCCGAGATTGTGCCACAGCACTCTAGCCTGGTGACAAAGCGAGACTCCGTCTCAAAAAAAAAAAAAAAAAAGAGTCTGGCTCTGTCACCCAGGCTGGAGTGCAGTGGCACAATCTCAACTCACTGCAACCTCTGCCTCCTAGACTCAAGTAATCCTACCACTTCAGCCACCAGAGTAGCTGGGACTACAGGTGCACACCACCATGCCCGGCTAATTTTTTAAATTTTTTTGTAGAGACGGGGTCTTACCAGTCCATGCTGGTCTCAAACTCCCAGGCTCAAGCAATCTCCCCCAGCCTCATCCTCCCAAAGTGCTGGGATTACAGGCATGAGCCACCACATCGGCTGGTTTCCATTTTTAAATGTGATCATAACACGAGGATTAAACAAGTGAATATGCCTAAAGTGCTTAGAACAGGGCCTGGCACATGGTGAGCTGCTAGAATTGTTATTATTATCCTCCCGATTCAGAAAAATGTAGAACATTCAGACCTTCAAAATCATCATTGTATCCACTTTGCCCCAACGAAGGGGTTTGTTGCCCTTAGAGGCGGTGAAGTCTGCATGGCTTTATCAGGGTACTAGATGATTCCTTTCCCCGCCTCAGGTTCCCTCACACCCTCACCAGCAGGTGGCACCTCTTCATCTGGCCATCAAATCTGCTGGTGTCTGGTCTGCGAGGGCCAAGAGTTGTGCTGGGCCTGAGGGTAGCCAGGACCTGGCTGCTGTCCTCTGCCCTGCTGGGCACCTCCTTCCTGGCCCAGAGTCAGTCAGACAGTGTGGCAAGAGCCAGGGCCTCAGAAGCGGAGACCTCGGTTCTCGACCCTGCATCCTTCTTATCTCTCTGAGCCAGAGGTTCCTATCTTTCGTTTTTGAGACTGGGTCTCGCTCTGTCGCCCAGGCTGGAGTGCAGTGGCTGAATCACAGCTCACTGCAGCCTCCACCTCCTGGGCTCAAGGGACCCTCCTGCCTCAGCCTCCCTCCTAAGTAGCTGAGACCACAGGTAGGCACCACCACGCCTGGCTGATTTTTGTATTTTTTTAGAGACGGGGTTTTGCTATATTGCCCAGGCTGGTGTTGAACTCCTGAGCTCAAGCGATCCTCCTGCCTCAGCTTCCCATAGTGCTAGGATTACAGGAGTGAGCCCCCATACCCAGCCCACGTTCCTTATCTTAATAATTCAAGTCACTCATTCATTCAACACGTATTTATTGAGCACCTGCTATGCACCAAGCACTGAGCTGTGCTCTGGGGATACAGTAGGGAAGAAAACAGATTCCCTGCCTTCCATGGAGATTCTGACAACAAACAAGCTAAGTAAAATCCACGTGATAACTACTAGGGGAGCAAAATAAAGCAGGAATGGGGGATAGGAAGTACATGGGAGATGCTTTTTTTTTTTTTTTAAAGACAGACAAGGTCTCGCTCTATTGCCCAGGCTGGAGTGCAGTGGCGCCATCACAGCTCACTGCACCCTTGACTTCCCCAGCTCAAGTGATCCTCCTACCTCAGCCTCCTAAGTAACTGGGACTACAGGTGCAAGCCATCACATCCAGTTAGTTTTGTTTATTTTTTGTAGAGATGGCATCTTACTATGTTGTCCAGGCTGATCTGAAACTCCTGGTCTCAAGCGATCTGCCTACCTCAATCTCCCAAAGTGCTGGAATTACAGGTGTGAGCCACTGCACCTGGCCAAGATGCATTTTTTTGTTTATTTACTTATTTTGAGACAGAGTTTTGTTGTTGTTGCCCAGGCTGGAGTACAATGGCATGGTCTCAGCTCACTGCAGCCTCTGCCTCCTGGGTTCAAGCAATTCTCCTGCCTCAGCCTCCCAAGTAGCTGGGATTACAGGCGCCTGTCACCATGCCCAGCTAACTTTTTTGTATTTTTTTTTTTTTTTTTTTTTGAGACGGAGTCTTGCTCTGTCGCCCAGGCCGGACTGCGGACTGCAGTGGCACAATCTCGGCTCACTGCAAGCTCCGCTTCCCGGGTTCACGCCATTCTCCTGCCTCAGCCTCCCGAGTAGCTGGGACTACAGGCGCCCGCCACCGCGCCTGGCTAATTTTTTGTATTTTTAGTAGAGATGGGGTTTCACCATGTTGGCCAGGCTGGTCTTGAACTCCTGACCTCAGGCGATCTGCCCACCTCGCCCTCCCAAAGTGCTGGGATTACAGGCATGAGCCACCATGCCCAGCCCACCAAGATGCATTTTTAAATAGGATGGCCAAAGGAAGAGGTTATGGGAAGGTGACATTGGAGTGATGGGGGTGGGGGCCGGCGCAGTGGGGTGGATCGCCTGTGGCTATCTGGGATAAGAACACTCAGACAGAGGCAACAGGCAGTTCTGCAGCTGGAGTGTCCCAGGTGTGTTTGAAAGATGGTGTTGGTGGCCAATGTTCCTAGAGCTGAGTGAGTGAGTAGGAAAGGATGGAAGATCACGCGGGGCCTTATGGGCCACATTGAGTACCTTGGCTTTTCCTGCGAGGTGCCAGCCACAGAAGGGCCTGAGCAGAGCCAGGACAGGATGAAATGTGAGTTGTGACAGGATCTCTCGAGGTGCTGAATGAGGAACAGACCACAGGAACAGAAGCGGGAAGACAGTCTCTTGCTGTGACCTTCAAGGATATGCAGACTAACCATCTCATGTGTGTTCGGAGCTCCTATGTACCTAAACTCTAAGATTTTGAAGGGCTTGAGGTTCTGTGGTTGCAAAGGTTCCTGCCCCTGCACTAATGGGAGCTCCACAAGGGCAGGAATGTTGTCTGTCTCTGAGCATCTGTTGCTCTCTCTCCAGTGCCTAGAACAGTGCCTGGCATGTTGTAGGAGTTCAACAAATAGATGTTGAAGGATTGAAGGAAGGAAGAATCAATCTAAGGTCCAGAAGGCAATTCCAGGATTCTAAAGATTAGAAAGGACATGGTGACTCACGCCTGTAATCCTGGCACTTTGGGAGGCCGAGACGGAAGGATCACTTGAGGTCAGGAGTTCGAGACCAGCCTGGACAATATAGTGGGAGCCAGTCTCCACAAAAATGTGTTTGAAAAATTAGCCAGGCACAGTATTGCATGCCTGTAGTCCCAGCTACTCGGGAGACTGAGGCAGGAGGATGGCTTGAACACAGGAATTCGAGGCTGCAGTGAGCCGTGATTGCACCACTGCACTCAAGCTTGGGCAGCAGAGCAAGACGCTGTCCGTTTAAAAAATATATATATTTTGGCTGGGTGTGGTGGCTCACTCCTGTAATCCCAACATTTCTGGAGGCCAAGGCAGGCAGATCATGAGGTCAAGGGATTGAGACCATCCTGCCCAACATGGTGAAAACCCGTCTCTACTAAAAATACAAAAATTAGCCGGGCATGGTGGCACGCGCCTGTAGTCCCAGCTACTCAGGAGGCTGAGGCAAGAGAATCGCTTGAACCCTGGAGGCGGTGGTTGCAGTGAGCCAGTCGCACCACCGCACTCCAGCCTGGCAACAGAGTGAGACTCCGTCTCAAAAAAAAAAAAATTGTTTTTGGCTGGGCGCGGTGGCTCACGCCTGTAATCCCAGCACTTTGGGAGGCCACGGCGGGTGGATCACCTGAGGTCAGGAGTTCGAGACCAGCCTGACCAACATCCCGTCTCTACTAAAAATACAAAATTAGCCGGGTGTGGTGGCGCATGCCTGTAATCCCAGCTACTCAGGAGGCTGAGGCAGGAGAATCGCTTGAACGCGGGAGGCAGAGGTTGCAGTGAGATGAGATAGCTGCCACTGCACTCCAGCCTGGGCAACAGAGGGAGACTCCATCTCAAAAAAAAAAAAGAAAAGAAAAGAAATAAGAGCAGTTTGAGAAAATGTTCAGGGTGACTTAAACATACAGGTTGGGGAAAGCATGGCAAGAGATGAGGGTGGAATGGGGGGCAGACAAGGGGAATGTCAGAAGCAGCTTCCACTTTCTCCCCTGGGCACTGGGAGCCATGGCAAGTTCAGAGCAGGGGAAGGAGAGGTCCAACTTGTGCTTTAGGAAGACTCCTCTGGCTATCACGGGGAGAGGAATTGCCAGGAGACCAGGGGGAGGTTGGATGGGAATGTGGGTGGACCTGGTTGAGGAGGGAGCTGTGGAAATGGGGAGGAGGGGACAGAGGATTTAGGACATAGGGAGGTTAGTTGGATGCCCCCTCTCTCTAGGAAGGGCAGAAACCTACAAAAAGCCTTCATGGGGAAATTATTTGATCATCTGCTTGGAACCCAGAGCTATACCACCTGTGCTGGAGACCGGCCAGCCAAATCTTCAGTCTCGGTGGGGACAAGGAGACAGCGCCATCTGGTGCTTGAGGGTGTGGCCAATGAATGTGGAGGGGAGTGTCCTAAGGTTGGCAGCCTCTTTTGATGCAAGCTACCCCAGTTTTTTGTTGTTGTTGGGTATTTTGAGACAGGGTCTCACTCTTGTCCAGGCTGAGTGCAGTGGCATGATCATGGCTCACTGGCTCAAGCCATCCCCCCACCTCAGCATCCTGAGTGGCTGGGACCATAGGTGAGTAGCACCACACCCAGCTAATTTTTTATTTTTTGTAGAGATGAAGTCTCCTTATGTTACTCAGGTTGGTCTCGAACTCCTGGACTCAAGTGATCCTCCTGCCTTGGCCTCCCAAATTGCTGGGATCACAGGTGTGAGTCACTGTACCTGGCCCACCCCACTTTTGTTTTTTCTTTTTTTTTTTTAATTTTTATTTATTTATTTATTTATTTATTTATTTATTTTTTGAGACAGTCTCACTCTGTTGCCCAGGCTGGAGTGCAACGGTGCCATCTCGGCTCACTGTAACCTCCACCTCCCAGGTTCAAGTGATCCTCTTGCCTTGGCCTCCCAAATTGCTGAGATCACAGGCGTGAGTCACCATACCTGGCCCACCCCACTTTTGTTTTGTTTTTCTTGTTTTAAATTGGTTTGTTTATTTATTTATTTATTTATTTTTCGAGACGGAGTCTCGCTGTGTTGCCCAGGCTGGAGTGCAATGGTGCCATCTCCGCTCACTGCAACCTCCATCTCTCAGGTTCAAGCGATTTCCTGCCTCAGCCTCCTGAGTAGCTGGGCTTACAGGCACCCGCCCTCACACCCAGCTAACTTTTGTATTTTTAGTAGAGATGGGGTTTCACCGTGTTGGCCAGGCTGGTCTCAAACTCCTGACCTCAGGTAATCCACCTGCCTTGTCCTCTCAAAGTGATGGGATTACAGGCATAAGCCACCGCGCCCAGCCTAACCTTTTTTTTTCATTTATATTTTTCAGCACCCCACTTAAAATTTTTTTTAAATTCTGATTAAGTATATATAACATTAAATGTACCATCTTAACCATTTTTCAGCACACAGTTCAGTAGTGTTAAATGCATTCATACTGTTGTGCCAACAAACCTCTGGGACCTTTTCATCTTCCCAAACTGAAACTCTGTACTTATCAAACAACTCCCCATTCCCCCCTGCCTGCAACCCCTGGCACCCGTCATTCTACTTTATGTTTCTATTAGTTTGACTCACTCTGTTTAAAAAAAAAAAAAAAAATTCTGAGGACACCCAGAGTTGGTGCATGGCCCAGACTGGGAGGTCAGGGAGTGCTTCCTGGAGAAGGGGAAGTCAAAGCTGAAACCAAATAGGGAAAAGAAAGGGAATTGAGAAAGAGCTGTAGAAAGGGGCAAGGCTGAGGGTGGCAGAAGGGGGTGGTTCTGACAATCAGCTGCTGCCTTCCCTTTCGTCCCCCTCCCCCAGGATGCCCCGGAGGCCCAGCTAGCCCCAGACTTCGGCCCCATGCGGCTCACCCGCTGCCAGGCTGCCCTGGCGGCCGCCATCACCCTCAACCTTCTGGTCCTCTTCTATGTCTCGTGGCTGCAGCACCAGCCTAGGAATTCCCGGGCCCGGGGGCCCCGTCGTGCCTCTGCTGCCGGCCCCCGTGTCACCGTCCTGGTGCGGGAGTTCGAGGCATTTGACAACGCGGTGCCCGAGCTGGTAGACTCCTTCCTGCAGCAAGACCCAGCCCAGCCCGTGGTGGTGGCAGCCGACACGCTCCCCTACCCGCCCCTGGCCCTGCCCCGCATCCCCAACGTGCGTCTGGCGCTGCTCCAGCCCGCCCTGGACCGGCCAGCCGCAGCCTCGCGCCCGGAGACCTACGTGGCCACCGAGTTTGTGGCCCTAGTACCTGATGGGGCGCGGGCTGAGGCACCTGGCCTGCTGGAGCGCATGGTGGAGGCGCTCCGCGCAGGAAGCGCACGTCTGGTGGCCGCCCCGGTTGCCACGGCCAACCCTGCCAGGTGCCTGGCCCTGAACGTCAGCCTGCGAGAGTGGACCGCCCGCTATGGCGCAGCCCCCGCCGCGCCCCGCTGCGACGCCCTGGACGGAGATGCTGTGGTGCTCCTGCGCGCCCGCGACCTCTTCAACCTCTCGGCGCCCCTGGCCCGGCCGGTGGGCACCAGCCTCTTTCTGCAGACCGCCCTTCGCGGCTGGGCGGTGCAGCTGCTGGACTTGACCTTCGCCGCGGCGCGCCAGCCCCCGCTGGCCACGGCCCACGCGCGCTGGAAGGCTGAGCGCGAGGGACGCGCTCGGCGGGCGGCGCTGCTCCGCGCGCTGGGCATCCGCCTAGTGAGCTGGGAAGGCGGGCGGCTGGAGTGGTTCGGCTGCAACAAGGAGACCACGCGCTGCTTCGGAACCGTGGTGGGCGACACGCCCGCCTACCTCTACGAGGAGCGCTGGACGCCCCCCTGCTGCCTGCGCGCGCTGCGCGAGACCGCCCGCTATGTGGTGGGCGTGCTGGAGGCTGCGGGCGTGCGCTACTGGCTCGAGGGCGGCTCACTGCTGGGGGCCGCCCGCCACGGGGACATCATCCCATGGGACTACGACGTGGACCTGGGCATCTACTTGGAGGACGTGGGCAACTGCGAGCAGCTGCGGGGGGCAGAGGCCGGCTCGGTGGTGGATGAGCGCGGCTTCGTATGGGAGAAGGCGGTCGAGGGCGACTTTTTCCGCGTGCAGTACAGCGAAAGCAACCACTTGCACGTGGACCTGTGGCCCTTCTACCCCCGCAATGGCGTCATGACCAAGGACACGTGGCTGGACCACCGGCAGGATGTGGAGTTTCCCGAGCACTTCCTGCAGCCGCTGGTGCCCCTGCCCTTTGCCGGCTTCGTGGCGCAGGCGCCTAACAACTACCGCCGCTTCCTGGAGCTCAAGTTCGGGCCCGGGGTCATCGAGAACCCCCAGTACCCCAACCCGGCACTGCTGAGTCTGACGGGAAGCGGCTGAAGCCCTGATAACCTCGCCTTTGTTTTTCGGGGGTCTGTCTGGATGTGGAGAAGCTCTGTGTGAGCGGTGAGGGGTGGAGGGATGTCGCGGAGAGGGGAAGGGGGAAACTGACCAAGAAAGAAATTCTAAGGAGAGCATGAGAGAAGGCTGGCATTGGCAGGAGGAGAGCACCAGGACGAGGATGGGAAGCGACCTCCAGATTTATCAAATGGTCATGCCCACTGGGAGCCGTGGATATGCGTGGGGACATCCTGGGTCATCTCAGTCATGGAGGGAGACGGGGATGTCACGCCGTCCCGCAGGGCCCAGCACAGCCCCAGACCCGAAAAAAGTGTTCTGCCCAAGATTCCGAGAGCCCTGCGCTCTAGGGCAGGGGCAGAGTTTTGGAAACAGTGCAGGCTCTGGAGCCAGACTGGCGAGATTCAAATCCTGGCTCTATCGCTTCGGAGCCAGGTGGGCCTGGGGGGGCGTCGCAGTCTCTCTGTGCCTCAGTTGCTTCCAGGATGCGGGACCCTTGGCTGCAGGGGTTGCTTCCGCCACTAGAGGGCGCGCCGGTCCCGCTCCTGGTGGCCCACTGTGGCTGCCCGGGCGACAGTACGCCCAGGGCCTGTGTTCCATAGCCATCTACTCTCTTGAGCCTTTGGACTTCTCTCCAAGCCCCTGTGGGAGGCGGACAGCAGTGACCACCTCCCCTTCTTTTGGACTGCGACCTCCTTCCCTCCTGGGAGAGCCCTGTGACCTGCATGCTACTCTTAACTGTTCTATTCAAGACTGAATAGAAGTATTTCAGTCTTGCAGAGGAGGAAATGCTCAGAGCTCCGAGGTGCGGCTGTGGTCGAGAACCGGGTGCTGGGCCGGGCGCGGGGGCTCACGCCTGTAATCCCAGCACTTTGGGAGGCCGAGGTGGGAGGATCGCTTGAGCCCAGGAGTCTGAGACCAGCCTCGGCAACATGCCAAGACCCCGTCTCTATTTTTAAAAAAGAAAAAGAACCGACTTCTGAATCGCAGCTCCACTCATGACTAATACCTCATTATTTCAGCTGTCTGCACCTAATTCCCCACTTGCACGGCAGTGTAGACAATAACCATAGCTCACACTCACTGAGCACCTACTGGGTACCAGGCACCATTCTCAGTGTTTCACCTGGATCAACTAATGCGTCCCTCACCTCAGCCCTCTGAAGTGACAGCTGCTATTATTTTCATTACACAGATGAAAAAGCTGAGGCCAGAATCGTGAAGTCACTTGCTCAAGGTCAGGCAGCTTAGGAAGGGGCAGATCGGGGGCTTGAACCCAGGTGGTCAGGCTCTGGAGCCCACAATTGTCTTACCCACTATGCCCCTCTCTAGTCATGGTCCCCAAGAGGGGCTTGGAGACCCACTTAGCAGGTGAAAGCAATGGCAGCCTTCCTTATTTGATTATGCACCTAAGAATAAATGGTATTTGGGCATGTATTCCCAATATGTGTATATTTATTTATAAATATATACAGATACTATTATCTGTATGTTAGTAATAAAGCTTAAATTATTCCATTTTAAAATTATGAATATGAATAGGGTTTTTTTTATGTTTCTTGCCTCATCCCAATGACTTTTGCACACCCAGGTGTGAGCACCCAGCATTCAAGACCACGGGTTAAAAAAAAAAAAAAAAAGCTGGCCGGGCGTGGTGGCTCACGCCTGTGATCCCAACACTTTTGGGAGGCTGAGACAGGAGGAACACTTGAGCTCGGGAGTTCGAGACCAGCCTGAGCAATAGAGCAAGACTCTTGTCAATTAAAAATAATAAATAAAGCCAGGCATGGTGGCTCACGCCTATAATCCCAACACTTTGGGAGCCCAAGGCGGACGGATCACAAGGTCAAGAGATCGAGACCATCCTGGCTAACACAGTGAAACTCCGTCTCTACTAAAAATACAAAAAATTAGCTGGACATGGTGGCGGGCACCTGTAGTCCCAGCTACTCAGGAGGCTGAGGCAGGAGAATGGCATGAACCCGGGAGGCGGAGCTTGCAGTGAGCCAAGATTGTGCCACCGCCCTCCAGCCTGAGCAACAGAGCAAGACTCCATCTCAAAAAAATAAAATAATAAATAAGAGGCAAAATGTTAAAAATAAGCAAGGACTGGGCACAGTGGCTCATGCCTGTAATCCCGGTACTTTCGGAAGCCAAAATTGGAGGATCCTTTAAGGCCAAGAGTTCAAGATCAGCCTGGGCAACATAGCGAGATCCCCTGTCTCTACAAAATAATAAAAAAATAGCCACTGTTTTAGTCCCTTCTCATGCTACTAATAAAGACCTACCTGAGACTGGGTAATTTATAAAGGAGGAAAGGTTTAATCGACCCACAGTTCAGCACGGCTGGGGAGGCCTCATGAAACTTACAATCATGGCAGAAGGGGAAGCAAACACATCTTGTGATGGCAGGAAGAAGAAGTTCCAAGCAAAAGGGGAAAGTTCCTTATAAAACCATTAGATCTCATGAGAACTCACTATCACGAGAATAGCATGGGGGTAACTGCCCCCATGATTCAATTACCTCGCACCCAGTCCCTCCCACGACACATGGGGATTATCAGAACTACAATTCGAGATGAGATTTGGGTGGAAACACAGCCAAACCATATCAGCCAGGCATAATGGCATGCACCTGTAGTCCTAGCTACTGGGGAGGCTGAGGCAGGAGGATTGCTTAAGCCTAGGAGATCAAGACTGCAGTGAGCTCTGATTGCACCTCTGCACTCCAGCCTCGGCAACAGAGCATTATCCCATCCCCCCACAAAAAAAAAGAAAAAAAGAAAAGACATGGGCTTGAGGTTGGAGAGGACCGGGTTTCCCAGTGCTGCCACCTTCTCCCAGGGCCTCTATTGACTCTGTCTCTGCGCCCCCACCTTGCATTTGGGAAGTGGAAGCAATGAGATCGCTCCTCCCACAGGAGTGTGTTCGCGGTAAAGGGGCCCAGAGTCTGGCTGGGTTTGAATCCTGGCTTGGCCACTTGGTTTCTTTGTACTCTCAGACAAGTCGCTGCCTCTCTGAACCTGTAAACTGGGGAGATTGGTAATATTTCACAATTGTACATTCCTGGGAGGAGGAGGCTTCATAGACCAGCAAGAGAAGATTACTGTTTGGCCGAGTCTCCTGAGGCTCAGACATCCAAAGCCTGACTTCTTGTAACCCAACCCCTGCTTTTAACCACTGAACCCAAAAATGGTTCACAAAGAGACTTGGCAGGTCCACAGGGAGGATTCTGGAATGCATGGGGATGATTTGCATTATCATCATGACTGGAAGCTGCTCTTGGCTCTTGGCAGACGTGGTCCAGGGATGCAGATGTCTTGTAATATTCAGGAATCTCCACACAGTACAGCATCATCCCTTGTCTCATGCAGCTTCCAGATGTCTCATTGGACATTCACGAAGGAAGGGTAATATTCAAAATGTTTTGCCACTGGTACTGTAATATAAATTAGTATATGTCAATGTATGCATCAAATTTTTAAAATATTTTAGGCCAGGCATAGTGTAATCCCAGCACCTTGGGAGGCCAAGACAGGAGGATGGCTTGAAGCCAGGAATTCGAGACCAGCCTGGGCAACATAGAGAGACCCTCATCTCTACAAAACATTTCAAAAATTGAGCAGGGCGTGGTGGTTTACACCATTAATCCCAGCACTTTGGAAGGCCGAGGCAGGTGAATTGCTTGAGCCCAGGAGTTCAAGACCAGACTAGGGGCCAGGCGGGGTGGCTCATGCCTGTAATCCCACCACTTTGGGAGGCTGAGGCGGGCAGATCACTTGAAGCCAGGAGTTCAAGACCAGCCTGGCCAACAAGGCAAAACCATGTCTCTACTAAAAATACAGCAATTAGCTGGGCGTGGTGGTGCACCCCTGCAGTCCCAGCTACTCAGGATGCTGAGGTGGGAGGATCACCTGAGCCCAGGAGGTCAAGGCTACAGTGAGCCATGATCATGTCACTGCATTCCAGCTTGGGCAACAGAGTGAGACCCTGTCTCAAAAAAACAAAAATCCTTATTATCACCTAAGTTATGATATGACAAAGATCTGTCACAATTAACTTGAACTAATTCATTTTTATTCAAATATGTATTGAATTTCAGTGCTTTCTCAACTACTCTTGTACTATTATTATCCAGTCAGAAGTATTTCAGTATTTTAACAACCAGTATTGGCCAAGTATGGTGACTCACGCCTGTAATCCTAGCACTTTGGGAGGCCGAGGTGGGTGGATCACAAGGTCAGGAGTTCAAGACCAGCCTGGCCAATATGGTGAAACCCTGTCTCTACTAAAAATACAAAAACTAGCCGGGCATGGTGGTGGGCGCCTGTAGTCCCAGCTACTCAGGAGGCTGAGGCAGGAGAATCGCTTGAACCCAGGAGGCGGAGGTTGCAGTGAGCCAAGATCATGCCACTGCACTCCAGCCTGGGTGACAGAGCGAGACTCTGTCTCAAAAACAAACAAGAAAGAACAGTATTTCCATACTAGTTCAGACCAACTAAATTTTAGCCTTACTTGGAGGTGAAAACCCTGGCCAAAAATCTCTCTCTTGTACGTACAAAGTCCTTTTTGTTTTTAAATAGCCTCGGAATCTTCCAGGAAGTGCAACTACCACAAAAAATGAGGGAAGCTTGTATCGTGTTTTGTTCAAAACTTGGCCAAAGGTTGTCCACCATGTGAAAAAACTCACATTGCACATGGCTCTTGGTAATTGGACACCAGTCCACGTGTTTTCAATGTGTTGGAACTGTCTATATTACAGGCATAAACATCTGCCTACCTCCTTGGGTTCTAGGGGACTGGCTCCACACATCCGCATAATGAAATGCTTATTGTAAGTTACTATGTTCTTATTTCTCCTTTTTATTACATTTAGGGCAATCAAGGATCGTTTTTGTTGCTGCTGCTGTTGTTGTTGTTTCTGAGACAGGGTCTCACTCTGTCACCCAGGCTGCAGTGCAGTGGCACAGTCTTGGCTCACTGCAGCCTCAACTTCCCAGGCTCAGGCGATTCTCCCACCTCAGCCTCCCGAGTAGCTGGGACTACAGATAAGTACTACCACACCCAGCTTTTATATATATATATATATAAATATATTTATATATATAATGTCTCTACTAAAAATACAAAAATTAGCTAGGTGCGGTGTCGCACGCCTGTAATGCCAGCAGTTTGGGAGGCCAAGGCGGATGGATTACTTGAGGTCAGGAGTTCGAGACCAGCCTGGCCAACATGGTGAAACCCCATCTCTACTAAAAATACGTGTGTGTGTGTGTGTGTGTGTGTGTGTGTGTGTATTTTAAGTAGAGATGGGGTTTCACCATGTTGCTCAGGCTGGTCTCAAATTCCTGGACTCGAGTGATCTGCCCACCTTGGCCTCCCAAAGTAGGATTTTCTTAAATCATGTTAAATCATGTGCCAGTGGGTTATACTGTCTATGAACTTCATTTCAGGAGAACAGAGAGAACTTTCCCAGAACTGACATTCAAGCCAGCACACGCCCTGGTATGGCCACGCCAGTGGTTAAGACAGCAAAACACTAAATTATGGATTATTTACTCATTCATAAACGGTCACTGCCATGAACCCCCTGACTATTAGTATCCTCCTAGCTCTCCCTGGGGATCCCCTGGGCTGCCCTCTGGCCCAGAAGTCCAGGGGTTAAACTGGGTATAGTGGGAGATAAGAGGGACCCATATCCCGGATGTTGGATGGACTGATGACTTTGCCAAGCAGTAAATATTTTGTCTATCAGCCCTACATGTTACAAAATATTTGCTATGAACAATAGTGGCATGTAAAGACCTGTCTACATTAGCCAGGTGTGGTGGCTAATGCCTGTAATCCCAACGCTTTGGAAGACCAAGGCTGGAGGATCACATGAGCCCAGGAGGTGGAGGCCACCCAGGGTAATATGTTGAGACCCTGTCTCTACCAAAAAAATTTAGGAGGGGCGAGTGGCTCATGCCTGTAATCCCAGCACTTTGGGAGGCTGAGGCGGGCAGATCACTTGAGGTCAGGAGTTTGAGACCAGCCCAGTCAACATGGTGAAACCACGTCTCTACTAAAAATACAAAAATTAGCCAGGTGTGGCGGCTCACACCTGTAATCCCAGCACTTTGGGAGGCCGAAGAGGGCGGATTACTTGAGGTCAGGAGTTCAAGACCAGCCTGAACAACATGGTGAAACCCCATCCCTACTAAAAATACAAAAATTAGCCGGGCGTGATGGTGGGTGCCTGTAATCCCAGCTACTCAGGAAGCTGAGGCAGGAGAATTGCTTGAACCTGGGAGGTGGAGGTTGCAGTGAGCCGAGATTGCACCACTGCACTCCAGCCTGGGCAACAGAGCAAGATTCTGTCTCAAAAATAAAATAAGGTAAATAAAAAATAAAAAACCTGTCTACAAATGCACCTTTATGCACAATAGCCCCAACCTGGAAACCATCAGATGTAAATCAACAGGTGGGTGGATAAGCAAACTGTGGTACACTCAGACAACATAATACTCCTTAGCAAGTTTTTTAAAAAAGGAAAGAACTGGGCCGGACGTGGTGGCTCACGCCTGTAATCCCAGCACTTTGGGAGGTCGAGGCGGGCCGATCACCTGAGGTCGGGAGTTCAAGACCAGCCTGACCAACATGGCAAAACCCTGTCTCTACTAAAAATACAAAATTAGCTGGGCATGGTGGCACATGCCTGTAATCCCAGCCACTTGGGAGGCCAAGGCAGGAGAATCACTTGAACTCGGGAGGCGGAGGTTGTAGTGAGCCGAGATTGTGCCATTGCACTCCAGTCTGGGCAACAAGAGTGAAACTCCATCTCAAAAAAAAAAAAAGAAAAGAAAAGAAAGAACAAACTACTGATACATGCAAAAATAAGAATAAATCCCAAAAGCATTATGACACATAAAAAAAAGCCAGATGCAAGACGCTACATAGTATATGATTCCACCAATGTAAAATTCTAGAAGAGGTAAAACTAATTCATAGTGACCAAAAGCAGATCAGTGGTTACCGGGGCCTGGAGCTGGAGAGAGGGGCAGACTGCAAAGAAGCATGAGGAAATTTGGGGATGATGAGAATATCATGTATCTTGATTATGGGAGTGGTTTTTCACAGTATATTCATCTGTCAAAACTCATTTAACTGTATTTTATTTATTTATTTATTTATTTTGAGACAGGGTCTCGCAGCATTGCTCAGGCTGGTCTCAAACTCCTGGGCTCAAGCGATCCTTCTGCCTCGGCCTCTCAAAGTGCTGGAATTACAGGCATGAGCCTGGCCTAATTGATTTTAACGGGTGCAATTTATCATATGAAACAATTTTTTTGGAGCCAGCCTTGCTCTGTTGCCCAGGCTAGAGTGCAGTGGTGCAGTCTTGGCTCACTGCAACCTCTACCTTCTGGATTCAAGTGATTCTCATGCCTCAGCCACCTGAGTAGCTGGGATTACAGGTGTGCACAACCACACCTGGTTAATTTTTGTATTTTTAGTGGAGATGGAGTTTCACCATGTTGGCCAGGCTGGTCTTGAACTCCTGGCCTCAAATGATTTGCCTTGACCTCCCAAAGTGCTAGGATTACAGGTGTGAGCCACCTTGCCCGGCCTATTGTATGTAAATTATACCTCAATAAAGTTGACCTCAAAAAGAGCAGATGGGGGCAGAATCCAACAGGCCTAAGAACATTGACCTGTCTCTAAGAGAGACAAAACTGAGTCACTGCCCTCTGCCTTTCTGTCCCCATACTGCCACTCTGAGCCTAGAACCCAGGACCAACCCTAATCCGGGGCCAGCCTGGGCCCTCCTTCCTGGGCCAAGCTCCTTCAAAGAGGCAAGAGGGGTGGGTGGGGCAATGGAGAAAGGGAGAGAAAGGTGGGAGCTGGGAACTGGGACCCAGGGAGTGACCGTCAAAGTGCCTTTTCTTCTGCTCTTACGTAACCTGCACTAGCAGCCTTTGGGTGAGGCATAAGAGAGCCATTGTCACCGGCGGGTGAGACCTGGCAGTGCTCATCCAAGGTCACATAGTTGCCAGGCAGCAGAGTCGAGACTGAACCAGCCTCTTCCACCATTCCACGAGTGTTTATTGAGCTCCTGCTATACGCATGCACCGGACCCTATGCTAGACTCTGAGCCTACAGCAGTGAACAATTCAAAGATGGTTCCCCCACAGAGTGACCTTCCCAGTGGGGACAGGCAGGAAACAATAAACATCATAAACCAGTGAATTCTATCGTCTGTTGGGAGGGGACTGTTGCTATTAAAAAAGGAGAACAGGGCAGGGCACGGTGGTTCACAACTATAATCCCAGCACTTTGGGAGGCGTAGGTGGGAGGATCCTTTCAGCCCAGGAGTTCAAAACCAGCCTGGACAACATACAGAGACTGTGTCGCTACAAAAAACAAAAATTAAGAAAAAAAAATAGCTGGGCAGGGTAGCATGGGCCTATAGTCCCAGCTACTTAGGAGGCTGAGGTGGGAGTGTCACTTGAGCCTGGGAGGTCAAAGCTGAAATGAGCTGTGATCATGAAACTGCATTCCAGCCTGGGCAACAGAGCAAGACCCTGTCTTTAAAAAAAAAAAAAAAAAGTAGAGCAGGCCTGGCGTGGTGGCTTATGCCTGTAATCCCAGTACTTTGGGAGGCCGAGGTGGGAGGATTGCTTGAGCTCAGGAGTATGAGCCTGGCCAGCCTGGGCCATAGAGCAAGACCCCATCTCTGTTTGTTTGTTTGTTTGTTTGTTTGTTTGTGACAGGGTCTATCTCTGTCTCCCAGGCTGGAGTGCAGTGGCGCGATCTTGGCTCACTGCAACCTCTGCCTCCCGGGTTCAACAATTCTCATGCCTCAGCCTCCCGAGTAGCTGGGATAACAGGCGCCCGCCACTACACCCAGCTAATCTTTGTATTTTTAGTAGAGACAGGTTTTTGCCACATCTCTCGAACTCCTGACAGCGAGTGATCCACCTGTCTCGGTCTCCTAAAGAGCTGGGATTACAGGCGTGTACCACGACACCTGGCTAATTTTTGTATTTGTAGTAGAGACAGGGTTTCGCCATGTTGGCCAGGCCGGTCTTGAACTCCTGGCATCAAGTGATCTGCCTGCCTCAGCCTCCCTAAGTGCACAGATTACAGGCATGAGCCACTGCGTCTGCCCAAGACCCCATCTCTTAATAAAAAAAAAAAAAAAAAAAAAAAAAAAGAGGAAAAGGGCTGGGCGTGGTGGCTCACGCCTGTAATCCCAGAACTTTGGGAGGCCTGAGGTGGGCAGATCACGAGGTCAGGAGATCGAGACTATCCTGGCTAACATGGTGAAACCCCCGTCTCTACTAAAAATACAAAAAAAAAAAAAAAAAAAGCCGGGTGTGGTGGCGGGCGCCTGTAGTCCCAGCTACTCGGGAGGCTGAGGCAGGAGAATGGCGTGAACCCGGGAGGCGGAGCTTGCAATGAGCCGAGATCGTGCCACTGCACTCCAGCCTGGGCGACAGAGCGAGACTCCGTCTCAGAAAAAAAAAAAAAAAGAGAAAAGGGTAGAATAGGGTATGGGTTGGGTGGGTGAGGGTGGGGGCAGGAAGCAGGGGTGGTAGAATTAAATAAAGCGGTCAGAGAAGGCTCACTGAGGTGACATTGCAGCCAAGTCGAGAGGGAGGTGTGGGAAGAGCCAAATGGAAATCTGGGGGGCAGAGCAGCCAAGAGAGGAACAGCCTGTGCAAAGGCCCTGAGGCACCAGCAGGCCTGGCATGTTCAAGGAATGGCAGAGGCTGGAGTAAGAGAGGGAGGAGGAGAGTGGGAAGAGGTGAGGTCGGTGAAGTAAGGCGCATCCTACAGAGGCTATGGGGAGCACCTTGGATTTTTCTCTGGGTTCTGAGCTGCGGAGGGCCACGAGCTGCCATGATGGAAACAGGCGCCCTCTGGAGGCCATATGGGGAACAGACGGAAGAGGTTGGGGCTCAGGAGTCCCGGCGTGAAGGCAATTGCAATAGTTCAGGTGGGAGATGATGGCAGCTGGCCAGGGTGGTACCCAGTGTGGAAGGTGTAGAGGGGCCAGATTTGGGGTTTGAGGGCAGAGAAACTGAGATTTCTGGTAGCTTGAATGTGGGATATGACGGGCAGAAGGAGGGCGTAGCAGGGGAAGGAAATAAAGTGGCTTGTTCTGTATGTGACTGGAGCCCAGCTCCTTGCACCAACCCGGGCTCCTGCACCCCTCAGCAGGCCCAGGGATCCCCACCGCCAGGCCGGAGCCAACCCCATGGAACCCAAAGTGCTCAAGCTCCCCAGTGAATGAGGCTCTTAATGTATCACCGCCCGTCAGGCCTGGCCTGGCATCCGGGTTTCTCCACCTGCGGGGTGCAGGGGCCACATTGGTGGGTTCCAGATTCCAAGTTCCAGTATTTGGAGGAGGTGGCAGAGGAGGGCCCCCACCCCACCGTTTTCATCTTTCACCCAAGATTTGCACAGGTTTCATTTTAATGACAGTCCACTGTCTGTTTGTTAGTTAGCTTTGAGATAGAGTCTCACTCTGTTGCCCAGGCTGGAGTGCGGTGGCAAGATCTCAGCTCACTGCAACCTCCGCCTCCTGGGCTCAAGCGATTCTCCCACCTCAGGCTCCTGAGTAGCTGAAACTACAAATGTCCAGATAATTTTTTACATTTTTAGTAGAGACGGGGTTCCACTATGTTGGCCAAGCTGGTCTCAAACTACTAACCTGAGATGATCCACCTGCTTCGGCCTCCCAAAGTGCTGGGATTACAGGCATGAGCCACTGCGCCCAGCCACCCAGCCACTGGTTTTAAAAAATGTTTGACACTGGGCACAGTGGCTCATGCCTGTAATCCCAGCACCTTGGGAGGCTGAGGTGGGTGGATCACCTGAGGTCAGGAGTTGGAGACCATCCTGGCCAACATGGTGAAACCCCATCTCTACTAAAAAAAAAAATACAAAAATTAGCCGGGCGTGGTGGCAGGCACCTGTAATCCCAGCTATTCGGGAGGCTGAGGCAGGAGAATCGCTTGAACCCGGGAAGTGGAGGTTGCAGTGAGCTGAGATCACATCATTGCACTCCAGCCTGGGGGACAAGAGCGAGACTTCATCTCAAAAAAAAAAAAAAAAAAAAAGCAGTGGCTGGGTGCAGTGGTGCATGCCTGTAATCCCAACACTTTGGCCTGGGAGTTCCAGACCAGCCTGGGCAACATAGTGAGATCCCTTGTTTACAAAACAAAACAAAACAAAAACAAAAACCTTTTCTAATTAAAAATAGCTGGGCATGGCCAGGCACAGTGGTGGCTCACTCCTGTAATCCCAGCACTTTGGGAGGCTGAGGCAAATCACCTGCGGTCGGGATTTCGGGACCAGCCTGGCCAACATGACAAAACCCCGTCTCTACAAAAAATACAAAAATTAGCCAGGCCTGGTGGCAGGTGCCTGTGTGGGGAAAAGAAAAAGAGAGATCAGACTGTTACTGTGTCTATGTAGAAAAGCAAGATATAAGAAACTCCATTTTGATCTGTACTAAGAAAAAATTGTTTCTGCTTTGAGATGCTGTTAACCTGTAACTTTAGCCACAACCCTGTGCTCACAGAAACATGTGCTGTAAGGAATCAAAGTTTAATGGATTTAGGGCTGTGCAGGATGTGCCTTGTTAACAATATGTTTGCAGGCAGTATGCTTGGTAAAAGTCATCGCCATTCTCCATTCTCTATTAACCAGGGGCACAATGCACTGCAGAAAGCCGCAGGGACGTCTGCCCAAGAAAGCCTGGGTATTGTCCAGGGTTTCCCCCGACTGAGACAGCCTGGGATATGGCCTCATGGGAAGGGAAAGACCTGACTGTCCCTCAGCCTGACACCTGTAAAGGGTCTGTGCTGAGGAGGAGTAGTGAGAGAGGGAGGCCTCTTTGCAGTTGAGATAAGAGGAAGGCTTCTGTCTCCTGCTCGTCCCTGGGAATGGAATGTCTCGATGTAAAGCTGACCATTCCCATTCGTTCTATTCTGAGCTAGGACAAAACCTCCCTGTGGCTGGAGGCGAGATATGCTGGCAGCAATACTGCTCTGTTGCCCTTTGCTACACTGAGATGTTTGGGTAAAGAGAAACATAAATCTAGCCTACTGCACATCCAGGCACAGTACCTTTCCTTGAACTTACTCATGATACAGATTCCTTTGCTCACATGTTTCCCTGCTGACCTTCTCCTCACCTGTTGCCCTGCTACACTCCCCTCGCTAAGATAGTAAAAATAATGATCAATAAATACTGAGGGAACTCAGAGGCTGGCGCCAGTACAGGTCCTCCGTATGCTGAGCGCCGGTCCCCTGGGCCCACTGTTCTCTCTCTATACTTTGTCTCTGTGTCTTATTTCTTTTCTCAGTCTCTCGTCCCACCTGACGAGAAATACCCATAGGTGTGGAGGGGCTGGTCCCCTTCATGCCTGTAATCCCAGTTACCGAGGAGGCTGAGGCAGGAGGATTGCTTGAATCTGGGAGGCAGAGATTGCAGTGAGCTGAGATCATGCCACTGCACTCCACCCTGGGGACAGAGTAAGATTCTGTCTTAAAAAAAAAATAGCTGGGCATGGTGGTGCATGCCTGTGGTCCTAGCTACTCGGGAGGCTGAGGTGGGAGGATCGATTGAGCTCAGGAGTCTGAGGCTACAGTGAGACATAATCACACCACTACATTCCAGCCTGCGAGACAGAGCAAGGTCTCAAATCTTTAAAAATATTTTTTTTTTTTAGAAAAAGTTTGAGCCAGGCGCAATGGTTCACACTTGTAATCCCAACAGTTTCGGAGGCTGAGGCAGGCGAATCACCTGAGGTCGGGAGTTCAAGCCCAGGCTGGCCAACATAGTGAAACCCCATCTCTACTAAAAATACAAAAACTTAGCTGGGCATGTTGGCACACACCTGTAATCCCAGCTACTTGGGAGGCTGAGACAGGAGAATTGCTTGAACCTGGGAGGTGGAGGTTGCAGTGAGCTGAGATTGTGCCATTGCACTCCAGCCTGGGCAATAGAGCAAGACTGTCACACACACAAAAAAAATAGAATAGAAAAAAAATGAGTAAGTAACGTTTGGTAAAGCTTGTTTCATGAACATGTTTTTCTTTATACACATAGGTTGTTTATGAAATATGTAGGTAGGTTTATAGCTCCATAAACAGGCATCCCTCAGAATATAAACCTAATCTATTCCCAAAAAAGTAGTATATAGAAACTTTGGGGATAAACCACTATTTATTTATTTATTTATTTTTTTGAGACGAAGTTTCGCTCCTGTTTCCCAGGCTGGAGTATAATGGCATGATCTCAGCTCACTGCAGCCTCTGTCTCCCGGGTTCAAGCGATTCTCATGCCTCAGCCTACCAAGTAGCTGAGATTACACGTGCACGGCACTAACCCAGATAATTTTTGTATTTTTAGTAGAAACAGGGTTTTACCACGTTGGCCAGGCTGGCCTCAAATTCGTGACTCCAGGTGATCCATCCGCTTCACCTCCCAAAGTGCTGGGATTACAGGAATGAGCCACCTGCCCAGCTTTAATTTATTTCTTTATTTGAGACGGAGTGTTGCTCTGTCGCCAGGCTGGAGTGCAGTGGCGTGATCTCGGCTCACTGCAACCTCCACTTCCCAGGTTCAATTGATTCTTCTGCCTCAGCCTCCTGAGTAGCTGGGACTACAGGCGCTTTCCACTACGCCCGGCTGATTTTTGTATTTTTACATCCATGTTGGCCAGGATGGTCTCCATCTCTTGACATTGTGATCCACCCGCCTCAGCCTCCCAAAGTGCTGGGATTACAGGCATGAGCCACTGCACCCAGCCCCGGCTTTTATTTTAAGCAGAGAAAATAATGCACTCCCAGCTTCATCCAAAAACGCTAAACAATTTCCTAGAATATCAATAAAAGACTCTTAAACACCTACATAACAGCCTACCACGGATTATGGCATAGTAGAAAGCATTTAAAATACCAATTGCCTAATTATTCAACACTTAAACTCATGAATGATTATGTTTGTGTACAATACAAAAGTATTCTGCACAGAATCAGATATAAATTATATTTTCCTTCCGCAGTGCAATGATCATGGGGTATAACTAAACAAACAAACAAACAAAAAGATACTAAAGATACCGTCTATAATTGGACCCAGGTCAGTGGTGCCTCCAGGCACCTGGCCAAAGTCAACACAGGGGGTTTGGAAGCGGAAGATAATATCAACAATGGCTAACACATTCAACGCACAAAACAGAATCCTGTTAGAACAGGTGAGAAGTAGGGCTGGGTGCAGTGGCTCAGACCTGTAATTCTAGCACTTTGGGAAGCCAAAGTGGGAGGATCACTTGAGTCCAGGAGTTTGAGACCAGTCTGGGCAACATAGTGAGACCCCGTCTCTACAAATAAAAATTAGCGGCCGGGCGTGGTGGCTCATGCCTGTAATCCCAGCACTTTGGGAGGCCAAAGCAGGCAGATCACCTGAGGTCGGGAGTTTGAGGCCAGCCTGACCAACATGGAGAAATCCTGTGTCTACTAAAAATACAAAATTAGCCTGGCATGGTGGCTCATGCCTGTAATTCCAGCTACTCAGGAGGGTGAGGCAGGAGAATCACTTGAACCCGGGAGGCAGAGGTTGCGGTGAGCCAAGATCGCGCCATTGCACTCCAGCCTGGGTGACAAGAGCAAAACTCCGTCTCAAAATAATGATAATAATAATAATAATATTTAGTTGGGTGTGGTGGTGTGCACCTGTAGTTCCAGCCACTCAGGATGCTGAGGCAGGAAAACTGCTAAGGTCCGGGAAGTTGAGGCTGCAGTAAGCCATGATAGCACCACTGCACTCAGCTTGAGCAACAGAGACCCTGTCTCAAAAGAACAGGTGAGATACAACAGCAGCATAGTACTTTTTTCTGGGGGGGGGGCGGTGAGACAGAGTCTCACTCTATCGCCCAGGCTGGAGTGCAGTGGCATGATTTCCAGTCACTGCAACCTCTGCCTCCCGGGTTCAAGCGATTCTCCTGCCTCAGCCTCCCAAGTAGCTAGGATTACAGGTGCCCACCACCACACCCAGCTAATTTTTGTATTTTTAGTAGAGATGAGGTTTCCCCATATGGGTCAGGCTGGTCTCGAACCCCTGACCTCAGGTGACCTACCCGCCTCAGTCTCCCAAAGTGCTCGGATTATAGGTGTGAGCCACCGCGCCCGGCCAGCATAGTCCATATTCTGAACTTACACAGGATGTAAAACAGTTGCAGAGTGGGTTTTTATCCAAATAGCTATTTTGGGGTTTCAAGGAAATAAAATAATTCTTGGGACAATTTGGATAGTGAGAGTTGGGATATGAAGGGATGCTGCATTCCTAAGTAGGTGGTCACAAAGGAAAATAAATTGTTACCATGCGTTGTGCAGATTTTTGTTGTTGTTGCTCTTGAGAGAGTCTTGCTCTGTTGCCCAGGTTCGAGTGCAGTGGCGCAATCTTGGCTCACTGCAACCTCCACTTCTTGGGTTCAAGCGATTCTCCTTGTGCAGATTTTTTTAAGAGATAGGGTCTCAATCTGTTGCTCAGGCTGGAGTGCAGTCACATAATCATAGCTCACTGCAGCCTTGAACCCTTGAGCTCAAGTGATTCTCTCGCCGCCTCAGCCTCTTGAGTAGTGGAAACTCCAGATACGTACCAACCACCACACCCAGATTGTAGAAAAAATTTAACTGGAAGGCACACAGGGCAAAATGCATGTGATTTGTGTACAGGTTCGTTAACTTTCCCAAATGCATCCATCTGTGGAATCATCACCCAAATCAAGGTAAGATATTTGCTTTATCATAGAAGGTTCTTTTGTGCTCCCTTCTGATCAATATGCTATTTTTTTTTTCTTTTGAGATGGAGTCTTGCTCTGTCACCCAGGCTGGAGTGCAGTGGCACAATCTCGGCTCACTGCAAGCTCCGCCCCCTGGGTTCACCACATTCTCCTGCCTCAGCCTCCAGAGTAGCTAGGATTACAGGCGCCCGCCACCATGCCCTGCTAATTTTTTGTATTTTTAGTAGAGATGGGGTTTCACCATATTAGCCAGGATGGTCTCGATCTCCTGACCTCATGATCCGCCCACCTCGGCCTCCCAAAGTGCTAGGATTACAGGCATGAAGCCACCGTGCCTGGCCCCATATTCATTCTCAAAGGTCACCACTGTTCTGATTTCCCACCATAGGCCAGTTGAGCATGTTCTAGCCCTCCTCTAAATGGAACTATACAGTATTTACCGTCTCTGGCTTCTTTATCTCAACAAATTATCTGAAATGCATTTCTGTTGCAGTGTAGGTCGATATCGCTCTTATTTATTGCTGAGTAATCTTCCATTGTATGAATGTACCAGTGTATCCAATTGATTTGTTCCCAAATTTTGGCAATGATGAGTACAGCAGCTAAACGTTTGTGGACACATTTTTGTAAAAGCAAAAGTTTTCACTTCTCTTGGGTAAATACCCAGGAGTGCAACTCCTAAGCTGCATAGTAAATAAATATATATTATATATATATATATTTTTTTTTTTTTTTGAGACAGAGTTTTGCTTTTGTCACCCAGACTGGAGTGCAATGGTGAGATCTTGGCTCACTGCAACATTCTGCCTCCTGGGTTCAAGCGATTCTCCTGCCTCAGCCTCCCAAGTAGCTGGGACTACAGGCATGTGCCACCACGCCCGGCTAATTTTTGTATTTTTAGTGGAGACGGGGTTTCACCATGTTGGCCAGGCTGGTCTCGAACTCCTGACCTCAGGTGATCCATCCACCTCGGCCTCCCAAAGTGTTGGGATTACAGGCGTGAGCCACTGCACCCAGCCTGTATTTTTTAACTTTATTAAGAAACTGCCCAGTTATTTTCCAAAACAACTCAGCCATCTACTAAGGGAGCACCAACCAAGAGATGAGGAGTCCTGTTGTATCCCATCCTCCCTTGGTCTTGTATTCAGCCATTCTACTGTGTATAGTGGTGTCTCATTGTGGTTTCCCGTGGTGTTTAAGAGACAGGGTCTGGCTGGGCGTGGTGGCTCACGCCTGTAATACCAGCACTTTGGGAGGCCAAGGTGGGTGGATCACTTGAGGCACCGGTCTCTACTAAAAATACAAAAATTAGCTGGGCATGGTGGCAGATACCTGTAGTCCCAGCTACTTCGGAGGCTGAGGCAGGAGAATCGCTTGAACCTGGGAGGCGGAGGTTGCAGTGAGCCAAGATCGTGCCACTGCACTGCACTCCAGCCCAGACAACAGAGCCAGACTCCGTTTCAAAAAAAAAAAAAAAAAAAAGCGACAGGGTCTCACTCTGTTGCCCAGGCTGGAGTGCAGTGGCATGATCATGGGTCACTGCATCCTTAAACTCCTGGGCTCAAGGAATCCTCCCCACCGCAGACTTCTGAGTAGCTGGGACTGCAGGTGTGCACCACTGCACCTGCCTAATTTTTTGTGTTGTTTTTGAGACAGAGTTTTGCTCTTTCACCCGGGCTAGAGTGCAGTGGTGCGATCTCGGCTCACTGCAACCTCTGCCTCCCGGGTTCAAGCAATTCTCCTACCTCAGCCTCCTGAGTAGCTGGGACTACAGGCGCCCACCACCATGTCTGGCTAATTTTTATATTTTTAGTAGAGACAGGGTTTCACCATGTTGGCCAGGCTGATCTTGAACTCCTGACCTCGTGATTCGCCCGCCTCGGCCTCCCAAAGTGCTGGGATTACAGGTGTGAGCCACCGTGCTCGGCCTTAATTTTTGTATTTTTTTGTAGAGACGATGTCTCACTATGTTGCCCAGGCTTGTCTTGAACTCCTGGCCTGGAGTGATCTCAAAGTGCTGGGATTACAGGTGTGAGCCCCCATGCCCAGCCCAGTGGTGTTTCTTGATGAGCAGATACTGTCATTGCAGTGGCCAGTGCTTTAAGTCAAATTCTCAAGAACACCTGATTAAATAGTTGACACTCAATTTTATTGCTAAAAAAAATGTCCTCTGGAGTGACAGCAGGTATTTGTCCTCAGCCTCTCCCCAGAGTCCCTGGGAGTGTTTCTGTTATTGTGGAGGGAATAGGGGATCTGGGGACAGGGTGGGACGTACCATGGGGACAGGAGGTCACAGAACACACACACACACACACACACACACACACACACACACGTGCACACACACATCCCCCCACAACTACAGCCGCCAAAATAACCAGCATGGTGTTGTAACATCCCCCCAGTGGGGGCTAGAATTCCCCATGGTGACCTGTGACCTGCTCCCTGAGACAGGGGAGGCCAGGCAGGTCACGGTGGGGACGCAGCAGAACATTATTTCTCCATCTTGCTGTTTTCTAGCCTTGAGTTGGGGACATGAGTGAGAACTGGGGGTTTTGAGGAGTAACCCTTGTGAACACATGTACTCCAGCAGCCAGGCATCCCAGATCTCCTGTCCTGGAGGGTGCTGGGGCCCCTGGCTCCCCAGAGTGTGCAGGCAGACCCCCAGAGCCCTAGCTCATCCATTTATCCATTCCTCATAATCCAGTGTCCAAAGAGCACCCCCAGCAGGGCAGGGAAGGTCCCTCCCGGGGTTTACATGACTGATTCCTTCTCAGAGGCGACCGTGGCATCCCCTGCGGGCCCCCGATAGTGTTTGAGGAGGGGGTTTCCTTCCTCAGTGGGGACTGGCAGCGGATCCAGGGGCAGCTCACTCTTCACTTGTATCAACTCAGGCTCTGTGCTTCTCGACTCCGTACGGTCCACGTAATTTTGGAGGAGTCCTGCCCCCAGAGCGTCACCTTCTACATTGAGGACGGTACAGGACCGGTCGCTAAAGGGGTAGAAATGACAGCAAAGTAAGCGGGAGGGGAGAGGGTGAGAGGGAAGGAAAGGGCCAAGGCCTAAGCCTCCTGCCTCTCTCCCCCTGGAATCTAAAAAGTAAAAATTAAGAGTTGGAGTCAGCCTGGGCAACATAGTGAGATCCCATCTTTATATATATTTAAAAAAAAAAAAAATTAGCCAGGCATGGTAGTGCACACCTATAGTCCCAGCTACTCAGGAGGCTGGGGCAGGAGGATCGCTGGAGCCTGGGAGGTGGAGGCTGCAGTGATCACAACCATGATCACATCACTACACTCCAGCCTGGGTGACAGAGCCAGACTGTGTCTCGAAAAAAAATTATAATTCACCTACCATAAAATTAACCTTTTAAAAGTGTCCATCTTGGTATTTTTTAGTATATTCAGACTTGTGCAACCATTGCCAATAATTAATTCCAGAATTTTTTTTTTTTTTTTTTTTTGAGACAGGATCTCACTCTGTTGCCCAGGCTGGAGTGCAGTGGCACAATCTCGGCTCACTGCAACCTCCACCTCCCAAGTTCAAGCGATTCTCCTGCCTCAGCCTCCTGAGTAGCTGAGATCACAGGACAGGCGTACACCACCATACCCGGCTAATTTTTTTGTATTTTTAGTGGAGATGGGGTTTCACCATGTTGGTCAGGCTTGTCTCAAACTCCTAACCTCAAATAATCCACCTGCCTGGGCCTCCCAAAATGTTGGGATTACAGGTGTGAGCCACCGTGCCTGGCTGCTTTCCAATCTTTATACTCTTAATAGCTTAATCGTGATAGCAAATAATTATGTAGCAATTACTGCTTACTGGGGGCTGCTCTAAGGGAGGTGTGTCTGTTATCTAATCCTTAGGGAGAGACTGTTCTTCTCCCCGTTTTACAGATGGAGAAACTGAGACGCAGGAAGATTAAGCACTTCCCGAGGTCACAACAGTGAATGTTGGAGCTGGGATGTGAACCTGAGCAGTCTGGCTGAAGAGTCTGCTGTATTCACCACACAGACGCTCTACTTTTCTGACATCCCTCTTAGAGCCACAAAGATGCCATTCCTTGCCCTCAGGAATGCTCAAGGTTCCCCCCATTTCCTCCAGAATTCCTTCCTTCTTCTCTTCCTCTTCTGTCCAGAGGCTCTAAGGACTCTCACTCACTCATCCTCTTTCCCAGGGGTACCCCTGGCCCTGCCCCAGTCTCCAGACCCACACTCACACTAGCCAGTCCACAGCCAGGATCAAGGAGATATGGTCGACCGGGAGGTTGACTGCTTCGAGGATGATGGCCAGAGTGAGGACACCTCCAGCAGGGATGCCCGCTGCCCCCACGCTGGACGCTGTGGCCGTGACCCTGAGGGAGAAGGTGGGAGGTTAGGCAGATGCCTGTCTTGTGGGAGAAGATGGGGGTCAACAGGGGTCCGGGGGTCCCATCCGCAGCCCCCTGACACTCACAGGATGGTGATGATCTTTACGAAGTCCAAGGACTGCTGGCTGAGCTGTGCAATGAACACTGCGGCCACGCACTGGAAGAGCGCGGCACCGTCCATGTTGACGGTGGCGCCGATGGGCAGGATGAAACGGCTGATGTGCTTGGCCACGCCATTATTCTCCTCCACGCACTTCATCATCAGCGGCAGCGTGGCGGAACTGCAAGGGATGGGGGAGCTGAGTTAGGTTAACCTGCTGACCGGGGCTCCGCCCACCCTCCAGGTCCAGCCCAGGTGAGGCCTCGCCTACCCCACCCCAACCAGCCAAAGCCCCACCCACCCCACCCAGTGGATCCCCACCAGAGCCTGCCTAAGCAAAGCCCTGTCACCCAACCACCCTCCAGGTCTGACCTGCACCACCCACCCAGTTGAAGCCCCGCCCACCCAGAGCCCACCCACACCACCTGCCCAGCCAAAGCCCCGCCCACCCAGATCCCGCCCATACCACTTGCCCAGCCAAAGCCCCGCCCACCAGATCCTGCCCATACCACCTGCCCAGCCGAAGTCCCACCCACGTCCCCAGTCTGTCCCTTGGCCCAAGGCCCCCACATCTAACCTAGACCCCCCTTCCCTCCTACCATGTCCTGACTCCACCCCCAGCCCTCACTTGCTATATCTAAGCTCTTTTCCCACAAGCAGGCAGCACTAGGGAACTCAATACCAGGATTACAAAATCCATGAGTCCTGGAACCCCTGGGAGAGTATAGACTACTACCTCCCAAAATACCCACACAATTCACACCTAAATTCTACTGTCTGGGTCCTGCTGACTCTCACCAATAATACACTAAGAATTACTATTGTCTTGGGAGGGGACAGGGCCAGCAGGGATGAATGAAATGCCCAGGAGAGACGGTGGAAGGAGTTCTGAGGTTGAATCAGAGCAGAACTTAAGAGCCCCCCAGGGGCATGGCAGCTCACACCTATAATCCCAGCACTTTTGGAGGCCAAGGTGGGCGGATCACTTGAGGCCAGGAGTTTGAGACCAGCCTGGCCAACATGGCGAAACCCCGTCTCTACTAAAAACACAAAAATTAGCTGGGTATGGTGGGGGACACTTGCAGTCCCAGCTACTCGGGAGGCTGAGGCAGAGAATCACTTGAACCCAGGAGGCAGAGGTTGCAGTGAGCTGAGATCACACCACTACACTCCAGCCTGGGCAACAGAGCGAGACGCCATTGTTTAAAACAAAAGAAAAAAAAGAGTGCCTCCAGGGCCACGGGGAGGCAGTGTAAGAAAGAGGGAAATAAATCTCTAGGGCAATCATTTCCTATCTTTTTAAGGGTGGGGATAAATCCAGGACCTTATGAGAATCTCCTGAAGTATGGCCCCTGTACCCAGATACAATGTCCCGGGCAGAGAAAATTTCATCCGCTCCATGCCGCTTAGCGGATTAAACATCCCACCCTAGCCCACCCCAAGGCCGTACCTGGAAGAGGTCCCAAAGGCAGTGGCCAGCGGCGTCACGATGCCCCACAGGAAGCGGTAGGGGTTTTTGCGGGTGAAGAGGAAGTAGATGAGGGGCAGTACCAGGAGCCCATGGATGGCGTGACCCAGCAGGCAGCACAGAATGTACTTGCCAAGGCGGGCAAAGAGTAAACCCACATCCTCCATCTCCACGATCTTGCCAGCCACCAGGAACATGATGCCCACAGGGGCGTACCTGATCAGTAACACAGGAGACAGCTTGTTGCCTCTTCCACGGGCCCAGTGGCCAGGCGTGAGGCTCAGCACCCTACCCACATCTTCCTGCCTTCCTGAGGTCAGGAGAAGCCCCAGCAATGTGTGCTTCAGCATGGGCACCACTCCCAGGCCTGGCCCCTGAAGCCCCCATGCCAATCTCATGCTCTCTTTCCCCTCAAAGGTAGAGCAGCCCGGAGATAAAACTCTCCGTGCAGGCCGGGCACGGTGGCTCATGCCTGTAATCCCAGCACTTTGGGAGGCTGAGGTGGGTGGATCACCTGAGGTCGGGAGTTCAAGACCAGCCTGACCAACATGGAGAAACCCCGTCTCTACTAAAAATACAAAATTAACCAGGCGTGGTGGCGCATGCCTGCAATCCCAGCTACTTGGGAGGCTCAGGCAGGAGAATTGCTTGAATCAGGGAGGCAGAGGTTGCTGTGAGCCAAGATCATGCCATTGCACTCCAGCCTGGGCAACAAGAGTGAAACTCCATCTCAAAAAAAAAAAAAAAAAAAAAGTCTCAGTGCTTCCATCACCATGTGAAGCAGTCACCAGATTTGGACTTCACATGGGAGACAGAAAGAAATGTCCATCAAGGTGCGCCATTCACACTTCCTGGGTTGGTTTGCTATGGCAGCTAGCATGACTTGAGCCAATACGCTCTCTGCAGATGATGAAAGATAAAGAGGCTGGGCACAGTGGCTCATGCCTATAATCCCAGCACTTTAGGAGGTGAAAGCAGGAGGATTACTTGAGGCCAGGAGTTCTCGAGACCAGCTTGGGCAACACAGCGAGACCCAGTCTCTACAAAAAATAAAAATAGGCCAGGCACGGTGGCTCATACCTGTAATCCCAGCATGCAGGGAGGTGAAGGCAGACAGATCGCTTGAGCCCAGGAGTTCAAGACCAGCCTGGGCAACATGTCTCTCTTTTTTTTTTTTTGAGATGGAGTCTCACTCTGTTGCCCAGGCTGGAGTGCAGTGGCATGATCTCGGCTCACTGCACCCTCCGCCTCCCAGGTTCAAGCGATTCTCCTGCCTCAGCCTCCCAAGTAGCTGGGACTATAGGCGCGTGCTACCACGCCCAGCTAATTTTTTGTATTTTTAGTAGAGACAGGGTTTTTCTGTGTTAGCCAGGATGGTCTCGATCTCCTGACCTCGTGATCTGCCTGCCTCAGCCTCCCAAAGTGCTGGGATTATAGGCATGAGCCTCCGTACTGGGCCACCCAGTTTCTTAAACAACAACAACAAAAAAAATGAGCTAGGCTTTGTGGCTGGGGTCTGTAGTCCCAGCCACTTAGGAGGTTGAGGTGGGAGGATCACCTGAACCCAGGAGGTCCGGGCTGCAGTGAGCTGTGATCATGCCACACTGCACTCCAACCTAGGCAACAGAGCGAGATCCTAGTTCAAAAAACGTTTTTTTAAATTACTATTATTATTATTATTTAGACAGTCTCGTTCTGTTGCCCAGGCTGGAGTGTACTGTTGCAATCTTGGCTCACTACAACCTTTGCCTCCCAGGTTCAAGCGATTTTCATGCCTCAGCCTCCTGAGTAGTAGCTAGGATTAAAGGTGTACACCACCATTCCCAGCTAATATTTGTATTTTTTTGTAGAGAGGGTTTTTCGCCATGTTGACCAGGCTAGTCTCTAACTCCTGGCCTCAAGCAATCCTCCCCCCTCAGCCTCCCAAAGTGCTGGGATTACAGGTGTGAGGTACCACAACCAGCCAAAACACACATTTTTAAAATAAAAATTTGAAGGCCAGGAGCGGTGGCTCACACCTGTAATCCCAGCACTTTGGGAGGCCGAAGAGGGCGGATCGCTTGAGGTCAGGAGTTTGAGACCAGCCTGGCCAACATGGCAAAACCCTGTCTCTACTAAAAATACAAAAATTAGCTGGGTATGGTGGTTCGTGCCTTTGGTCCCAGCTGCTCAGGAGGCTGAGGCAGGAGAATCACTTGAACATGGGAGGCAGACATTGCAGTGAGCTGAGACTGTGCCACTGCACCTCCAGCCTGGGCGACAGAGCAAGACTCTGTCTCTAAATAAATAAATAAATAAAATAAATACAAATTTTAGAAAGACCATGGCCTGGGTCTTAATAACAACTCCCAGGTATGAAGCATTTGCGATGTGCTCTGCCCTTGAACATGATGTTGAATCTTCCCAGCAACCCCCGGAGGGAGGTCCTATGAGTCAGATTGCAGATTACACAACACCCAATAGATTCCTCACGGGAATGCTGGGAGGATGCAATGAGATGCCAGTTGAAAGGAGCTAAAGCTTTTTACAGACAATAAGTGATCTGTAAACTTCAGGTGGGTTTATTATCACCCTCTCCTGCTGTGAAGATCCCAGGGATGGCTCCAAGCCAAGAGGACTCCCAAGTCCGGGCGCGGTGGCTCACGCCTGTAATCCCAGCACTTCGGGAGGCCGAGGTGGGCGGATCACCTGAGGTCGGGAGTTTGAGACCAGCCTGACCAACATGGAGAAACCCCGTCTCTACTAAAAATACAAAATTAGCCGGGCATGGTGGCGCATGCCTGTAATCCCAGCTACTCGGGAGACTGAAGCAGGAGAATCTCTTGAACCCGGGAGGCGGAGTTTGCAGTGAGCTGAGATCACGTCATTGCACTCCAGCCTGGGCAACAAGAACGAAACTCCATCTCAAAAAAATAAAATAAAATAAAAGCCTCCCAACATCACTTCCCTAGACTACTCGATCATCGGTCGCCCATCCATCATCACTGACTAGTTATCTCCCCAGTCCCTTCTTGTAAGTCACAGAAGAAAGGCATATTTTCCCAGCCACTTGTGCAGAGAAGGGAGGCTAGATACCCAAGTTCTGGCCAGTGGGAAGTATCCAGAAGTTATACAAGCAAAAAGCCCAATAAATATTAGCTACTAGGATTTACTGTAGGCACGCAATAAGCCAGGCACTGTCCTAAGACCTTCCGTGTACCGTATTCACTTTCTTTTCTTTTCTTCTTGAGACAGAGTTTCCCTCTGTCGCCCAGGCAGTGGCATGATCTCCGCTTACTGCAACTTCCGCCTCCCAGGCTTAAGTGATTCTCATACCTCAGGTTCCCGAGTAACTGGGATTACAGGTGCGTGTCCCCATGCCTGGCTAATTTTTTCGTATTTTTAGTAGAGATGGGGTTTCACCATGTTGGCCAGGCTGGTTTTGAACTCCTGATCTCAAGTGATCCACCCACCTCCTCCCAAAGTGCCGTTCCCATTTTATAGATGAGGAAACTGAAGCAGAGAAGGAAAATCACTTGCCTAAAATCACATAGACAGGGAATGGTCAATGCTGGATTTAAATGCAGGTCATCTGGCTCCAAAGAGTGAATAGAGGGTGCCCCATCCCAAACAGAATGCCCCGCACCTGCCTCTGGCAGCAGACCGACCCTCCAACCCCACCCACCCCCAGCCTCCTCTCCCACCACCTACCACATGATCCAGGAGACCAGAACCATGGTGGCCTCATTGAAGGAGTTGAAGAAGCGGATAAGCAGCTCCCCTTCAGGCCCCAGCTTCCGCAGCGCCACACCAAAGACGATGGCAAACACTACCAAGCCCAGGATGTTCATCCCCTCCACCTCCTGCCCCACGGGCACCTGTGGGCAAGGAACAGATCGGGGTGGAAAGGACACTCAGTCTACCTGCACAGTCACTGAGGGCCTGTCCTTGGCACCACTGGGACCCAGCAGAGACAAGGCAGCCCTCAGACCCCTTCCTCCCAAGGCTCCCAGTCCAGGTCCAGGGGAAATATATTAGTCGTCAGGGATGGCCCAGAGTAGGTGGGGCTGGAATAAGGGAGTCCAGGGGAGTGTGGGAACCAAGAGAGGGCAGTGCCAGCTTGGGGAGTAGGGGGCAGTCAGGGGGGACTTCCTGGAGGAAGGAGCATCTGAGCTGAGACCTGGAGGACAAGAGGAGTGAACCAGGTAAAGAAGGGTGGTAGAAAGATCTACAGAGAGGAAGCAGAATGTGCAACAGCCTAGAAATGAGTGCAACTTGGGCATTCAAAGAAGAGCCATAATCTACTGTGGCTAGAGTAGAATAATCTGGGCAGGGTCACTAGTTAAGGATGGGCAGCCAGGCGGGCTGGCAGGGGTTTGACCTCACAGGGAGCCCTTGGTCATAGACTGTAGCAAGGAGACTGGACTTTCTCCTGAAGGCACTGAGGCACATGGCAGGGCTCTGGGTACTGCAGAGATAGGGTCACATTTGTGTTTTGAAAAGATCCTCGGGCGGAGCACGGTGGCTCACGCCTGTAATCACAGCACTTTGGGAGGCTAAGGTGGGCAGATCACCTGAGGTGGGGAGTTCCAGACCACACTGACCAACATGGAGAAACCCCATCTCTACTAAAAATACAAAATTAGCCGGGCATGGTGGCACATGCCTGTAATCCCAGCTACTCAGGAGGCTGAGGCAAGAGAATAATCACTTGAACCCGGGAGGCGGAGGTTGCAGTGAACCGAGATCACGCCATTGCATTCCAGCCTGGACAACAAGTACAAAATTCTGTCTCAAAAAAAAAAAAAAAAAAGAAAGAAAGAAAAGAAAAGATACTCAGGGCCAGGAGCAGTGCCTCACGCCTGTAATCCCAGCACTTTGCGAGGCGGCCAAGGTGGGCAGATCACTTGAGCCCGAGAGTGCAAGACCAGCCTGGGCAACATGGCAAAACTCAGTCTCTATAAAAGATACAGAAATTAGCCAGGTGTGTTATAGTCACAGCTACTGGGAAGGCTGAGGTGAGAAGGATCACTTGAGCCCAGGAGGTGGAGACTGCAGTGAGCTGTGATCGTGCCACCGTACTCCAGCCTGAATGATGGAGAGAGATCCTGTGTCAGAAAAACAACAACAAAAACCTCTGGCTGGCTGCCAGTTTGAGCAGGTTGAGGGTGGATGGAAGGGGGCAGGGAGAGGGCAGCATGGAATGGGGTTGGGGGGTGAGGGAGAAAGGAAGAGCCTGGGCACCTGGGGTGGGAAAAGAGGGGACAAAGTAGAGACCTATCCAGAAGGCAGAAAAGACAGAAATTGGGGAAGGACTGCAGAGTGTCAATCAAATTCCACAGCAAAGACTAAGGCAGAAATAAAACCAAAAAATTATAGCAATAGGCAAAGAGGTAGAGCCCCCGCTGCCTCCCACTGCTCTCACCTTCACCCTGGTTCCGGTGATATTCCTCTCTTCATAGGTGGTAGAGTACTGTAGGTGGGGTTGGGAAGAGTCAGTGTCCATCGTTACCAGGGCCTCCCAACCCCATGCCAAGCTAACAATGCTCAAAGCCTGCCCTTCCACATCCTTTCAATGTGATCTCATTTCATCTGCTGGCAACCCCATGGGGCAGGATGATCAATACCCCCATTTTCCAGAGGTGGAAAACCGAGGCTCAGAGAGGTAAACACATTTACCCAGAGTCACACAGCTAGAATTAAAACTCACAGGAGGCTCTGAGCCCGTATTCTCATTGACATGCATTTTTCCAGGAACTAACCAAAATCAGGTAGCAAGGGCTCCCCCTGGCTGGCATCCCTCCCTGTCCACCCCCATCCCCTCAGGACACCCCTGAGGACTCACTGAGCGAAAGGCTGCTGACACCAGGTTGGAAGGGAAGATATTTCTGCAGAGACAGACACACAGAGGGTTATTAGATACCATAGTGGGAGGGCAGCATTGTCTGAGAGGCTGGGTTGGCGTTTTAAGGCAGCGAGTGGAAGCTTTGGGGGCCCGCCTGCACGCAAATACAGCCCCTACTCATGCCTCAGCCCGGCAGGGTTGGAACTAGGCTTGCACCCCTTTGCAGGACTTGGGGAGTCAGCCTCCTTCAGCCCCAAGAGGCTGGCGTGCTAGCCCTGAGGCATTGTGGGTTCGGGGTGAGGAATGCTGGCCTCCCACGGCAGGCCAGGGCAGGTCGCCCCGGGCCTCAGCTCCACCCCATGCAGCAAACTTAATACCCTGGACAGCTTGCATCAGCCACTTCCTCCTGGAGGGCCTGCCAGCGGCTCTGAGAGTATGGGGGAGGATCTGGGTGTGTTGGGAGGCGGTGGCGGGGAGGGAGAAAAGGGACGGCTTCATATCTCATGAATATGCATCTGTGTTTACAAGGCTACCCTTACTCTTGTGTGACAGTGTCTGCCTTAAGATGAAAATAGTAGCTAAGGCCAAGGCGCCATGGCTCTTGCCTGGAATCCCAGCACTTTGGGAGGCCAAGGCAGACAGATCGCTTGAGCCAGGAGTTGAAGACCAACCTGGGCAACATGACGAAACCGTGTCTCTACAAAAAATACAAAAATTAGCCAGGCATGGTGGCATGTGCCTGTAGTTCCAGCTACTCTGGAGGCTGAGGTGGGAGGATCACTCAAGCCCGAGGAGGTTGAGGCTGCAGTGAACCAAGATCAAGCCACTGCATTCCAGCCTGGGACCGAGTGAGACTCTCTCAAAAAATATATATAGCAGCTAAGCCATCTACAGCACCTACCGTGTGGCAGGCAGGCATTTTGGCCTGTGCTTGACACAAATTAACCCATTTCATCCTCACGACAGCCTTGGGGATAATCACTATTACCCCATTTTACAGAAAAGGAAGCTGAGGCCCAGAAGGGTAAAGAAAATTGCCCAGCTGGGAAATAGCAGAGCTGGGATTTGAACCCAGCCAGCTGGCTCCATAGCCCCAAGCACTCCACATGCTCCCTCTCACCAATGACTGGTGTACAGCCAACGCCATGTGCCCATATACAATCTGTCAAATGTTAATAGTTTGGGTGCAGGTTAAGGTTCAGTAGTATGGGACAGTGTCCATGGATGGCCACCCATGCATCACGGTACAGTAAAATAACGTCATGGTAGAGGAATGAGTTTGGCCGGGTGCGGTGGCTCACGCCAGTAATTCCAGCCTTTTGGGAGGCTGAGGTGGGCAGATAACTTGAGGTCAGGGGTTCGAGACCAGCCTGGCCAACATGGCAAAACCCCGTCTCTACTAAAAACACAAAAATTATCCAGGCGTGGTGGCACACGGAAGGCTGAGGCACGAGAATCACTTAAATCCAGGAGGTAGAGGTTGCAATGAGCCAAGATCGCACCACTGCACTCCAGCCTGAGCAACAGAGACTGTCTCAAAAAAAAAAAAAAAAAGCATGAGTTTATTGGTGTGTGACCACATAGGTGTGTATGTGAGTGTGTATTGTGTGCTCTTGAGCCTGTGTTTAGATGTTGGCGTGGCTGGTGGCATCACTGAATGGCTGTGCTACAGGGGTCTTAGTACACAGTGAGCGTGTGTATGACCGCTGGTATCTGGCCATGTGTTTGTCGAGATGCTACAGCCTCAGCTGAGTGTCTGCGTGAATGTGTCCAGCTGTATGTCATTTGGTTATAAGCCTGTGTGGCAGGCCAAGTGTGAGCTACAGCTGTTTTGGCACGCAGGGGAGGCCTGTGCTCATAAACAGCCTCGGAGTGGGTGTGCCTGCCTGAAGGTCCGCCTGTACCACCCAGGCCCAGGCTGGGCCAGGACCCAGCTAATCTCCCCCAGCCAGAAGGTGCTCCCAGGCTTCAACTCGGGACACCAAGCCTGCCCCAGTCTCGCATCTCAGCCTGCACTGACGCCCCAGAGGCTGGAGAACCCTGTTCCGTGACTCATCATTTCCTTCCCCCAACTTCCAGGAAGTCCCCAACGTGGAGACACTGAATGAGCAAGCCCTAAAGGCAAGCGCAAGGGGGCCTCTGCCCCCCGCCCTCCTCAAAGTGGGGGAGGCCATTCTTGGGGGCGCGGGGCAGAGGCCAGGAGAAGGAAAAGAATCTGCTCCCCTTTCTAACTGGTCCTCTTCTGGGCTGCCTGCTAGGGGGTGGCCCAGACAGAGGAGGAAACGGGAGGGAAAGGCAGGGGTGGCAGGGCTGATCTAAAAGATAAAGGGGAAGCGGCCAGACCCCAGCTGAAATGGGCGGGAAGCGGAGGCCAAAAACAGAGCCTGGTTATGTCCGAGTGACACGTGGTGTGGGGGTGCCCCAGGGCTGGGAAGAGGGCCTGGTGGGAGTTACTCAGATCTCAGATCCTCCAGGGGCTCCTTACCCAAACTCTCCAACCCTGGCCCCAAATTATATCTAGAAGCCCCATCTTGGGGCCCTTGACCACGCAAAGATTCCCCCCGCAAAAGTTCCTCCTGGGGTCCCCTCCCCTCAGTGTCTTTCTCCCCTAGGCAGACCCTCCTATGTCTCCCCAAATCACTTTCTTCTCCCTCTATAAGACCCCACTTATGTACCCAGGCCCCCAGATTTAGAAACCCCTTCCCCAGGAGACTAGACTCACACTCCCGAGGGCTGGAGCCTCCCCTCAATATCCTGTCGAGTTTTCCTAAGACTCTAGAGGGAAGTCTCTGCTCCAGGGGCCCCAAAGCCCCGTCCTGTCCACGTGACCACTCCCGCCATCCGTAACACTCTTCCCCACCTCCCGGGGGAGCGGGAGCTGACCTCGCAAGATCCAGGAACGAATCGAGCACCTCCTTGCTGGGGGCATTTTCGGCACTGCCCGCGGCTCCCACGGAGGCGTTGATGGCGGCGGAGGCGGCGCCCGGCTGCAGAGCCAGCGCCAAGCCCACTCCGAGCGCCGACGCCAGCAGCGTGGTGACCAGGAAAAAGAGCAGCGCCCAGGCGCCCAGACGGCCGAGCGCGCCGGGGTCCAGGCTGGCGGCGCCGCCGATCAAGCTGCACACCACCAGCGGCAAGATGATCATCCGCAGCAGACGCAGCAGCAGCTCGCCCGGGAAGACGAAGGCGCTCAAGCGCTCCGGGCCCAACGCCAGCGCACCCCCGGCCCCCGACACCCCCAGTCCCAGCGCCACGCCGGCCACCACGGCCACCACTGTCAGCAGCACAAGCAGGTTGGCTCGAAGGCAGCGGCGCACCTGGTCCCGGGAACCGCAGTAGCCGCCTGCTGCCGCGCCTTGGTCCTCGATGGAGGCCAGCGCCAGGCCCCCGTTGGCGGTGGGCTCCGCCGCTGCGAGCCCCTTGGAGTCTCGAGGAGGATCGGCCACCATGATGGGAAGCACCGGGGTTTCTTAGCGCCTGGAAGCTGGCTGGGAGCGCTTGGGCTCCTTCCCAGGACCCGACGTTCCTAGGACTGAGTTGAGTAACAGCACCTGGAGACTGGAACTTTGGAGGGCTCCTTAGAGTTGTGAGTTCACAGCACTGAAGTTCCTTGGCTCTTGGAAGCTGGAGTGTTTAAATTCCCCAGGCTGGGCGCTGAGGCTTCTCTGCTCTGCCCCGTGTGCCAGATGTCCGAAAGCTGGGAGTTCGGAGCGCCCGGGTTCCTTGGCCCTAGGAGCTGGGAATACGAGAGTTTCTCTGGGTGGGACGTGGGGCCCTTGGCTCCAGGAGGTTGAGTGCCCCCAGATGGCGGAGGTCTGCAGGAGGCTAGGTTCTGGTGGCGCAGATCCCGGACGCCTGGATCCGGGAGGCGGGGACCCGGGCTGCCTGGGTCTTGGACACTGAGGGCTGGGATGCCAGAATCTGGGGGCCGGGAAGCGGACCTCCGGAAACAGGGGACCCAGGCTCTTAGGTCCGGGAGGGTGGGATGCGGGCCCCTGTGTACGGAAGGCGGTGGTCTGGTGTCCGGGAGTAGCGGTTACCAGCCAGAGAAAGCCTCCCGGGCGTGCCGCGTGGCTCTGAGCCCGTTTAGCGGAAGCTGCCAGGGATAAGGGTAGGGGGCGGGGCTTGAGAAGGCGGGGACCGACCCTCGGGCGCCGATTGGCTGCAGAGCGTTCGGAGACTGGACGAGTAGGGGCGGGGCTGATACCCGAGATGGGCCAGGTCCCCCATAGAAGGCAGATTAATAATACCCATCTCCAGGAGCCGGGCCCAGAGACGACGGGGCGGGGCCAGGAAGGGGCGGGGCCTTGGGAGGGTGCTGTTTCCCGCCAAAGGAACTGGGTTGTGGGTTGGAGCCCTTAAACCACAGGGGTTCGTTCCCTGGTGCGAGGGTCGCTAGAAAGCTCCGGTGGTCCTCGGTGATTCATTTGCAACTCAACTCAGCTTTGGAACTCCTCAGCCCTGAGTTTGGTCTTTAGTCGCCTCTGAGAACTTTAATTCCTCGAATATAAAGTGCAGGTGTTAAAAGCTTTTGTCTCATATGATTGCTGTAAGATTTAAATAAAATTGATGTATTTATTTAGGGAGCCGTGGCTCAAGCCTGTAATCCCACCACTTTGGGAGGTGAAGCGGGCGGATCACTTGAGGTCAGGAGGTCGAGACCAGCCTGGCCAACATGGTGAAACCCGTCTCTACTAAAAATACAAAAATTACCTGGTGTGGTGGCACGTGCCTGTAATCCCAGCTACTGGAAGCCTGAGGCAGGAGAATCGCTTGAACCCCAGAGGCAGAGGAAGTCATTCACCTTGAGGCCACACCTAGAGAGGATGACACGTGCATGCCCACCTCCCAAGCCCCTAACCGCACCCACTCTGCTGCCTCCCCAAATTCTCTGTTAGTGGCCGTTTGGGAGGTTAACAATGAATTATGATTCCTTACTCCACCTGACAGTGTTGAAATCCTCATTCCTTTCCCATCTCTAGCCTGTTCTGTGACATTTCAGGCTTTCATGCTTGCTCAAAGATTGTAGTGGTAATGTCAGAAGCTTCCTCCTACAGCAGCTGTGAGGCCTCAGGTAATTTACAACCTCTATGAGGCTCAGTCTTCATATGTGTAAATGGGAATAATAATAAGTCATACCGCCTTGAGTGTTGCAAGGGTTCAAATGAGATAATACGGCCGGGCGCAGTGGCTCACGCCTGTTATCCCACCACTTTGGGAGTTGATGCGGGCAGATCACTTGAGGTCAGGAGTTCCAGACGAGCCTGGCCAACATGGCAAAACCCTGTCTCTGCTGAAAATGCAAAAATTAGCTGGGTGTGGTGGCACATGCCTGTAATCCCAGCTACTCAGGAGGCTGAGGCAGAAGAATTGCTTGAATCCAGGAGGCAGAGGTTGCGAAGAGCCGAGATCTCACCACTGCACTCCAGCCTGGGTGACAGAGTGAGACTCCACCTCAAAAAAAAAAAAGTTATTTATTTGTGCTTTAAAATTTTTTGTTCTTTCTCTCTTCTTTTGTTTCTAACAAAAATGCCCTTCAGAAGAAAGTCAAATACTACTGCTGCGATTGCTGTTATTGTTATTATTACTGAAGAACAAGCTGGATTCAGTGGCATGCACCTGTAGTCCCAGGTATTTGGGAGGCTAAAGCAGGAGGATCCCTTGAGGCCAGGAGTTCAAGGCTGCAGTGAGCTATGATCGTGCCCACATTTAGCCACTAGACTCCATCCGGGGCAACATAGTGAGACCTTATCTTTAAAAACATGAAAATAGGCCAGGCATGGTGGCTCATGTCTGTAATCTCAGCACTTTGGGAGGCCAGAGTGGGCAGATCATGAGGTCAGGAGATCGAGACCATCCTGGCCAATATGGTGAAACTCTGTCTCTACTAAAAATACAAAAATTAGTTGGGCATGGTGGCATGCACTTGTAGTCCCAGCTACTCAGGAGGCTGAGGCAGGAGAATCGCTTGAACCCGGGAGGTGGAGGTTGCAGTGAGCCAAGATCACACCTCTGCACTCCAGCCTAGTGACAGAGTGAGACTCCGTCTCAAAATAAATAAATAAATATTTTAAAAAATTTTTCGGCCGGGCATGGTGGCTCACGCCTGTAATCCCAGCACTTTGGGAGGCCGAGGCGGGTGGATCACAAGGTCAGGAGATCGAGACCATCCTGGCTAACACGGTGAAACCCCGTCTCTACTAAAAATACAAAAAATCAGCCAGGCATGATGGCGGGCGCCTGTAGTCCCAGCTACTCGGGAGGCTGAGGCAGGAGAATGGTGTGAACCCGGGAGGCGGAGCTTGCAGTGAGCCGAGATCACGCCACTGCACTCCAGCCTGGGCGACAGAGCGAGACTCCGTCTCAAAAAAAAAAAAAAAAAAAATTTCACAGTGGCTTACACCCTTAATCCCAGCACTTTGGGAGGCCAAGGTGGGAGGCTCACTTGAGCCCAGGAATTTGAGACCAGCCTGGGCAACATGGCGAGACTCCGTCTCTACAAAAAAATTAAAAAATAAGCTGAGTGTGGTGGTATGCGCCAATAGTCCCAGCTACTTAGGAGGGTGAGGCGGGAGGATCGCTTGAGCCAGGAGGTCAAGGCTACAGTGAGCTGTAATCTCACCACTGCACTCCAGCTTAGGTGACAGAGCAAGACTCAGTCTAAAGGGAAAAAAGATTTAGGCTGGGAGCGGTGGCTCACGCCTGTAATCCCATCACTATGGGAGGCCAAGGCAGGTGGATCACTTGAGGTCAGGAGTTCAAGACCAGCCTGGCCAACATGGTGAAACCCCATCTCTACTAAAAATACAAAAACATGAAAATAGGCCAGGCACAGTGTCTCATGCCTGTAATCCCAGCACTTTGGGAGGCCTAAGTGGGCAGATCATGAGGTCAGGAGATGGAGACCATCCTGGCCAATATGGTGAAACCCTGTCTCTACTAAAAATACAAAAATTAGTTGGGCGTGGTGGCGGGCGGCTGTAGTCCCAGCTACTTGGGAGGCTGAGGCAGGAGAACTGCTTGAACCCAGGCGTCAGAGGTTGCAGTGAGCGGAGATCACACCACTGCACTCCAGCCTGGGCAACAGAGTGAGACTCTGTATCAAAAAAAAAAACAAAAAAACAAAAAATTCCTTGGCTGCTAGAGCTTGCATTCTAGTGCAGAGAGACAAGACAATAAACTTGGGCTTGGCCGGGTGCAGTGGCTTACACCTGTAATCCCAGCAGTTTGGGAGGCCGAGGCGGGCGGATCACTTGAGGTCAGGAGTTCAAAACCAGCCTGGCCGACATGGTGAAACCCCATCTCTACTAAAAATACTAAAAAATTAGCCGGGTGTGGTGGTCCACGCCTGTAATCCCAGATACTCGGGAGGCTGAGGCAGGAGAATCGCTTGAACCTGGGAGGCAGAAGTTGCAGTGAGCTGAGATCTCACCATTGCACTCCAGCCTGGGCAACAGAGCCAGACTCTGTATCACACACACACACACACACACACACACACACACAAAATCCTTGGCTGCTAGAGCGTGCATTCTAGTGCGGAAGAGACAAGACAATAAACTTGGGCTGTCAGCTGGAACTAAGCGTTGGGAGAAAGCAAAAGCATCCTATGAGTGACAGAGTGAACAGTTCAGCCACTGGAAGGAAGTGACATCTGCACTGAGATCTGAAAGATAAGAAGGAGCCCATGGCATAATGTGGAAACATTCAAAGGACGCGTGTGAAGCCCTGAGGCAACAGAGAGGTTTCCATCTCTGTTAGCAGTGCTCACAGACATGGTTTTATCCCCACTAATCCAGGAGACCAGCTCACACTCCCATTTTCCTGATTTGGAAGCAGATAAGGGTAATGAGGCTTGCTGTGGCCCAAACCCCAGGCATAAGCAAGAAATCTGAACTCAGATGTTTCTGATCCTTGTCTGCATCTCCTATCAGACACCCTGGCTACCCCTGCACTCGGCTGTCTCCAACTAGACATTTCCTTCAAGGGACAGTCATGTATTCTGAGCCCAGTGTTGGGTCCTGCGATGGGTGATACCAGGGACCCAGTGGCGAACAAGACAGTTCTGGCCCCGTTCTGCTGGGACTCAAAGTTCAGGGGGGGACACAGATAGTGATGATACAGAGTGGGCAGGGCTGGGATGGGGGAGCCCAGAAGGGATGCTTGACCAGGCTTGGGGGTCAGGGAGAGCTTCCTGGAGGAGGAGGCATCGGAGCTGGGATATGAAGGAGTTGGACCAATCCCAGGGAAAGAATATTCCAGACAAAGAGAATAGCACATGCAAAATCCCAGACTTCTGGCCAGGCATGGTGGCTCACGCCTGTAATCCCAGCACTTTGGGAGACTAATGCGGGTAGATTGCTGGAGACCAGGAATTCCAGACCAGCCTGGCCAACATGGCAAAACCCTGTCTCTTCTGAAAATAAAAAGTAAAAAAAATAGCCAGGACTAATGGCACACGCCTGTAATCCCAGCTATTCTGGAGGCTGAGGCAGGAGAATCACTTGAACCCAGAAGGCAGAGGTTACGGTGAGCCAAGATTGCACCACTGCACTCCAGCCTGGGCAATAAAGCAAGACTCTGTCTAAAAAAAAAAAAAAAAAAAAAATCCCAGACTTCAGAAGAGTCTGGAATATTTCAAAGCACAGATCTAACTGGGCCACCCCTACTCTCTGAACAGCCCCAGTGGCCTCCCTCAGGATGAAAACCACTCTTCAGCTAGGCATCTGTCCGCTTGGTGATTCATTTATTCATTCATTCAACAAACCACATCCACAGAATAGAAGACTGAGAGACATCAAATAGAAGGAGACGGATGCCCATGAGCTGACATGGGATCGTTGTGATGACTCATCTGGCCAATATTTATCAAACACTGAGAAAAACAGATGAGGAGCCGGGAGCAGTGGCTCACTCCTGGAATCCCAGCACTTTGGAAGGTTGAGGTGGGTGGATCTCTCAAGGCCAGGAATTCAAAACCAGCCTGGCCAACATGGTGAAACCTCATCTCAACTAAAAATACAAAAATTAGCGGGGCGTGGTGCTACCTACCCGTAATCCCAGCTACTCGAGTGGCTGAGACAGGAGAATCACTTGAACCTAAGAGGCAGAGGTTGCAGTGAACCAAGATTGCACCACTGCACTCCAGCCTGGGCGACAAAGCATGAAAAGAAAAAAAGGCAAAGAAAAACAGATGAGAAAAACACGAGCAAAACAGATGAAAATCCCTTCTCTGCTAGCACTGATATTCTAGCAGCAGGACACGGTCAATAAATACTAAACATAATATGCATGTAGGCTAAGTGGGTTATCTGGCTTGTAACTTATTGTCACAAAGCAGAAAGTGCTGTGGAGGGAAATATATATGTATGTATGCATGCATTAGGAAAAGTGAGGAATTAGATGAATGAAGGGTAAATTGCAATAATAAATCAGGCTGGGATCAGTGGTTCACAACTATAATTCGAACACTTTTGGAGGCCAAGGCAGGAGGATCACTTGAGCTCTGGAGTTCAAGGTTATAGTGAGCTGTGATCGTGCCACTGCTGCACTCCAGCCTAGGGAACACAGTGAGACCTTGTCTCTAAAAAAATAAAAATTAGGTGGTCACAAAAGTATAGAGGGAGGCCAGGCACAGTGGCGCACACACTTGTAATCCCAGCAACCTGGGAAGCTGAGGCAGGAGGATCGCTTAAGCTCAAGAGTTCGAGGCTAGGCACAATGGCTCATGCCTGTAATCCCAGCACTTTGGGAGGCCGAGGTGGGTGGATCATTTGAGGTCAGGAGTTCAAGACCAGCCTGGCCAACATGGTGAAACCCCACCTCCACTAAAAACACAAAAATTAGCTGGGCATGGTGGTGGGTACCTGTAATCCCAGCTACTCAGGAGGCTGAGGCAAGAGAATCACTTGAACCCAGAGGACGGTATTGCACCACTGCACTCCAGCCTAGACGACAGAGTGAGGCTCCATCTCAAAAAAAAAAAAAAAAAAAAAAAAAAAAGAGTTTGAGACCAGCCTGGGCAACATTTCGAAAGCTCATCTCTATGAAAGAATACAAAAATTAACCGGGCGTGGTGATGCACGTCTGTGGTCCCAGCTACTCAGGAGGATGAGGTGGGAGGATCACTTGAGACTGGGAGGTTGAGGCTGCAGTGAGCAGAGATTGCACCACTGCACTCCAGCCTGGGTGACAGAGGGACACCCTGTCTCAAAAAAAAAAAAAAAATAGAAAGGGGAAAATCAAGGTGCGAGAAAGTGTGTATAGAATGGGGAAAAGCAAATGAACACAGCATCTGTTTTATTTTTTAATTTTTTTAATCTTTTATTTTTATTTTATTTTATTTATTTATTTATTTTTGAGACAGAGTCTCACCCTGTCACCCAGGCTGGAGTGCAATGGCGTGATCTCAGCTCACTGCAACCTCTGTCTCCCAGGTTCAAGCGATTCTCCTGCCTCAGCCTCCCAAGTAGCTGGGACTACAGGCGTGTGCCACCATATCCGGCTAATTTTTGTATTTTTAGTAGAGACGGGGTTTCACCGTGTTGGCCAGGATGGTCTCGATCTCCTGACCTTGTGATCTGCCCACCTCAGCCACCCAAAGTGCTGGGATTACAGGCGTGAGCCACTGCACCCAGCAAATTTTTTATTTCTATTTATTTATTTTTTTGAGACAGAGTCTCACTCTGTCGCCCAGGCTGGAGTGCAATGGCACAATCTTGCCTCACTGCAACCTCCACCTCCTGGGTTCAAGTGATTTTCCTGCCTCAGCCTCAAGAGTAGCTGGGATTACAGGCACCCGCCACCAGACCCAGCTAATTTTTTTTGTATTTTTAGTAGAGATGGGGTTTCACCATGTTGGTCAGGCTGGTCACAAACTCCTGACCTCAGGTGATCCACCCACCTCAGCCTCCCAAAGTGCTGGGATTACAGGTGTGAGCCACCGCGCCCAGCCAACAGCATCTCTTTTAAATGCATTGACTATTCAAGAATTTGCAGAAACTGCTAAAAGGATTTGCTTTCAGGAAGGAAAGCTGTGGCTTTACAGTTCGGTGCCGGGACCCTGAAATCTGTCATCTTGACCTTGGATCTCACTTAGCAGCTGAAAGATCTTGGGCAAATCATTCAACTCTCCTGTCTCAGTTTGCCGGGCTGTGCAGTGGGGATCACTGTAGCTTCTGCCTTGGAGATCACGGAGGGGTGAGCAGAGTTCATGTGTATGGAGTGCTTTGGTTGGTGCCCGGCAAATCACAACCCCATGGTATTTTAAGTTATGACGACTTTTTGCAGATAAATATTATAAAGAACGGAAAAGAAAGAAAGATTTCTTCTAGGCTGAGTGCGGTAGCTCACACCTGTAATCCCACCACGTTGGGAGGTCAAGACAGGTGGATAGTTCAAGTCCAGGAGTTCGAGACCAGCCTGGGTAACATGACAAAACCCCGTCTCTACCCCCAAATATACAAAAATTAGCCGGGCGTGGTGACGCAGGCCCGTAGTCCCACCTATTCTGGAGGCTGTAGTGAGAAGATCGCCTGAGCCTAGGAGGTGGATGTTGCAGTGAGCTGAGATCGTGCCACTGCACTCCAGCGTGGGAGACAGAGTGAGACCCCATCTCCGAAAAATAAAATAAAAGAGAAAAGAAAAGAGATCGCTTCCAGTGCATACCCCGGGCACAGATTCACAAGCTGGGAGCTTTTCCCCTGAGGACCCAGGGACCACTGGACAAAGGGAGGCCTGAGAGGCCCCTGAGGGACCCAGCAGCTGGTGACCGGGCTGCGGTGTGGAAGCTCTGGCAGCCCTCCAGGTAATCAGCGCCCCAGGGTTTGGACAAGAGGCCCAGGCCAGTTGGGCAACTTGAGCACAGGCCAGGCTCAGCCTAGTCACTGCCCACCCACTCTAGGGCTAGAGGTGCCAGACAGGGGGATGTTGGAGGGAGGAGGCTCCAGGACTCAGGAGACCCCAGAATCCTAGACCCTTCAGGGAATGTGGGGTGGGTCTAAGCCAAGAGGGCATGGTTTGAGGGTTTGGATGATGTTGCCTGGAACGCCTCACACCCTGCCCTCCCGCTTCTTAGAGAGGAAAATATACCAGCTGGTCTCAGCCGGCTTTCCTCCCCCTAAGCCAAACCTCCTACCCAGATTCTGATTTCATCATTGGAAAAAAAAAAAAAAAAAAAAAAAAAAAAGGCCTGGGGCTCCAGGAAGGGGGTGAGAGAGACCAGGAAGAGGCTGGATCCCACAGAGCAGAGAGGCCCTTTCTGGCCTCAGTTTGCCACCTAGGAAATGGCTTTAGGTCTTGTCTTGTATTGTCTTGTCTTTTTTCTCTTTTCTTTTCTTTTCTTGAAACAGTTTTGCTCTCTCGCCCAGCCAGGAGTTCAGTGGCGCAATCATAGCTCACTGCAGCCTCAAACTCCTGGGTTCAGGCTATCCTCCTGCTTCAGCCTCCTGAGTAGCTAGGACTATAGGCACACGCAAACATGCCTGGCTAATTTCTTAAATTTTTTTGTAGGGGCCGGGAGCGGTGGCTCACGCCTGTAATCCCAGCACTTTGGGAGTCCAAGGCGGGCGGATCACGAGGCCAGGAGATCGAGACCATCCTGGCTAACACGGTGAAACCCCGTCTCTACTAAAAATACAAAAAATTAGCCAGGCGTGGTGGCGGGCGTCTGAAGTCCCAGCTACTCGGGAAGCTGAGGCAGGAGAATGGCGTGAACCCAGGAGGAGGAGCTTGCAGTGAGCTGAGATCGCGCCACTGCACTCCAGCCTGGGCGACAGAGCGAGACTCCCTCTCAAATAAATAAATAAATAAATAAATAAATAAATAAATAAATAAAAACAGTAGGACAGAGGAAGCAATCAGATATGCATTAGTCTTAAATGAGCAGAGGGATGACTTTCTACCTGTGAAGACGAGCTATCAGTTTATGTGACCAGGGTGAAATTCAACAGAACTGTTTTAGGGTAAAAATCTTGAGGCTCACAAGGAATTTCCTTGTGGGCAAATTGTGAGGGAGATATGTAGCTTTTTTTTTTTTTTAATCTTTGTAGCTATCTTATTTAGGGATAAAATGGGAGGCAGATTTGTCTGACATAGTTCCCAGCTTAACTTTTCCCTTGGCTTAGCGATTTTGGGGACAGACCCAAGATTTATTTTCCTTTCACATAAGAAAAAAAAGCAGGCCAGGCACAGTGCCTCATCCCTGTAATCCCAGCACTTTGGGAGGCCAAGGCAGGTGGATCACCTGAGGTCAGGAGTTCAAGACCAGCCTGGCCAATATGGTGAAACCCCATCTCTACTAAAAATACAAAAATTACTCAGGCTGTGGTGGTGCATGCCTATAATCCCAGCTATTTGGGAGACTGAGGCAGGAGAATTGCTTGAACACAGGAGGCAGAGATTGCAGTGAGTCAAGATCATGCCACTGCACTCCAGCACTCCAGCCTAAGTGACAGAGCAAGATCCTGTTAAAAAAAAAAAAAAAAAAAAAGATTCCTGGACTGCTAGAATCTGCATTTAATAAATACCCCAGGAGGTTGTGGGAGGCTTAAAATTACATGGGTTTATTCTCTGAAAAGTCCAGAGATTCCAGCCTGGACAACATAGCAAAACCCTGTCTCTACAAAAATGCGAAACTTAGCCAGGCATGGTGGCTCATGCTTGTAGTCCCACCTAATTGGGAGTCTGAAGCAGGAGGATCATTTGAGCCCAGGAGGCAGAGGCTGCAGTGAGCCAAGATCACATCATGGCACTCCAGCCTGGGTGACAGAGCAATACCCTCTCTTAAAAAAAAAAAAAAAAATCCAGAGAGTGAAGTTCGAAATGGTTTCACTGGGCTGAAACCAAAGCGTTAGCAGGGCCACGCTCTGTTAGGAGGCTCTAGAGGAGAATCTACATCCTTGCCTTCTCCAGCTTCTCGAGGTCATCTGTGTTCCTCGGCTCATGGCCTTTTCCTCCATCTTCAAAACCAGCAGCATAGAATCTTCAAATCTCTCTGCTTCCATCATCCCACTGCCTTCATTCTCTTCTATGTCAAATATCCTTCTGCCCCTCTCTTATAAGGGCACTCGGGATTAATTTACGGCCCACCCAGTTAGGCCAGGATCATCTCTCCATCTCAAGATCTTTTATTGACTCACATCTGCCAAGTCTCTGTTGTCATTTAAAGTAATATTCACAGGTTCTAGGGACCAGGATATCTTTGAGGTTTATTAGGCAGCCAACCACAGGAGCCATGCATGGATACAGGGTATGTAAATTCATGGGACTGGTTGGAGATTCACTAGGAAGTGAGTATAGTAGGGCCAAAGAAAACAATGGGTTCAATATGAAAGGCTGAAAAGACAAGAAAACCTAGCTACTTGGGAGGCTGAGGCAGGAGGATTGCTTGAACCCAGGAGATCAAGGCTGCAATGAGCTATGATTGGGCCACTGCACTCTAGCCTGGGCAGTGTAGTGAGACCCCATGTCTACAAAAACATTAAAAAAATAGATAGGTGTGGTGGCATGCAACTATAATCCTACCTACTCAGGAGGCAGGGGCAGGAGGATCACCTGAGCCCAGGAGATCGAGGCTGCAGTGAGGTACGATTGTGCCACTGAACTTCAGTCTTAACACACACACACACCAGAGTGCATTGTAAAAGTAATTATTATTTTGTGAAATTTTTGCTTAATTTATATACATATTTGCACACATACTGCATTCCAGGTAAAATATACATCTAGCTAGGGTGTGGTAGCTTGCACCCAAGTCCCTGCTAGTGAGAGGCTGAGGTGGGAAGACTCCTTGAGCCTAGGAGTTCAGACCAGCCTGGGCAACACAGCAAGTCCCCATCTCTAAATTAAATTCCTTGAGCTCAGAAATTGGAGGCTGCAGTGATCTCACCACTGCATTCCAGCCTGGGCAACAGAGCGAGACCCCATCTCTAAAAATAAAATAAATATGCTAGGCACGGTGGTTCACACCTGTAATCCCAGCACTTTGGGAGGCCAAAGCTGGCAGATCACTTGAGGTCAAGAGTTCGAGACCAGCCTGGCCAACATGGTGAAACCCCATTTCTACTATGAATACAAAAATTAGCCGAGTGTGGTGGCAGTCCCCTGAAATCCCAGCTACTCGGGAGGCTGAAGCAGGAGAATCACTTGAACCCGCGAGGCGGAGGTTGCAGTGAGCTGAGATCACACCACTGTACTCTAGTCTGGGCGACAGAACGAGACTCTGTCTCAAATAAATAAATAAATAAATAGATAAAATAAATAATCATAAAATAAATACATGAAATGTATACATCCTGTTGTGGATCAGGTGTCTCTAGTTCAAAATTACTTGAGAAACACTGGTGTGCCAAGCCTTCTGTGGTCCATGAGTCTCACCACGTCACTCCTTTCCTCACACATTTTTTTTTTTTTTTGAGAGGGAGTCTTGCTCTGTCGCCCAGGCTGGAGTACAGGGGCGCGATCTCGGCTCACTGCAAGCTCCGCCTGCCAAGTTCAAGCGATTCTCCTGCCTCAGCCTCCTGAATAGCTGGGATTACAGGCGCCCGCCACCATGCCCGGCTAATTTTATTTTTGTACTTTTAGTAGAGATGGGTTTTCACCGTGTTAGTCAGGATGGTCTCGATCTCCCAACCTCGTGATCCACCCGCCTCGGCCTCCCAAAGTGCTGGGATTACAGGCGTGAGCCACCGCGCCCGGCCTCCTCGCACATTTTTCTCTTCATTTCTCCAGAATCTTCACATTTCCACTCAGGAATCTGCTGAGTCCACCAGTCTGGGTCACGTGTCTCCCCAGGCTTCCCCCAGGCCCCTGGACTCCTAATCCCAGCCCTGGCCACCCTGAGTGGTCAAAGTCTGGGGACCACGGTTTGCCACCTCCATTGGACTGAGGGTGGGGGTTGGCTGTCTCCACCTCCACTGTGTCCCAAGCACGGCCCTGCCTGGGGCCAGGCACACAGAAGGGTCTTCAGGAATGTGGGTTGATGCTTTGCTTTCAGAAATAGGAAGGAGGACCGGGAGCACTGGCTCACCTCTGTAATCCCAGCTACTCCAGAGGCTGAGGCTGAAGGATCATTTGAACCCAGGAAGTGGGTTCAAGTGACTCCATCTCAAAAAAAAAAAAAAAAAAAGGCTGGGCTCAGTGGCTCATGCCTTAATCCCAGCACTTTGGGAGGCGGAGGTGGGTGGATCACCTAAGGTCAGGAGTTTGAGACTAGCCTGGCCAAGACGGCGAAACCTCATCTCTACTAAAAATACAAAAAATTAGCCGGATGTGGTGGTGGGCGCCTGTAATCCCAGATACTCAGGAGGCTGAGGCAGGAGAATCACTTGAACCCGGGAGGTGGAGGATGCAGTGAGCCAAGATCACACCATTGCACGCCAGCCTGGGTGACAAGAGCGAAATGTCGTCTCAAAAATAAATAAATAAAATAAAATAAAAATTAAAAAAATTAAAAAGTAAATTAAATTAAAAATAAAAAAGAGAAAGAAACAGGAAGGAAAGGAGGAGATGTCAGGAGCGTTGCACATTCCAGCCTGGGGAACTGGAGAACAGCCCTGCCCTTCTCTTCCTACCTCCCTGATTGTTTATTTAAGAGCTGGCCTGTCTGGGCGGCTCAGCCCTGTCTCCCCCAGCTGCAGGGTGGCAGGCCCCAGTGGCTCCTGGTGCAATTGTAACTCAGGGCCGGGCGTGGTGGCTCACACCTGTAATCCCAGCACTTTGGGAGGCCGAGGTGGGCAGATCACATGAGACCAGGAGTTCCAGACCAGCCTGGGCAACGTGGTGAAACGCCTTCTCTACTAAAAATACAAAAAATTAGCCGAGCGTGGTGGCAGGAGCCTGTAGTCCCAGCTACTCGGGAGGCTGAGGCAGGAGAATGGCGTGAACCTGGGAGGAGGAGCTTGCAGTGAGGCGAGATGGCTCCACTGCACTCCAGCCTGGGCGACAGAGCGAGATTCCGTCTCAAAAAAAAAAAGGTAACTCAGGTTTCTGAGCCTTGAAGCCCAAAGCTGGGGTGGCAGGCACTGCCCTCCCCACCTCCCCCAAAATCCAGCCAAGGTGGGGACTTGTTTCCCTACCACAGCAAGGTCCCAGCCTGGGAACCTACAGGTATTTCAGGGCTCAGGTGACCTGGATGGAAAGACATTCAATACTTCCTAGGAGGCAGGATAAGACAATGGTTGAGGGGGAAATGGAGGCAGAGAGATGGGCCTCCCCAGCTTCTTCTTTTTTTTTTTTTTTTTTTTTGAGACAGAGTCTCGCTGTGTCACCCAGGCTGGAGTACTGTGGCACAATCTCGGCTCACTGCAACCTCCACCTCCCGGGTTCAAGTGATTCTCCTGCCTCAGCCTCCCGAGTAGCAGGGATTACAGGCCCACGCCAGCATGCCTGGCTAATTTTTATATTTTTAGTGGAGACGGGGTTTCACCACTTTGGTCAGACTGGTCTCAAACTCCTGACCTCAAGTGATCCTCCCACCTCGGCCTCCCAAAGTAGTGAGATTACAGGTACAGGTGTAAGCCACCACGCCTGACACCCCCCTACTTCTTAGATGATCTTGGGTAACGGATTCCATCTCTGAACCTCGGGTCATCTCTGAAATAGGATGAAAGTAATACCTACCCCAGATGTGCCAGCAGCAGTAAAGAAAACCTTAGCATAGGTCTGGGCAATGCCATGAGATCAGTATATTAGGGGCTGGGGGGCCTATGACTGTGATTGTTACTTTTTGCTTTAGAGAGCCCTAGTCAGATGTGAGTCAGGCCATACAATGCAGCCTCTGAAGGGACATAGCCCTATGGGCGTGGAGGGGGAGGTTGTGAAATAGCCTTGCCCTGGGGGTCTGAGGGAACAGGGTCCTACCCTGGCGGGTCTAAGGCCTGCCCTGGGGGTCTGAAGGATCAGATATCTCAAAAGGCCAATCTACAACAGCGGTGTTATTGGGGCAGTAGCCTATCTTCTAACCTCCAGGATAATGGCTGATAATCTTTTATGTCTGCGCCTTAGCAGTACTCAGGGTCCTCTCCTCCCCGCAGCCTGATGACCTCCCATTAACTTTACAAAAGCGGTTGAGTTTTGGGCAAAGCCTATTATTTAAACTGTACCCTAAATGTCTTCCAAAGTTTGGCCCAATAGCCCAGGAATAATGAAGGGAAAGGCAAGATGAAGTATGGGTTAGCTTAGCTTACTGTTATAATTTTTCTTACTGATATAATTTTTGCAAAAGTGGGCCAGGCACGGTGGCTCACACCTGCAATCCCAACACTTGGGAGGTCGAGGCAGGTGGATCGCCTGAGATCAGGAGTTCGAGACCAGCCTGGGCAACATGGTAAAACCCTGTCTGTACTAAAAATACAAAAATTAGCTGGGTGTGGTGGTGCATGCCTGTAATCCCAGCTACTCTCAAGGCTGAGGCAGGAGAATCGCTTGAACCCAGGAGGCGGAGGTTACAGTGAGCCGAGATCGTGCCACTGCACTCCAGCCTAGGTGACAAGAGTGAAATTCTGTCTCGGAAAAAAAAAAAAAAGATTTTTGCAAAGGCAGTTTCAGGTTTGAGGGGACACAGGCCCAGCCCTTTGGGGTCTGAGGGGACATAGGCCTGCCCTTGGGGGTCTGAGGGGACGTAGGCCTGCCCTTGGGGGGAAGCGCTGAGAGGACATGGCCCTATAAAGCCAATTCTAGGGCCAGGCGTGGTGGTTTATGCCTATAATCTCAGCACTTTGGGAGGCCCAGACAGGTGGATCACTTGAGGTCAGGAGTTCGAGACCAGCCTGGCCAAATGGTGAAACCCTGTCCCTACTAAAAATACAAAAATTAGCTGGGCGTGGCGGGGGGCACCTGTAATCCCGGCTACTCGGGAGGCTGAGGCAGGAGAATCTCTGGAACCCGGGAGGCAGAGGTTGCAGTGAGCCGAGATTGTGCCACTGCACTCCAGTCTGGGCAACAGAGTAAGACTCCCTCTCAAAAAAAAAAAAAAAAAAAGCCAATTCTGAGAGTATACAATCACACAGCACATTCCTAGTGATTATGTGGGTGTCACCCCTGAGGGCAGTTGGCCTGAAGGACCAGGACATTTTGAGTCTGGGAGGCACTGCTACCAGCTCAGACGCCTGGGCCTAGACATCCCTTGAATAAACTAGCTAATGAAAGGTCCCACCTCCACTTCTCCTTTCTGAGAGAAGTGTGAGGCCTGGGGCCTGGATTTGAGAGGTGTTAGAATTTGCACTTTAGCCCAGAGTGAGGAGCAGTGTAGGTGCTGATTAACAGGAACTGGACAAAGTCCTCCCAGAGCTGAAGAGCCCTGGCATTTTGGGGGTGGGAGGGGCAGGGCAAAGGGGCTCCAGTGAGAAGCACACCTGAGGCTCCAGTGAGGCCCATGAAACCGAGGAGGCTAATCCCATCCTGACACAGACAAGGCAACCATGTCTCAAAGTCCCACAGCCAATGAATGAAACAGCCAGGAGAGAGGCCAGGACCTGGGAACTTTATGCTTCCAACCACCAAAGCCCCGTGGTGGGGGGCCTCATATGGCCTGAGAAAATCAGCAACACACATTCCACACAACTGCTTTCTTCCAAGGGCCAATTTATTATTATTATTATTATTATTATTATTATTATTATTATTATTATTTTGAGATGGAGTCTCACTCTGTCACCCAGGCCGGAGTGCAGTGGCGCAATCTCGGCTCACTGCAACCTTTGCCTCCCAGGTTCAAGCAATTCTTGTGTCTTGGCCTCCCGAGTAACTGGGATTTACAGGCATCCACCAACCATGCCTGGCTAATTTTGTATATATATATTTTAATATGGAACGCTTCACACCTGGGATTACAGGTGTGAGCCACTGCCCCCGGCCCGAATGCCAATTAAAAAACAAAAAACTTTACTATTATTATTTTTATTTAAGGGACAAGGTCTCACTCTGTCACCCAGACTGGAGTGTGGTGGTGAGATCATAGCTCACTGCAGCCTCTAACTCCTGAGCTCAAGTCATCCTCCCATCTCAGCCTCCCGAGTACCTGGGACTACAGGTGTGCACCACCAATACACACATACAGATAGATAGATAGATAGATAGATAGATAGATAGATAGATAGATAGATGATAGATAGATAGATTAGTTTGTTTGTGATGGAGTCTTGCTCTGTTGCCCAGGCTGGAGTGCAGTGGTGCCATCTTGGCTCACTGCAACCTCTACCTCCCAAGTTCAAGCGATTCTCCTGCCTCAGACTCTCGAGTAGCTGGGACTATGGGCACATGCCACCACACCCGGCTAATTTTTGTATCTTTAGTAGAGACAGGGTTTCACCAGAAAAAAAAAAAACTTATTTGCTTTATCTTTTCGCTTTCCCCTGGTCCTGCCAGCCTGATTCCTTTTCCCGAATTAGGACTCCACAACTAATGTTTATCGAACATTTACTATAGCCCAGAGGTACAGCTTCTCAGCAAACCAATGGGTCCTATTAATATCCTCATTTTATAGCTGAGTAAACAGAGGTACAGACAGGTGATGTGACTTGGCCAAGGTCTCACAGCTTAATTGAGAGAGTCACATTTTTTTCTTTCTCTTTTTTATGATTATTTTAAAATTTTTAATTTTTTTTTAGGGACAAGATCTCGTTCTGTCACCCAGGCTGGGATGCAGTGGCATGATCATAGCTCACTGCAACCTTGAACTCCTGGGCTCAAGCAATTCTTCCGCCTCGGCCTCCTGAGTATAGCTGTAATCTCAGCACTTTGGGAGGCTATGCAGGGTGGATTGCTTGAGCCCAGGAGTTTGAGAACAGCCTGGGCAACATGACGAAACCCCATCTCTACAAAAAATATAGTAGCTGTGTACCAGCTACTCGGGAAGCTGAGCCTGGGAAGTCAATGCTGCAGTGAGCTGTGATTGCAACACTATACTTCAGCCTAGGTGTTGGAGTGAGACCCTGTCTCAAAACACACACACACACACACACACACACACACACACACACACACACACACACAGCCTGACAGAGGCATGCACTGTTGAAGGTGATAACGTGGAAGAGGACAAAAGTGACAGGCCAGGTGCTGGGCCTCATGGCAGCGTTCAAACTCCTGGAGCCAGCTATGCCTGAAGCCAGCCCATCGATTCCTGATGTCGCTGAAGAGTTACAATCAGGTTTTCAGCCACTTGAAACAGAAAGAGACCAAACGTACCCAGGGAAGGGACAAGTGGATTCAGCCCACTGATACGGCAATGGGAAGTAGGGTTCATGGAAGGGGGAAAGGCGGGACCGTGTAAAAGTGAGTAGGAACACGACCCATTCCAGGGGACAGACAGCAGATCATCGGGGTGGCTGCCATGCAAAATTTATAAGGGGTCATGGTGAGGTCATGGTGCCACCTTTCAGTTGCAAGAGAAAGGGAGAAGCCGTGACTATTGTGAAAGCAAAGTAGAATCTCAGGACCCCGAATTCACTAGGTCAAAGGGAAAATTAAGCTGGGGAACTGAGGCACCAGTACTGTCTTCCTTTTGTTCCCAGATTGCTGTAATTTTCCAACCCCGTATCATAGCTTAATTTACTCTTTTTTTTTTTTTTTTTTCTGAGACAGCGTCTCGCTCTGTTGCCCAGGCTAGAGTGCAGTGGTGAATCTTGGCTCACTACAACCTCCGCCTCCCGGGTTCAAGCAATTCTCCTGCCTCAGCCTCCCGAGTAGCTGGGACTACAGGCACCCGCCACCACGCCTGGCTAATTTTTTGTATTTTTAGTAGAGACGGGGTTTCACTGTGTTAGACAGGATGGTCTCGATCTCCTGACCTGGTGATCCACCCACCTCAGCCTCCCGAAGTGCTGGGATTACAGGTGTGAGCCACCACGCCTGGCCATTTTTTAAATTTCATTTTATTTATTTTTTTTGAGATGGAGTCTCACTCTGTTGCCCAGGCTGGAGTATAGTGGTAAGAGCTCAGCTCACTGCAGTCTCCACCTCCCGGGTTCATGCGATTCTTGAGCTCAGCCTCCTGAGTAGCTGGGATTACAGGTGCCTGCCACCACACCTGGCTAATTTTTATATTTTTAGTAGAGACAGGGTTTCACCATTTTGGCCAGGCTGGTCTTGAACTCCTGACCTCAGGTGATCCACCTGCCTCTGCCTCCCAAAGTGCTGGGATTACAGGTGTGAGCCACCGCACCCGGCCAACACCGGATCGTATCTTGAAGGGAGAAGGGCTTCATGCAGGATCAGTGGGGAACATCAAAGGGTCTAAGCAGCAGAGTGACACAATCAAGTTTGTGTTTAGAAGCTTCTGCACTCTCACACATTTGCTGGTGGGTGTGGAAGTTGGTACGGCCTCCCTGGAAAGCCATTAGGCAAAAGGCCTTAATTTTAGATCCTCCCACACCCTTTGACACAGCAGTTCTTCTCTGAGGGATTTATTCCACGGCTATTGTCTTGCATGCGAAAAATCACCACAGCCCTGCTTGCAGTAGCAAAAGACTAGAAGCAAACTAAGCACATACCAGGAAGGAACCAGCAAAATATGTTGTGGCCATTCATGCTATGGAACACTAGACAGCTGTAGAAAAGAATGAGCCACGTTTACAGGCATTGCACTGGCGTGCTGGTAAATACTTAACCAGGCCGGGCATGGTGTACTTCCAGCATTTTGGGGGGCCTAGGTGGGAGAAGGGCTTGAGCCCAGGAGTTTGAGACCAGCCTGGGCAACATAGCAAGAACCCTGTCTCTACAAAAAAATACAAAAATTTGTCTGGGTGTGGTGGCTTATGCCTGTAATCCCAACACTTTGGGAGGCCAAGGTGGGCAGATCACTTGAGGCCAGGAGTTCAAGACCAGCCTGGCCAATGTGGCAAAACGCTGTCTCTACTAAAAATACAAAACTTAGCCAGGTGTGGTGGTACGTGCCTGTATTCCGAGCTGTTTGGGAGGCTGCAGCATGAAAATCACTTGAACCTAAGAGGTGAAGGTTGCAATGAGCTGAGATCACACCATTGCATCCAACCTGGGCGACAGAGCTGGACTCTGTCTCAAAGAAAATACAAAAATTAGCTGGGTGTGGTGGCACGTGCCTATAGTCCCAGCTACTCAGGAGGCTGAAGAGGGAGGATCGCTTGAGCCCAGGAGGTCGAGGCTGCAGTAAACTCTGATTGCACCACTGCACTCCAGCCTGAGTAACAGAGCAAAATCATCCATATATATATATGTATGTATGTGTGTGTATATATATATACACACACACATATGTGTGTATGTGTATGTATATACACATATGTATATATGTGTGTATATATATATATACACATATGTGTGTGTGTGTATATATATATATACACATATGTGTGTGTGTGTATATATACATAATTTTTTTTTTTTGAGACGGAGTCTCGCTCTGTCGCCCAGGCTGGAGTGCAGTGGCATGATCTCAGCTCACTGCAAGCTCTGCCTCCCAGGTTCACCCCATTCTCCTGCCTCAGCCTCCCGAGTAGCTGGGCCTACAGGTGCCCGCCACCACGCCCAGCTAATTTTTTGTATTTTTAATAGAGATGGGGTTTCACCATGTTAGCCAGGATGGTCTCGATCTCCCGACCTCATGATCTGCCTGCCTCAGCCTCCCAAAGTGCTGGGATTACAGGCGTGAGCCACTGCGCCCAGCCAATATATATATATATATATTTTTTTTTTTTTTAATTTAACCACCAGCTCTCTAGGGAAGAAACAGCCCTAATTTATACCATTTGCCAATTTCTACAGTGTAAATATTCCCACTGTGGTTGATTTCTAGTTACTGATAGGATGTCATTGGATGTGGAATTCAGAAGAGACAAGCAACCACCCACTATCACTCAGGATTTCCACCAGGCAGAGATAAGTAGCCTGGAGAGCATAGATAATAGTAAAAATGTAGCAATTAGGATGCAATGCATTTGAACTATTTATTATATTTGTTTTTAACATAATTTATTTATCTGTAACTTTGTATCATTTAATTGTTAATAATACCTATGTTTAACAACTGGTTTGTGAAATTCCCAAAAGTGTAGCAATCTGCTCTTGAGAACTGGGCACAGCACACATTGAGACACAAATGGATCTTCAAGAAGAGAAAGCAAAAGCCAACTTTTGGAAAATGGCCTGGAAGGTTCTACACTGCTCACTCCCTTAATTTTAATTTTATTTATTTATTTATTTATTTATTTATTTATTTATTTATTTATTTTTTGAGACAGGGTCTCACTCTGTCACCCAGGCTGGAGTGCAGTGGCGCAATCGCAGCTCACTGCAGCCCCCTGGGCTCAAGCGATCCTCCCATCTCAGCCATCTGAACTACAGGCACGCACCACCGCACCCAGCTAATTTTAAATTTTTTTTTTTTTTTTGGAGATGGAATCTCACTATGTTGCCCAGGCTGGTCTCAAACTCCTAGGCTCAAGTGATCCTCCCACCTCGGCCTCGCAAAGTGCTGAGATTACAGATGTGAGCCACTCGCCCAGCCGTCATTGTATTTCTGTACAGCACTGTCTTTCTCCCCCACTAGAATGTCACCTCCACAAGGGTAAGAACTTGATCTATTTTGGATTGTTTTTTGTTTTTGTTTTTGTTTTTGCCATATGCCCAGTGCCTAGAAAAGCACCTGGCATATAATAGGTACTTAGTAAACCTGTGTTGAATAAATAAATTTACTATTTATTTATTTATTTATTTTGAGACGGAGTCTCGCTCTGTCGCCCATGCTGGAGTGCAGTGGTGCAATCTTGGGCCACTACAACCTCCGTCTCCCGGGTTCAAGTGATTCTCCTGCCTCAGCCTCCCGAGTAGCTGGAACTACAGGTGTGTGCCACCACACCTGGCTAATTTTTTGTATTTTTAGTAGAGACGAGGTTTCACCATGTTAACCAGGATGTTCTCAATCTCCTGACCTTGTGATCCACCCATCTCAGCCTCCTGAAGGGCTGGGATTACAGGCTTGAGCCACCGCGCCCGGCCAATTTACGCTTAAGGAAAAAAAAAAGGTGCACCAGCCTGGACAATATAGTGAGATCCTGTCTGTACAAAAATTTTTAATAAATTATCCAGGTGTCATGGGCTTCAGCCTCAAGCGCATGGCCGCTCCCATTGACCATGTGGGCCAGACCATAGAGCACATGGGCTCTGGCGTGGAGCACATTGGCCCTGCCATCGAACACGTGGGCCTGAACATGGAGCACATGGTGCTTGCAGGCATGGAGGCTGGCTTGGAGCACATGGGCCCCATGATGGATCACATGGTCACTGGCCTAGAGCACATGGGTGCCAAGAGCCTCACGTGCATGGGCCTGGCCATGTGTGGCAGTGGCGGTGCCACCTTTGACCATGCCATCGGTATGGAGTGTGGCAACTTTGGAAGCTTTGCAGGTTCCCTTGGTGGAGCAGGAGACCATGCTCCTGGGCATGGCCAGGAAGGCATGCCAAATATTTGTAAGAAATCTCCCATTCAATTTTACATGGAAGATGCTAAAGGACAAATTCAACGAGTATGGCCACATGCTGTACACTGACATCGAAATGGAGAACGGGAAGTCCAAGGGGTGCAGTGTGGTTAAGTTTACGTCCCCAGAGGTGGCTGAGAGAGTCTGCCGGATAATGAACAACATGCAGCTGAATGGCCAAGACTGATGTTCAAATAAATAGAAATGCTTAAGCAGTTGCCTTTTTTAAACATCAATACCAGACCTCTGAATTTGTATTTTTTCTTGTTAACTTTTTTTTTTTTTTTTTGAGACAGGGTTTCGCTCTTGTCTCCCAGGCTGGAGTGCAGTGGCGCGATCTCGGCTCACCACAACCTCTGCCTCCCGGCTTCAAGAGATACTCCTGCCTCAGCCTCCTGAGTAGCTGGGATTACAGGTATGTAATACCATGCCGGCTAATTTTGTATTTTTAGTAGAGACAGGGTTTCTCCATGTTGGTCAGGCTGGTCTCGAACTCCTGACCTCAGGTGATCCGCCCACCCTTGGCCTCCCAAAATGCTGGGATTACAGGCATGAGCCACTGTGCCCGGCCCTCTTGTTAACCTTTTTATTTTTCTTTTCCTTTTTTTTTTTTTTGAGACACAGTCTCACTCTGTCGCCCAGGCTGGAGTATAGTGGTGCAATCTCAGCTCACCGCAACCTCTGCCTCCTGGGTTCAAGCGATTCTCGTGCCTCAGCCTCCCAAGTAGCTGCGACCACAGGCATGTGCCACCACGCCTGGCTAAGTTTTGTATTTTTAGTAGAGATGGGGTTTCACCATGTTGGCCAGGCTGGTCTCGAACTCCTGACCTCAAGTGATCCACCCGCCTTGGCCTCCCAAGTGCTGGGATTACAGGCATGAGCCACCACACTGGCTTTTTTTTTTTTTTTTTTTTTGAGACAGAGTCTCGCTCTGTCGCCCAGGCTCAGTGCAGTGGCGCGATCTCGGCTCACTGCAAGCTCCGCCTCCCGGGTTCACGCCCTTCTCCTGCCTCAGCCTTCCGAGTAGCTGGGACTACAGGCACGCGCCACCGCGCCCGGCTAATTTATTTATTTATTTTTATTTTTGTATTTTTAGTAGAGACAGGGGTTTCACCATGTTAGCCAGGATGGTCTCGATCTCCTGACCTTGTGATCCGCCTGCCTCAGCCTCCCAAAGTGCTGGGATTACAGGCATGAGCCACAGCGCCTGGCAGCTTTTTTTTTTTTTTTTTAATTTAGCATTTTAATTTTTTTTTTTTTTTTTTTTGAGACAGAGTCTCGCTCTGTTGCCAGGCTGGAGTGCAGTGGTGCAATCTCGGCTCACTGCAACCTCCAACTCCCTGGTTTAAGCGATCTTCCTGCCTCAGCCTCCTGAGTAGCTGGGATTACAGACACGTGCCACCACATCCAGCTAATTTTTTTTTCTTTTTTTTTGTATTTTTAGCGGAGACGGGGTTTCACCATGTTGGCCAGGATGGTTTCGAACTCTTGACTTCGTGATCCACCTGCCTCAGCCTCCCAAAGTGCTGGGATTACAGGTGTGAGCTACCGCGCCTGGCCAATCATTTTATTATTTATTTATTTATTTATTTACTTTTGAGAGAGTCTCGCTCTGTTGCCTACGCTGTAGTGCAGTGGCACAGTCTCAACTCACTGCAAACTCTCTCTCTCAGGTTCAAGCAATTCTCCTGACTCAGCCTCCCAAATAGCTATACTACAGGCACTCACCACCACACGGGGCTAATTTTTTTTGTATTTTTAGTTTCACCATGTTGGTCAGGCTGGTCTCACCTGACCTCAGGTGATCCACACACCTTGGCCTCTCAAAGTGCTAGGATTATAGGCATGAACCACCACGCCAGACCACTTGTTAACCATTTTAATTTGTTGGCTGGATGTATAAAGATGTTAAAAAAGCTTGAACCCAGGGAGGCAGAGGTTTCAGTGAGCCAGAGATCGTGCCATTGAGCTCTAGCTGGGCGACAAGAGCAAAACTCTATCTCAAAAAGAAAAAAAAAAAAGAAAAAGATGGTAAAAAAAAAAAAAAAAAAAACCAGTTGCTTTTTGGGCTAATTTAATTACTTTTTTAAATGACTGGTGTTCCATTTGACTGTTTGCCTTGAGATTGCACTGTGCGCAATTTTTTTTGTAGTTATGGTGTCTTCTTGACATTGAATATGATTTTGATAATAAATACTGGTTCTTGAAAAAAAAATTAGCCAGGTGTGCTGGTGCACGCCTATAGTCCTAGCTACTTAGGAGGCTGAGGTGGGAGGATGGCTTGAGCCCAGGAGTTGGAGGATGCAGGTGAGCCCTAATTGTGCCACTACACTGCAGCCTGGGTGACAGACAGAGAGACAGAGAGACCCTGTCTCAAAAATAAATAAATGAGGCCAGGCAAGGTGGCTCAGGCCTGTAATCCCAGCACTTTAGGAGGCCGAGGTGGGCAAATCACGAGATCAAGAAATCGAGACCATTCTGGCCAACATGATGAAACCCTGTCTCCACTAAAAATACAAAAATTAGCTGGATGTGGTAGTGCGCGCCTGTAGTCCCAGCTACTCGGGAGGCTGAGGCAGGAGAATTGCTTGAACCCGGGAGGCGGAGGTTGCAGTGAGCTGAGATCGCACCACTGCACTCCAGCATGGGTGACAGAGCAAGATTCAGTCTCAAACAAAAACAAAAACAGAAAACAAAATTAGCTGGGCCTGGTGGCACATGCCTGTAGTCCCAGCTACTTGGGAGGCTGAGGCAGGAGAATCGCTTGAACCTGGGAGGTGGAGGTTGCAGTGAGCTGAGATCGTGCCGTTGCACTCCAGCCTGACTGACAAGAGCAAAACTTTATCTCAAATAAATAAATAAATTAAATAAATGAAAGTTGCAGACACATGTGAATGACCTGGGCAGCATTTCTCCACCTGCGCTTGCATTTGCTAGACAGTCTGTGACTCTCTGTGGGAGAAAACACAAGAAACCGGCCCCTCTGCTGGTTCCCCACCTGGCCTGGCTCTCCTGTTCTCCACCCTGCACACTCATGCCTCGGAACCTGCTTCTCCTCTGAGCCTCCCTCACAGTGGCCCGGCCCACGTGGCCTTTAATCTGCCCACATCAGAGCCTCCACCTCCGGCCTATGGCCCATCAGAGGCAGCTGGAGCCGGGCATCCTCCCCACGTGGGCCTTTGAGGATGGGATGAAGGAAGCTGAGCGGAGGTCGCAGTGCCTCCCAGGAGGGGCCTGGAGGGGAGGGAACAGGGGAGAGGAGAAGGTTTTTCCACTGTGTCCCCTCCTGTGACTGTAGAAATGAGCCATGTGACTTCAATTACCTATTAACATTTTTTGAAGTGTTCTATAAAAAGTGCCAGCCTCGGGCTACCGTGGGGAGCAGGGAAGGAGGAGGGTGAGTCCAGGCGTGAGGAGGCCGGAGCGGTGACCCGGGAGTGGGGACGGCCGGGGCTGCCAGGCAGTCACAGCCTGTCCCAGAAGGCCCCGTGGTGGAATGCTGTGCAGAAAGTCCTTAGAAGGCTCTGGCGGGGGCGGCCTGTCCCTCAGCACCCTCCTCTCTAAGCCAACTTCAGGGTTTCCCGGAAAGGCATCTCCTCCACCACCTCTGCCCCTACCCAAAATGATCCCCAAATGTCTGGTGGATAAAAACTCTCGATCTTTCCTTCGCACTAGGTCTGTAAGGGTGGGAGCTGACTCACATCTGGCCCTCCACCTCCACCCTTCTCCTCTCTCCTCCCCGCCTCCTTCTCTCTCACCTCTGTCCTCTCCCTTCCTCTCCCTCCTCTCCCTCTTTCCCTCCTATCCCTCCTCCTCCCTCCAACCCCTCCTCCTCCCACTGCCTCTCCCACCCTCCCTCCTTTCAGCGAGACACAACCTCCTCCAGGGCCCCCAAAACACCAACCCTCTCTCTGCTCCACACCTTTGCCCCTGCTGTTCCCTGGTAGATTTCATTTGAATTTCTCTGATGATTCATGACATTGAGCATCTTTTCGTGTGCATTATGGGCCATTTGTATGTCTTCTTTGCAGAAATGTCTATTCAAGTCCTTTGCTCATTTTTGAATCGGGGTGCCTGGAACTCTCTGCCCTCATCCCCGCCCCCGCCACCTCTTCACCAAACCCTGTTTTCTCCTGGAGATCTTGGATCCTTCCTTCATCTAACAAATATTTGCCGGACGTCAACCCTGTGTCGGGCACCCTGCCAGGGATTGGGGAACACAGGGTTAGGAGAGGCTACATTGTAGTGGAGAAGGCAGGAAATAAAGGAGTCAACAGAGACTGCAAACAAGGGAATGTTTTCTTTTCTTTTTTTTTTTTTTCTACAGTGTTCATGGGCTTGATTTAAAAGCTTGCTTATTTATTTATTTATTTATTTATTCATTCATTCATTTATTTATTTTTGAGACAGGGTCTCATTCTGTCACCCAGGCTGGAGTGCAGGGCGTGATCTCCACTCACTGCAACCTCTGCCTCCTGGGTTCAAGTGATTCTTTTGCCTCAGCCTCCTGAGTAGCTGGGATTACAGGCGCCCGCCACCACGCCTGGCTAATTTTTATATTTTTTGGTAGAGACAGGGTTTCCCTGTGTTGGCGAGGCTGGTCTCGAACTCCTGGCCTCAAGTGATCCTCCTGCCTCAGCCACCCAAAGTCTGGGATTACAGACATGAGACACAGTGCCCAGCCAAAAGCTTATCTTTCTTATTTATTTATTTATTTATTTTTGAAACAGAGTCTCACTCTGTCGCCCAAGCTAGAGTGCAGTGGCACAATCTCAGCTCACTGCAACCTCCACCTCCCAGTTTCAAGTGATTCTCCTGCCTCAGTCCCCTGAGTAGTTGGGATTGCAGGTGTGCACCACCACACCCGGCTAGTTTTTTCTGTTTTTAGTAGAGACAGGATTTCACCATGTTGGCCAGGCTGGTCTCGAACTCCTGACCTCAGGTGATCTGCCCACCTCGGCCTCCCAAACTGCTAGGATTACAGGCTTAAGCCACCGTACCTGGCCTATTTGTTTTTGGAGATGAGGTCTCGCTATTTTCCTCAGGCTGGACTCAAATTCCTGGGCTCAAGTGATCCTCCCACCTCAGCCTCCCAAAATCCTAGTGTTTACAGGTGTGAGCCCCAGCACTTGACATAAGAGAACTATTTTAAAATTTATTTTTAGAGACAGAGTCTCACCCCATCACCCAGGCTGGAGTGCAGCAGTGTGATCATAGCTCACTGCAGCCTTGAACTCCTGGGCTCAAACAATCCTCTCAACTCAGCCTCCTGAGTAGCTGGGACTACAGGCGTGCACCACCATGCCCAGCTAATTTTTTTGATTTTTTTGTAGAGATGAGGTCTCACTATGTTGCCCAGACTGGTCTTAAACTCCTGGGCTCAAGGGATCCTCCTGCTTCAGCCTCCCACAGTGCTGAGATTACAGGCATGAGCCACTGCACCTGGCCAAGACAATTTTTTGAAAGAGCTCAGTGCTGCAAGAAGAATTCGTCTGCAATCTGAGTGAGGATAAGGAACCTGCCTGATGAGGGACTGAGAAGAGAGAAGCTGGCAAAAGAAATAGCAAGTGCAATGAACCAGACGTGAGAATGAACTTGAAGTGGTCAGGAATCAGATGGAGACCAGGGGCCATGGCTCACACCTGTAATCCCAGCACTTTGGGAGGCCAAGGCGGGTGGATCATCTGAGGTCGGGAGTTCAAGACCAGCCTGGCCAACATAGTGGAACCCCGTCTCTACTAAAAATACAAAAATTAGCTGGGCATGTTGGCGGGCGCCTGTAATCCCAACTACTTGGGAGGCTGAGGCAAAAGAATTGCTTGAACCCAGGAGGTGGAGGTTGTAGTGAGCCGAGATCACGCCACTGCACTCCAGCCTGGGCGACAGAGCGAGATTCTGTCTCAAAATAAATAAATAAACAAAAATGAAAAGAATTAGAAGGAACAGGGTGGCTGGATTCAAGGGATTGTGGGGAAGTGTCATCAGATGTGGCTGAAGAGGTAGGTTGAGATGGGCATCATAGACTCTGTGAAGAACTTAAGAACCTCCTCTTCCAGGAAGCCCTTCTTGACTGCATCAACTAGGTTTTCCCATCCCAGCCCTGTTCCCACTAGGTTGTTGCTCTTGGGGCACTGGCCTATCTGCTCCGCTGGCCTGTGAGCCCTCTGACGGCCAGGCCAGTCACCACTATGTCCTCAGCATCACCTAGCACAGGCCTGAGCACACAGGAGGTGGTCGGTAAATGCCCAGGTCATTCTGGCACTGCCAGCAAGCCCCAAGAAGCATCCCTTGCTCTGCCTCCCCGCCGCGCACCTCTGTTCCTGGGCGTAGCACCAGGGATTCCTGAGTTCCCCGTTTGGCCATTCACACTGGTTTCAGCCTAGCCTCTTTCATCCCATCCTCAAAGGCCCATGTGGGGAGGAGGCCGGGATCCAGCCGCCTCTGATGGGCTGCAGGCCGGAGGTGAAGGCTCTGAAGTGGGCAGATCAAACGCCATGTGGGTTGGGCCGCCGTTGGGGAGGCTGAGAGGAGACGCAGGTTCCCAGGCATGAGTGTGCAGGGTGGAGAACAGGAGAGCCAGGCCAGATGGGGACCAGCAAAGGGGCCCATATGTTCACCCGTCTTTATAATAACACAGCTTCCAATTGTTGATTCATTACGGCCAGGTACAGGGTTAATTTTTTTTTTTTTTTTTTTTTTGAGACAGGGTCTCACTCTGTCACCCAGACTGGAGTGCTGTGGTGACATCATGGCTCACTACAGGCGTGTGCTACCATGCCTGGTTTATTATTTTTAAAAATGTTTTGTAGGCTGGGTATGGTGGCTCAAGCCTGTAATCCCAGCACTTTGGGACGCTGAGGCGGACGGATCACCTGAGGTCAGGAGTTCAAGACCAGCATGGCCAACATGGTGAAACTCCATCTCTACTAAAAATACAATAATTAGCCGGGTGTGGTGGCAGGCACCTGGAGTCTCAGCTACTAGGGAGGTTGAGGCAGAAGAATCGCTTTAACCCAGGAGGCGGAGGCTGCAGTGAGCCAAGATCACGCCACTGCACTCCAGCCTGGGTGACATCACGAGACTCTGTCTCAAAATAGAAAAAAATGTTTTGTAGAAACAGGATCTCACTATGTCACCCAGGCTGGAGTGGAGGCACCGTTGTAGCTCAATCCAGCCTCGAACTGCTGAGCTCAAGTGATCCTCCCACCTCAGCCTCCCAAAGTGCTGAGATTATGGGTATGAGCCACCATGCCCAGCTAAAAGTCAATTCTTTTGATAGAAAGGTCAGAAGAGCAGAGAAGATCAAACAGCTGGTTCATGTGCTGATGGGAATGATCTGGATTTCTAGATTCCAGAAGAGAAGCAAGAGAGGAAAGTGGCTGGATTGTTGTCGTTGAGTAAGCAAGAGGGGAACCATCCCTAGGCTCAAGAGAAGAGGTCTTGAGAAAGAGTATATGGCAGCCAGGCGCGGTGGCTCACACCTGTAATCCAAGTACTTTGGGAGGCCGAGGCGGGCGGATCACGAGGTCAGGAGATCGAGACCATCCTGGCTAACATGGTGAAGCCCTGTCTCTACAAAAAAAAAAATTACAAAATATTAGCCAGGTGTGGTGGCAGGCACCTGTAATCTCAGCAACTCAGGAGGCTGAGGCAGGAGAATTGCTTGAACCTGGAAGGTGGAGGTTGCAGTGAGCCGAGATCACGCCATTGCACTCCAGCCTGGGCTACAAGAGTGAGATTCCGTCTCAAAAAAAAAAAAAAAGAAAGAAAGAAAGAGTATAAGGCACTCTGAGAGGCTGAGGCGGGCGGATCACTTGAGGCCAGGAGTTCGAGACTAGCCTGGCCATCATGGCGAAACCCCATCTCTACTAAAAATATAAAAATTAGCTGCTTGTGGTGGTGCGTGCCTATAGTCCCAGCTACTCTGAGGCACGAGAATCACTTGAATCCAGGAGACAGAGGTTGCTGTGAGTAGAGATCACACCACTCCACTCCAGCCTGGGTGACAGAAAAAAAAAAAAGAAAGAAAGAGTGTATAAGGCTGGACACAGTGGCTTATGCCTCTAATCCCAGCACTTTGGGAGGCGGAGGCTTTCAAATCACTTGAGGCCAGGGGTTTGCGACCAGCCTGGCCAACATAGTGAGACCTCACGTCCACTAAAAAAAAAAAATACAAAAAATTAGCTGGACATGGTGGCACACACCTGTAATCCCAGCTACTTGGGAGACTGAGGCATGAGAATCGCTTGAAACAGGGAGGCAGAGGTTGCAGTGAGTTGAGATCACACTATTGTACTCCAGCCTGGGTGACAGACTAAGACTCTTTCTCAAAAAAAAGAAAGAATATAGTTCAGCCGGGCACAGTGGCTGATGCCTGTAATTCCAGCACTTTGAGAGGCTGAGGCGGGAGGATGCCTTGAGCCCAGGGGTTTGAGACCAACCTGGGAAACAGCAAATCCCCGTGATATGATTTGGGTGTGTGTCCTAACCCAAATCTCATGTAGAATTGCAATACTCAGCCAGGTGCGGTGGCTCACGCTTGTAATCCCAGCACTTTGGGAGGCCGAGGCGGGTGGATCGCAAGGTCAGGAGTTCAAGACAAGCCTGGCCAAGATGGTGAAACCCCGTCTCTACTAAAAATATATAAATTAGCTGGGTGTGGTGGCACGTGCTTGTAATCCCAGCTACTCAGGAGGCTGAGGCAGAGAATTGCTTGAACCCGGGAGGCAGAGGAAACGCACAAAGCAAGGCAGCAAAAGCAGAGATCTATTTTAAAGGAAAGCACACTTCACAGGGTGGGAGTGGACTCAAGCTAGCAGCTGAAAAGTGTCCGTTACAGAATTTTTGGGGATTTGAATACCCTCTGGAAGTTTCCCATTGGCCTGTGACCAGTCTGATTGGTTGTAGGAGAGGACCAATTCGAATGAAGAGTAGGCCTGTAACCAGTCTGATTGGTTGTGGGAGAGGACCAATTAGAATGATGCATAGGCCCGCAGCCAGTCTGATTGGTTGCAGGAGGGGGCCAATCAGAATGAAGAGTAGGCTCAGGACCAGTCTGATTGGTTACAGGAGGGGACCACTCAGAGGTACTTTCATTTTTCAACAGCCATGCAGAAAAAGGAGGGTTTGAAAGGGGAGTAGCCTCTGATATCCAGTCATCATGAATTGGCCTTAGGCTCTCTGGCTCCAGACCCTATTCTCCTGCCTCAGTTAGAGTGATGCAAGGAGGGCCTTGAGCTGAGGAATGTGGACAGCTTCCTGAAGCTGGACAGGGCAAGAGAGCCTCCAGGAGAAGCCCTAGAGTCTCCAGAAGGGATGCAGCCCAGCCAACACCTTGATATTAGCCCTGTAAAACCCATTTTGGGGGCCTGGGGCAATGGTTTATGCCTGTAATCCCAGCACTTTGGGAGGCCGAGGCAGGAAGATCGCTTGAGCCCAGGAGTTGGAGACCAGCCTGGGCAACATAGGAAGAGTCTCTACAAAAAATTTTTTAAAATTAGCCGGGCATGGTGGCACACACCTGTAGTCTCAGCTACTTGGGAGGCTGTGACAGGAGAACTGCTTGAGCCCAGGAGGCTGAGGCTGCAGTGAGCCATGATCAGGCCACTGCACTCCAGCCTGCATCATAGAGCCAGACCCTGTGGTAAAAAAAAAAAAAAAAAAAAACCTCCAGAACAGTAAGGTAGTAAATAAATCTGTCTCCTATGGAGCCACTAAGTGTATGGTCATTTGTTACAGGAGCAATAAGAAACCAATACCCTTGGCTGTGCACGGTAGCTCACCCTTGTAATCCCAGCACTTTGGGAGGCCGAGGCAGGCGGATCACCTGAGGTCAGGAGTTCAAGACCAGCCTGGCCAACATGGAGAAACCCCGTCTCTACTAAAATACAAAAAAAAATCAGCTGGGTGTAGTAGTGGTGGGCGTCTGTAATCCCAGCTATTCAGGAGGCGAGACTGAGGCAGGAGAATCACTTGAACCCGGGAGGCAGAGGTTGCAGTGGGCCGTGATCACGGCACTGCACTCCAGGCTGGGTGACAGAGCGAGACTTCGTCTCAAAAAAAAAAAAAAACAAAAAAAGCCAGTCACAGTCTGCATGGAACAGAGGAAGAGCGGGTGGAAGATGAGGTCAGACAGAGAACAGGGAGCTGGTGAGTCATGGTGAAGATGTTGTCTTTTAGTGAGTGTGGCAGGAGCCACAGAAGGGATTTGAGGAGGAGAATGACATCATGTCACTTCTGTCAAAGGATTCTGCTGCCATATGGGGACCTTTCTGTTGGGGACAAGGGCAGAAGCAGCGAGGAGGTGACTGCAATTTTCCAGGTGAGAAATGATCATGGCTAGACTAGCTCTGGGGGTTCAGACTTTGTTTTTGTTTTTGTTTTTGTTTTTGTTTTTGTTTTGAGGTGGAGTCTCGCTGTGTCTTGTCCAGGCTGGAGTGCAATGGTGCGATCACGGCTCACTGCAGCCTCCATCTCCCAGCTTCAAGCGATTCTCCTGTCTTAGCCTTCCGAGTAGCTGGGATTACAGGCGTGTGCCACCACACCTGGCTAATTTTGTATTTTTTAGTAGAGACGGGGTTTCACCATGTTGGCCAGGCTGATATCGAACTCCTGACCTCAGGTGATCCGCCTGCCTAGGCCTCCCAAAGTACTGGGATTACAGGCGTGAGCCACGGCGTCCAGCCTTTGGGGGGTCCGACTTCGGGTGCATTTTGAAGGTCAACAGGATTTCCCCTGGATGGGATGTGGGGTGTGAAAGCAGAGAGGAGTCATGAGCCCTTTCTAAGTTTCCAGACAGCATGCTTGAACACACGATGGTTTCTCTGGGGCTCAAGGACATTAGGCTACTCCTGGCCCTTAGCGTGTAGCTGTACACAGGAAGTGTCCTGCTGTGCTGTATTAATTAAAGTGGATGTTGTCAGCCGAGTTGGAGACATCCCGGGGGAGGAAAGGCCGGGCTGACCCTGGTTAACTTCAGGCAGGTGTCAGGCATGCAGCGAATGTCATCTTCCGCCTCTCATTCTCCCTCTGGGCTGGGCCTGCCTCTTCTTTCCCCAGCTAGCAAATAAATCATCTCTCCCATCTCCACCTGGAATTCATTCTCACTCATGTTTAATGAGGCTACCACACCCTTCTGCCAGGTGTGTCTTCACCCAGGTCGCTGATAACTACAAATAGGTTATATTTCAACTCTTTTGAGTATGCTGTGAGGTAGAGATCCAATTTCCTGCTGCGTGTGCAGAACAGAAGACAACTGTCTCAAACAAAAAGAAAAACCAAAACAATTATTTTAGGCCTGGCGCAGTGGCTCACACCTGTAATCCCAGCACTTTGGGAGGCTGAGGCAGGAGGCCGAGCTGGAGCTCAGTAGTTCGAGACCAGCCTGCGCAACATAGGGAGACCCCTGTCTCTGCTAAAAATTTTAAAAATCAGCCTAGCGTGGTGGTGCACGCCTGTAGTCCCAGCTACTAGTGAGACTGAGGCAGGAGTGATGGCAGTGGCTGCTGTCATTACACCGGCTGCAGCAGGGAGGTGCGGCTGGGGCTACACACTCCATGGAGCCGGTGGAAGCCCTGCCCCTTCTGAGCTGTGGTGGGAGTTCCCCAGATGCCACTGCAGCCGCCCAAACCGCCACTGTGGATTGAGCCTTCCTGTGCTCTTGCAGGGGCCAGAAGTAGGTAGGGTCTGCCCTCCCGGGTGCAGCTGCAGCTGCCCCCATGGCTGCCAACCTAGGCCTCCAGCTCCACAGAGTGAGCAAGAGCCGGGGACAAGTGGGAGCCCCACCCCTTCCGAGTTGGCAGGGCAGGAGCTCCCCGGATGCAGCTGTGGCCGCCCTCTGAGGCTGAGGACCTGGGCCTCTCTGCAGCCTGCACTCTCAGAGGCCGGGAAGGCCCCCCCAATCTCTGCAGACTGCTGGGTGTCTTCTCCTGCTGCCTGGCCTCTCTTCTCTCCCAGCGCCAGCTCTGATCTGGGATCGGGGTTGGGGTCCAGTCCTGGGGCCATGAATGGCAGCAGGAGGCAGACGGATTCCTGGGCAGAAGTTGGTGGGGGGTCCCTAGTAAGGCCCCACCTTCTTGCCAGGGAGGGCCTGAAGGCTGGGGGCCAGGCTGCCAACCCCACAGACAAGAGTGGGGACTTGTACCTCCTCTGGGCCCACGCATGGCAGCCCATGGACCAACCAGCACGTACTTCCTCCTCTCTGAGGTCCATAAAAGCCCCAGGCTCCACCAGAGCAGGGCAGAGGGCAGAGGACAGAGAGACAATGGGATTACCACCTGCACAGAGGAGCTACCCTCTCTACTGAGAGCTTCAGAGACCTGCAGAGACGCCTACATGACCTGCCTGCCGAGAGGAACCACCCTCTTCAGGGCCTCATCTCTGCTGAGAGCTGAACACTCGATGGGGTGACCTGCCTACTGAGAGGAGCTGCCCACTGACGGTCTCCTCTGAGCTGTTCTAAGACTAAATAAAGCTCCTATTCATCTTCTTCACCCTTCACTTGTCTGTGTACCTCATTCTTCCTGGACACAGGACAAGAACTTGGGCAAAGGCACTGCAGCCACAGAGGTTTCTGGCCAGAAAAGCAACACCCCAAAGATCCCGTAACAGGAGGATCACTTGAGCCCAGGAGGCGGAGGCTGCAGTGAGCTGAGATTGCACCACTGCACTCCAGCCTGAGTGACAGAGCAAGGCCCCAACTAAAAAACAAAAAACAAAAAAAGCCCAGATATTTTATAATAAAAAAAAAATTTTATGGCTGGCCACGGTGGCTCACGCTTGTAATCCCAGCACTTTGGGAGGCCAAAGTGGGCAGATCACTTGAGGTCAGGAGTTTGAGACCAGCCTCACCAACACGGTGAAACCCCATCTTTACTAAAAATACAAAAATTAGCCAGGCATAGTGGCACACGCCTGTAATCCCAGCTACTGGGGAGGCTGAGGCACGAGAATTACTTGAACCTGGGAGGCAGAGGTTGCAGTGAGCTGAGATCGTGCCACTGCACTCCAGCCTAGGCAACAGAGTGAGACTCTGTCTCAAAAAAATAAAATAAAATAAAATAAAAAATAAAGTGAATGGGAAGACACAGAGTCTAGCACTCTAGAAATCTGGGTTCCAGTCTCATCTGCTCATTGTGTGTCCTTGGGCAAATGATCTTCCTTATCTACAAAGAGGAGATAATACTCAGAATTGCAATGCTAATACCAAGAGCCACTTCACAGCGTCATTACAAGATTAAATGGGATTATGCCTTTAAAGCCTTGGAAGCTGCTGGGCCTAGAGCAGGAGCTCCCCCTAACAGTTCAGAAGCTTCCTTGAGGCTGGGCTCGGTGGCTTACACCTGTAATTCCAGCACTTTCGGAGGCAGAGGTGAGCAGATCACTTGAGCCCAAGAGGTTGAGACCAGCCGGGGCAACATGATGAAACCGCCATTTCTTTTTTTTTTTTTTTTTTTGAGACTGTGTCTCGTTCTGTTGCCCAGGCTGGAGTGCAGTGGCGCGATCTTGGCTCACTGCAAGCTCTGCCTCCTGGGTTCACACCATTCTCCTGCCTCAGCCTCCCAAGTAGCTGGGACTACAGGCGCCCGCCACCACGCCTGGCTAATTTTTTTTTTTTTTTTGTATTTTTAGTAGAGACGGGGTTTCACCTTGTTAGCCAGGATGGTCTCGATCTCCTGACCTCATGATCTGCCCACCTCGGCCTCCCAGTGTACTGGGATTACAGGCGTGAGCCACCGCGCCCGGCCTTGAAACCACCATTTCTACAAAAAACACAAAAAATTAGCCAGACTTGGTGGCATACACCTGTAATCCCAGCTACCCAGGAGACTGAGGTGGGAGAATCACCCAAGCCTGGGAATTCAAGGCTGAAATGAGCCATGATAGTGCCACTGCAGTCCAGCCTGGGCAACAGAGTGAGACCCTGTCTCAAAAAACAAATAAAACCGCCAGGCACGGTGGCTCACACCTGTAATCCCAGCACTTTGGGAGGCCGAGGTGGGCGGATCACGAGGTCAGGAGATGGAGACCATCCTGGCCAACATGGTGAAACCCCATCTCTACTAAAAATTCAAAGAATTAGCTGGGCATGGTGGCACGTGCCTGTAATCCCAGCTACTCAGGAGGCTGAGTTAGTAGAATTCCTTGAACCAGGGAGTCAGCGGTTGCAGTGAGCCAAGATGGCGTCACTGCACTCCAGCCTGGCGACAGAGAAAGACTCTGTCTCAAAAAAAAAAGAAAAAAGAAAGAAAAAGAAACACCGTCTCTAAAAATACAAAAATTGGCCAGGCATGGTGGTGGGCACCTGTAATCCCAGCTACTTGGGAGGCTGAGGCAGGAGAATTGCTTGAACCTGGGAGGTGGAGGTTGCATTGAGCCGAGATCGCGCCATTGCACTCCAGCCTGGGAGACAGAGTGAGAGTCTGTCTCAAAAAGAAACAAAAACAAAAACAAGAAGCTTCCTTGTTTGGTGGCTTTCTCAGGTTCCTCTTCGACTTTCTGTTCTCTAAACCCTGGAGCCCCTCAAAAGCCCAGAACTGACTCTGGCCTGTGCTTTAGTGCAGTTGCACCAGGGTTGCAAACACATGGCCTGAGGGCTCCATCCAGCCACCACATTTCGTTTGCCACCCCAGAGTATTTTTAAGTTTTTTGGTTTGTTTTTTTTTTGAGATGGAGTCTCGCTCTTGTCACGCAGGCTGGAGTGCAGTGGCACGATCTCAGCTCACTGCGGCCTCTGCTTCAGCCTCCCAAGTAGCTGAGATTACAGGCGTGCACCACCATGCCCGGCTAACTTTTTTATTTTTAGTAGAGATGGGGTTTCACCATGCTGGCCAGGCTGACCTCAGATGATCCGCCTGCCTCGGCCCCCCAAAGTGCTTGGATTACAGGCATGAGCTACCACGTCTGGCCCCCATGTCTTAAAAGAAAATAAAAGACAGGTGATCTCCACTCCACAGGCTCCACCACCCGCGTGGTCTTAAGGGCACCAACTTGAGTGGCTGTCACTCTCAGCTGACTGAGACTTACTCTTGCTTCCCATTTCACTGAGAAGAAGGAAGTCATTGGAGTAGGGACTTTTGGGAACTCCCCACACCAACACCACCACCACCTGCCTTGGCGCCCACGCACCCCTTCCTCCCAGATGCCTCTCGTGTGCTTGGATAATCCCAGCTGCGCCTTCCATCCCTCTCCCATCTCTTTCCTGCATCTTCCGGTTTCCCCTTGTCTGTTGCATCATCCCCATCAGCATAAAACTGATGATTTGAGCTGAGCGCGGTGGCTCACACTTGTAATCACAGCACTTTGGGAGGCTGAGGCGGGCGGATCACTTGAGGTCAGGAGTTTGAGACCAGCCTGACGAACATGGCGAAACCCAGTCTCCACTAAAAATACAAAAAATTAGCGGGGTATGGTGGCGGGCGCCTGTGGTCCCAGCTAGTTGGGAGGCTGAGGCAGGAGAATCGCTGGAGCCCAGGAGGCAAAGGTTGCGGTGAGCCGAGATCGCACAACTGCACTCCAGCCTGGGCATCTGTCTCAAAACAAAACAAAACAAAACAAAACAAAAACCTGCTGTGATATCATCCACTCCACCAAACACCCTCCAATCTCATTCCCCCCTCTAGCGACTATTTCTCTTCTCCCTTTATAGCAAAACTTCCTCTAAGGTTTTTTTTTTGTTTTTTTTTTTTTTATTCAACATTATCATCAGACACTTATATTTAGCCATCAACAGCATGGGTGCAAAACAAAAATCTACATTAAAACCCTTTGTTGGAATGCTTTGCACTTTCCACAGAAGAGAAACTGAAATAACCTGTTATACGATTAGTCACAAATACAGTCCTGGAGTTTTTTGTTTTTGTTTTTTGTCCATATACATGAGTATTGTCTCCAATACATCTTCCACTGGGTATGGTGGCTCATGCCTGCAATCCCAGCACTTTGGAAGGCTAAGGCGGGAGGATTGCTTAAGCCAGGGAGTTTGAGATCAGCCTAGGCAACATAGTGGAACTTCGTCTTTAAAAAATATTAAAAAATCAGGAGCCGAGGGTGGTGGCTCACGCCTGTAATCCCAGCACCTTGGGAGGCTGAGGTGGGTGGATGATTTGAAGTCAGGAGTTCAAGACCAGCCTGACCAACATAGTGAAACCCCATCTCGACTAAAAATATTTTAAAAATAGCCGGATGTGGTGGTTCACGCCTGTAATCCCAGGTACTCGGGAGGCTGAGGCAGGAGACTCCCATGAACTAAGGAGGCAGAGCTTGCAGTGAGCTCCAGCCTGGGCGATGGAGGGAGACTGTGTCTCAAAAAAAAAAAAAAAAAATAGGCAGGCATGGCGGCACGCACCTGTGGTCCCAGCTACTCGGGAAGCTGGGGTGAGAGGATTGCTTGAGCCCAGGGGTTGAGACTGCAGTGAGCTGTGATCATGCCACTGCACTCCAGCCTTGTCAACAGAGTGAGAGCCTGTCTCAAATCAAACACGGCCGGGCGCGGTGGCGCATGCCTGTAATCCCAGCACTTTGGGAGGCCGAGGCAGGCGGATCACAAGGTTGGGAGATCAAGACCATCCTGGCTAACACGGTGAAACCCCGTCTCTACTAAAAAATATTAAAAAAAATTAGCCGGGCGTGGTGGCTGGCACCTGTAAATCTCAGCTACTCAGGAGGCTGAGGCAGGAGAATGGCGTGAACCCGGGAGGTGGAGCTTGCAGTGAGCCGAGATCGCGCCACTGCACTCCAGCCTGGGCGACAGAGCGAGACTCCGTCTCAAAAAAAGCAAACAAACACAAAAAACACACCTTCTTCATAACAGACAGGCCCTGCCACCCCTGTGCCTGGCTGAGTTCACAAGTCTGTTTGTAACCTGAGCTTCCCTGTCATTTCCCTGGCTCTGTCTGCTGGCTAAGCTTCATTTCCCCAAAGTAACTAAAGCTTTCTGCCACCGCCCTGGCCACCAGGGCTGCTGGAACTGCCATAGCCATCTTGGTTTCATGTTTTGGCAAAATATTGGCCTCCATCACCATAGGGGCCAGGGCTTCTGCCTCCAAATCCTCCTCCCTTCATGGATCCAAAATTCGAAGACTGATTGCTGTTATGGCCAAGATTACTACAGCTTTTGCCACCTCCAAAACTACTTCCATCATTACTGTGATGGGGTTTTGTTTGTTTGTTTGTATTTGTTTTTTTGTTTTTTTGTTTTTGTTTTTGACAGAGTCTTGCTGTGTCGCCCAGGCTGGAGTGCAGTGGCACGATCTCGGCTCACTGCAACCTCCACCTATGGGTTCACACCATTCTCCTGCCTCAGCCTCCCAAGTAGGTGGGACTACAGGTGCCCACCACCACATCTGGCTAACTTTTGTATTTTGTATCTCTTCCTGAAACACCTGTGCAGACACAAACAGAAATAATGTTTTACCAGCTATGTGGGCACCCCTTAACCCAATCAAGTTGACACATACAATAAACCATCACTGCTGGGTGCAGCGGCCCACGTCTGTCATCTCAGCACTTTGGGAGGCCGAGCCACGTGGATCACCTGAGGTCAGGAGTTTGAGGCCAATCTGGCCAATATGGCGAAACCCTGTCCCTACTAATAATACAAAAATTAGCCAAGCGTGGTGGCAGGCGCTTGTAGTCCCAGCTACTCGGGAGGCTGAGGCAGGAGGGTTGCTTGAACCTGGGAGGCAGAGGTTGCAGTGAGCCGAGATCACGCCATTGCACTCTAGCCTGGGCGACACAGCAAGACTCTGTCACAAACAAAGAAACAGACAATTAGCCAGGCGTGGTGGCGCATGCCTGTAATCCCAGCTACTTGGGAGGCTGAGGCAGAAGAGTCGATTGAACCCGGGAGGGAGAGGTTGCAGTGAGCCGAGATCACGCCATTGCACTCCAGCCTGGGCGACACAGCAAGACTCTGTCACAAACAAAGAAACACAATTAGCCGGGCGTGGTGGCCCATGCCTGTAATCCCAGCTACTTGGGAGGCTGAGGCAGAAGAATCGCTTGAACCCGGGAGGCGGAGGTTGCAGTGAGCCGAGATCGTGCCATTGCACTCCAGCCTGGGTAACAAAAACAAAACTCCATCTCAAAAAAAAAAAAGAAGAAGAAGAGGAAGAAGGCCAGGCGCAGGGGCTTGCACCTGTAATCCCAGCACTTTGGGAGGCTGAGGCGGGCAGACCACTTGAGCTCAGGAGTTCGAGACCATCCTGGCCAACATGGTGAAACCCTGTCTCTGCTAAAAGTACAAAAAAAATTAACTGGGTGTGGTGGCACATGCCTGTGGTCCCAGCTACTTGTGAGGCTGAGGCAGGAGAATCGCTTGCACTGAGGAGGCAGAGGTTGCAGTGAGCCGAGATCACGCTACTGCACTCCAGCCTGGCCACAGAGCAAGGCTCTGTCTCAAAAAAAGAAATAATAATCTTTTGGATGTTGTTCTTCAGTGTCCTCTAATGCCATCAACAAAGATACTTTTATATATATACACACATATAGATATGTATATATATATATGTATAGCATAGTTATCAAATTTAGGAGATTAAATACTGATGTATTACATTTTATTTAATATGAAATCTATGATAAGAGGAAGAAATCATACACACAGTTGACAGTTCAGATTTATAAAAAGCATAAAATTAGCATAGATAAATTATTGATGACTAATGACACTAGCTATAAGTTTCTACTGTAGAATACGTCACACCGTGAATGTGGGTCATTTTTTCCGCCACTAGACTGAGTCATTGAGCACAGAAGATACATCAATTTTATGTGTTAGCAACATGTACAATTCTTTTTTTTTCTTTATTTCTTCTAAAAAAAAAACAGGATACATGTACAGAACGTGCAGGTTTGTCACGTAGGTATATGTGTGCCATGGTGGTTTGCTGCACCTGTTGGCCTGTCCTCAAAGTTCCCTCCACTCACCCGATCCTTTTTTCTTTTTTTTTTTTTTTTTTTGAGATAGGGTCTCGCTCTGTCTCCCAGGCTAGAGTGCAGTGGTGTGATCACAGCTCACTGCAGCCTCGCGTCCAACTCTTGGGCTCAAATGATCCTCCCACCTCAGCCTCCCAAGTAGCTGGGATTACAGGCAGGAGCCACCATGCTTGGCTAGTTGAATTTAATTTTTATTTATTTATTTATTTATTTTTTTCATAGAGACAGGGCCTTGCTATTTTACTCACGCTGGTCTCAAACTCCTCGGCTCAAATGATCCTCCTGCCTCAGCCTCCCAAATCTGGGATTAGACGTGAGCCACTATGCCCAGCCCAGAGCATTTTTATCACCCAAAAATGAAACTCCACAAACATTAAGTAAACACTCCCTGCTCTCCTCTTCCCCCAGCCTCGGGCAACCACTAATCTACCATCTGTCTCTGTGCTGTACATTTCATGTGAATGGAATTCTGTGCTAGGTGGCCTCTTGTGTCTGGCTTCTTTCACTCAGCATCACATCTTCGAGGTTCACTCATGTTGTAGCATGCGTCAGTGCTGCATTTTTTTCTTTCTTCTTTTTTTTTTTTTTTTTTTTTTGAGATGGAGTCTCGCTCTGTCACCCAGGCTGGAGTGCAGTGGCACGATCTCAGCTCACTGCAACCTCCACCTCCCGGGTTCAAACGATTCTCCTGCTTCAGCCTCCTGAGTACCTGGGACTACAGGCACGTGCCACCACGCCCGGCTAATTTTTTTTGTATTTTTAGTAGAGATGCGGTTTCACCATATTGTCCAGGCTGGTCCCGAACTCCTGACCTAGTGATCCGCCTGCCTCGGCCTCCCAAAGTGCTGGGATTACAGGTGTGAGCCACCGCGCCTGGCTGAGTTCTGTACTTTTAAGCTTTTCTCTTGACATAAAATTCAGACGCGAAATGCAGTTTCCGTGCAGTGAGGCACACAAACACCTTTGCTGTGGATTCCCCATTTCGCACATGGGAACAGATGCATTTTCCCAGGCAATTAAATACCAAGGACTTCCTGAAGGCACTGAGTGTCCAGGCCACCGAGTTTGTCCTTGAGTAGCTGTAAACACCCTCACCCCCGGGTATCCAGGAATCTGCCCGATGCCCTGGTGGCCAGCTCCAGGCATTAACAGCTTCCTCCCCATTTCCAGCAGTTTCCTTCAGTTACTGAGTGGAAAGTTACTGAGTCAGAGGCTGCGGAGATGAGGTTCCTTGGCAGATGGCTTTCATTTTTACCTCTCCCTACCTCCCTGTCGTCCACACAGCCCCAACACACACACACACACACACACACACACACACACACACACACACACTTACACACACACAGACCTGTTTTCTTTTTCTTTTTTTTTTTTTTTGAGACGGAGTCTCGCTCTTTCGCCCAGGCTGGACTGCAGTGGCGCTGTCTTGGCTCACTGCAAGCTCCGCCTCCCGGGTTCACGCCATTCTCCTGCCTCAGCCTCCCGAGTTGCTGGGACTACAGGCGCCCGCCACTACGCCCGGCTAATTTTTTTTGTATTTTTAGTAGAGACGGGGTTTCACCGTGTTAGCCAGGATGGTCTCGATCTCCTGACCTCGTGATCCGCCCGCCTCAGCCTCCCAAAGTGCTGGGATTACAGGCGTGAGCCACCGCGCCCGGCCTTTTTTTTTTTTTTTAATTTTTTTTTTTTTTTCAACCCATGTGGACCAGGTTGGCCTCGAACTCGTGCCCTCGAACCCTCGCCTCCCTGAGGGTCCGAGGGCCCGCGCAACCGGCTGGAGCCACAATGGCTCCACCTGTTTTCTTATCTACAAAACATCTGTTTTTATTTAATATACATCATTTTATTTAATATGGGAGGGAGAAGAACAGCAGAAATAGCTCCTTAAAGCCCCGTTCTACAGGATGTAGTGGGGAAGAGGGAAGCTCTGACGTTAGTCTCTCCCTTCATCCATTTCTTTTATAAACTGCCTGCTCTATTTTTATAAACATTTTGTCCTGGATAAACCTTCCCAAAGGCCATAATATACAATGAAGAAAGACTAACAGAAAGCAAAACACTAAACCCTTCTTCCTGAAAAAAGATACCACATACAAAGTCAAAAGACAAAAGCAGCCTGGGGGGAATGTTTGTGACATGTATGACAGACTGTGGATCCACAATAAATAAAGAGCTACTACAAATAAACAAGAAAATGACAAACAGCACAGGAGGAAAATGGTCAAAAGGTTTGTACCAACACAGAAGAGGAATATGAATGACTAGTAATGTTCGACCTCATTGGTAACCAGGCACAATAAAATAAACATAGTGAGATCGCACAGTAGCAAAGCTACATGGAAACAGGGGGTCTCCTCCTATGCTACCAGAGAGTAAAAATCAGCACAGCCCGTTTGGAGAGCAATTGGGGTGAACCTATCAAATGACCTGTTACAGATACATGTACCCTTCAGCCCAGAGATTCATTTCCAGGTACTTACCCTCCACATGTATGTGAAAATGCACGTGGGCAAAGACATTCTTTCATCTTCATTAGGAGGAGCCACGCAGGCCTGGTTAAGTAACATAGGATGCACCCACATAACGGGATTCCACACAGACTATACACAGAATCACCTCCAAGATGCACTGATAGCAAGCTGCAGAACCACATACGGTGTGATCCTAAGACATCGAAAAAACCAGTTATATCCTCACAAGTACGTGCATGAAATTTATTTATGTATTTATGTGTTTTATTTATTAATTTGTTTCCAATATGGAGCTTCGCTCTGTTGCCTAGGCTGGAGTGCAATAGCACAATCTTGGCTCACTGCAACCTCCGCCTCCCGGGTTCAAGCGATTCTCCTGCCTCAGCCTCCCAAGTAGCTGGGATTACAGGGATGCGCTACCACATCGGCTAATTTTTTGTATTTAGTAGAGATGTGGTTTCACCATGTTGGCCAGGCTGGTCCACCCACCTCGGCCTCCCAAAGTGCGGGGATTACAGATGTAAGCCACTGTGCCTGGCCTTATTTCTTTATTTTGAGATAGGGTTTGTTCTGTTGACCAGGCTGGAGTGCAGTAGCTAGATCTTGGCTCTCTGCAGCCTCAATACCTTGGGCTCAAGCAATCCTCCCATCTCAGCCTCCCAAGTAGCTGGGATCGCAGGTGTGATACCTACCATGTCCAGGATATTTTTCTTTTTTTTTTTTTTGGTGGAGATGGGGGTCTCACTATGTTGCTCAGGCTGGACACGAACTCCTGGCCTCAAGCAATCCTCCTGCCCTGGCCTCCCGAAGTGCTGGGATTATAGGTACGAGCCACTGCGCCTGGCCGGGTTCATTCCTTTTCAATGTTGAGGAGTGCTCCATTGCCTGGAGGGGCCAGAGTTTGTTTTTCTATTCATTTTTGAAGAATATTTAGGTTGTTTCCAGTTTTTGGTGAATAAAACCACTATAAACATTCGTGTGGCCAGGCATGGTGGCTCACGCCTGTAATCCCAGCACTTTGGGAGGCCGAGGTGGGCGGATCATGAGGTCAGGAGATCAAGACCATCCTGGCTAACACGGTGAAACTTGTCTCTACTAAACAAAATACGAAAATTAGCCGGGCGTGGTGGCAGGCACCTATAGTCCCAGCTACTTGGGAGGCTGAGGCAGGAGAATGGCATGAACCTGGGAGGCGGAGCTTGTAGTGAGCCGAGATCGCATCACTGCACTCCAGCCTGGGAGACAGAGCAAGACTCTCTCTCTCAAAAAAAAAAATTCTTGTGCATTTTCGTTGTTTTTCTGTTTACAACTACAAGGTAAATGTCATTCATTCAGGTGTTTTGTAACATCTTTGTTGACATATATTTACATACCATTCAATTCACTTATTTAAAATGTATACTTCGGCCAAGCGCGGTGGCTCACGCCTGTAATCCCAGCACTTTGGGAGCAGGAGGGGGGTGGATCACGAGGTCAGGAGATTGAGACCATCCTGGCCAACATGGGGAAACCCTGTCTCTACTAAAAATACAAAAATTAGCTGGGCGTGGTGGCGTGCGCCTGTAGTCCCAGCTACTTGGGAGGCTGAGGCAGGAGAATCCCTTGAACCCGGGAGGTGGAGGTTGCAGTGAGCCGAGACTGTGTCACTGCACTCCAGCCTAGCGACAGAGGGAGACTCCACTAAAAAAAAAAAAGTATACGGCCGGCCGCAGTGACTCACACCTGTAATCCCAGCACTTTGGGAGGCCAAGGCGAGTGGATCACGTGAGGTCAGGAGTTCGAGACCAGCCTGGCCAACATGGTGAAACCCTGTCTCTACTAAAAAAAACACACAAAAAAATTAGCCAGGCATGGTGGCATGTGCCTGAAGTCCCAGCTACTTGGGAGGCTGAGGCAGGAGAATCGCTTGAACCCGGGAGGTGGATGTTGCAGTGAGCTGAGATCATTGCGATCATGCCATTGCATTTTAGCCTGGGCAACAGAGCGAAATTCCCTCACAAAAAAAAAGAAAAGAAAAGAAGTTAAGAAAGACAGAAAAGAAAAGGAAAAGAGAAGAGAAGAGAAGAGAAGAGAAAAGAAAAGAAAAGAAAAAGTAAAGAAAGAAAAGAAACCCAAGCCAGGTTCAGTGGCTTGCGCCTGTAATCCCCGCCCCTCAGAAGGCCAGGGCATACCAAAGTTATTGAAATAAGAAATCAAGAAAGAGAGAAAAAAAAAAGAAAGAAAAACAAGTAAAAAGGAGGCTGAAGCAGGAGGATTGCTCAAGGCCAGGAGTTTGAGACCAGCCTGAGCAACATAGCGAGACCCTGTCTCGAAGAAAAATAATTTTAAAATTGGCCAGGTTTAAAACAGGCACAGTGGTTCACGCCTGTAATCTCAGCACTTTGGGAGGCCGAGGCGGGCAGATCACGAGGTCAGGAGATCGAGACCATCCTGGCTAACGTGGTGAAACCCCGTCTCTACTAAAAAATACAAAAGATTAGCCAGGCGTGGTGGGCACCTGTAGTCCCAGCTACTCGGGAGGCTGAGGCAGAAGAATGGCGTGAACCCGGGAGGCAGAGCTTGCAGTGAGCCGAGATTGTGCCACTGCACTCCAGCCTGGGCGACAGAGCAAGATTCTGTCTCAAAAAAAAAAAAAATTAAAATTAAAGTTTTTAAAAAAATTGGCCAGGTGTGGTGATGCACACCTGTAGTACAAGATACTCGGGAGGCTGAGGGAGGAGGATCACTGGAGCCCAAGAAGTCGAGGCTGCAATGAGCTATGATCACACCACTGTCTGGCAGACAGAGTGAGACCCTGTCTTCTAAAAACAAAACAAAACAAGAAAGAACCCCAGTACCCTTTAGCTATCATCTCCCTCCCATTTCCCCTGGGTTCTGACAACCCGTCATCATTTTCTGTCTCTCTGCACTTGCCTTTTCTGCATGTTTCCTATAATGGATCATTCAATATCCGGCCTTTTGTGTCTGGCTTCTTTCACTTAGCTTAATGTTTTCCAGCTTCATCCATGTCAAGTGTTACAGTAGCTAGTTAGGCACATTTTTTTTTTCTTTTTTTTTGACGAAGTTTCACTCTTGTTACCCAGGCTGGAGTGCAATGGCGTGATCTCAGCTCACTGCAACCTCCACCCTCCAGGTTCCAGCAATTCTGCTGCCTCAGCCTCCCAAGTAGCTGGGATTACAGGCATGCGCCACCACGCCCGGATACTTTTGTATTTTTAGTAGAGACGGGGTTTCACCACGTTGGCCAAACTCCTGACCTCAGGTGATCCGCCTGCCTCGGCCTCCAAAAGTGCTGGGATTACAGGCACGAGCCACTGCACCCAAGCTCTGCTCCCAATTCTTGACCTCTTACATCAGATTTGGCACAAAACTGTCCCATGCCCCACATATTAAATGATCCTATTTATATGAACTGCCCAGGCAAATCCAATAAGACACAAAGTGGAGTAGTGGTTGCCAGGTGCTAGGGGAATTGAGGGGTGATGGCTGAAGGATAAGGTTTCTTTTTGGGGTGATAAAAATATTCTAAAATGGGTTGTGATGATAGTTACCCAACTCTGTGAATATAACAAAAACCACTGAATTGTAATACCATAAATGGGTGAATTGTATGTATCCCAAAAAAGCTGTTACCACCATCCCCCAGGTTCTCCAAAATGAAACATCCTTCCCATAGCGGGCATCAGACACAGAATAAACCCGAGCAGGCCCTGTGTGATCGGACTTCCCCTCCCATCCCCAGTCCCACTCTGAACCATCTCGAACCCCCTTCTGCTTACTCTGTTCCAGCCACACTGGCCTTCTTGCAAGTTCTGCCTCAGGGCCTTTGCACTTGCTGTTCCATCGGCTAGAATCCTCTCTCTGGTTAACTCGGCTAGCAGAGTGTGATTTTGACCTTAACAAAACCAATCTCCCCTCCCCTCCCCTCCCCTCTCCTTTCCTTTCCTTTCTTCTTTTGAGACAGGTTTCACCATGTTGGACAGACTGGTCTTGAACACCTGGGCTCAAGTGATCCGTCCACCTCGTTCTCCCAAAGTGTTGGGATTACAGGTGTGAACCATCATGCTCGGCCCAAATTCTTTTCTTTTCTTTTTTTTTTTTTTTTTGGGACAAAAAGAGTCTCACTCTGTCGCCCAGACTGGAGTACAGTGGCACTATCTCGGCTCACTGCAACCCAGCCTCCTGGGTTCAAGTGATTCTCATGCCTCAGCCTCCTGAGTAGCTGGGATTATCGGTGCCCAACACCACACTTGGCTAATTTTTGTACTTTTAGTAGAGATGGGGTTTTGTCACGTTGGCTAGGCTGGTCTTGAACTCCTGATCTCAAGTGATCTGCCACCTTGGCCTCCTAAAATGCTGGGATTATAGATGTGAGCCACTGCGCCCAGCCCCCAGTTCTTACATAGACACCATATAAGTGGCAGGCAGAATAATAGCACGCCCTAAATGTCCACATCCTCATCTCCGGAACCTGTAGATGTGTTGTCTTACACAGTAAAAGGGACTTTACAGTTGTGATTACAGTCCGGGTCTTGATATGGGGAGATGATCCTAGATTATCCAGGTGGGACGAATGTAACCACAGGTGTCCTTATCAGTAAAAGCAAGCGGCAGGAAAATCAGTCAGAGCCAGAGAGAGAGAGACTGGAAGATGCTCCGCAGCTGGCTTGAAGGATGAAGGATAGGGTTACATGCCAAGAACAGGAGGCAACTTCTAGAGGCTGGAAAAGGCAGGGAAGGATTCTCTCCTAGATGGTCCAGACAGCTCTGCTGACAACTTGATTTTAGCCCACTGAAACCCATTTCAGATTTCATTGAGAATAAAATTGTGTTGTTTTAAGCCGCTAAGTTTGTGATAATTTGTTACAGCAGCAATAAAAAACTAACATGCTAGTTTATATTTATAAAAAGAGGCTGAGCACCATGGTTCAGGCTTGCAATCCCAGCAATTTGGAGGCTGAGGCGGGCGGACCATTTGAGCTCAGGAGTTCGAGACCAGCCTGGCCAACATGGTGAAACCCCGTCTCTACTAAAAATACAAAAATTAGCCGGGCATGGTGGCAGGCGCCTGTAGTCCCAGTTACTCGGGAGGCTGAGGCAGGAGAATCACTTGAGCCTGGGAGGTAGAGGTGGCAGTGAGCCAAGATTGTGCCATTGCACTCCAGCCTGGGGAGTGACAGAATAAGACCCTGTCAAAAAGAAAGGAAGGAAGGAAGGAAAGAAACTGACAGGGGCCAGGGTGTTCTCAGCTTGCGAAGGATGCCAGGCATAGGTGTGGCCAGCAGCCCCCACACTCTGCTCTCAGTGGGCATCGGGGGCCCCTTAACTTCAGAGGGCCCTAGAAACACTCAGGGGTGGCTTCTATCATCACAATGGCCAGAAGGCCACTTCTGGCACTTGGTGGGTGGAAGTCAAAAGTCCATCCACTTCTGGAGCAGCCTCACAATGAGGGATTGTCCTGGCCCAAATGCCAGCAGTGCTGTTGCCAAGAAACACAAATCATCAAGCCCAGTGCCTACATTTCCAACAACCACCGGGGCGAGCAGATAAAAATGAGGGTTCTGGAGCTACCCACCTGGCTTCAAAACTGGCTCAAAACAAACCTGGCTTGGCTACTGACTAGCTACAGACCTTGGTCAAGTCGTCTTTTTTTTTTAGATGGAGTCTCGCTCTGTTGCCCAGGCTGGAATGCAGTGGCACAATCTCGGCTCACTGCAACCTCTGCCTCCCGGGTTCAAGCAATTCTCCTGCCTCAGCCTCCTGAGTAGCTGGGATTACAGGTGCATGCCACCATGCCCAGCTAATTTTTATATTTTTAGTAGAGACAGGGTTTCACCATGTTGGCCAGGATGGTCTCAATCTCTTGACCCGCCTCAGCCTCCCAAAGTGCTGGGATTACAGGCGTGAGCCGCTGCGCCCAGCCTGGTCAAGTCTTTTAATGTTCCTGAAACATTCCTGGAACAATGTTCTCACTTGGAAAATGGGGATAATAACAGTCCTGTCCTTGGCCGGATAGAGTGGCTCACGCCTGTAATCCCAGAACTCTGGGAGGCCAAGGCAGGAAGATCACTTGAGCCAGGAGATCACTCCAGCCTGGGCAACAGAGCAAGACTCCATCTCAAAAAAAAAAAACTTAGCTGGGCATGGTGGCACGCACCTGTAATCTCAGCTACTTTGGAGGCTGAGGCAGGAGAATCACTTGAAACTGGGAGGCAGAGGTTGCAGTGAGCCGAGCTAGCGCTATTGCACTCCAGCCTGGGCAAAAAGAGCGAAACTCCATCTCAAAAAAAAAAAAAAAAATTAACCAGGTATGGTGGCACACATCTGTAGTCCCAGCTACTTGGGAGGCTGAGGTGGGAGGATCAACTGAGCCCAGGAGGTCAAGGCGGCAGTGAGCCATGATCCTGCCACTGCACTCCAGCCTGGGCAATAGAGTGAGACCATGTCTCAAAAAAAAAAAAAATAGTCCCAGACTTATAATCTAGTGAGCTTTAAGTAAGGTAAGACATGTCAATTGCTTAGAACAATGCCTGGGAGAGGGTGAGTGCCCTTCAGCATTAGCTGAGTATTGTTATTTTAGTAGCAAGTGCCTGGAATCTAAACCCATCACCCCTTCCAGCCTGGGGGCCCTTGGTGAGCAGGAGCAGGTCTGAAGAGCACCTGGGTGTCTCACCTTGCTCAGCACAATGAGGGGCGTTTGTTGACTGACTGACTGATGGACTGAAGGCAAGGCATCCTAGGTATCTGGTTCCCAGGGGAGACAGGCAAGGGCTCAAAGACGGCAAGGCCAGGCAGGACCACAGGTTTATTGGGGACTCCACGCACAGACGCTTATGGCATCACACGACAACGGCACGGTTACTCGGGACACACACGGTGGCCTCTGCCCACAGCCAGGGCCCAGAGGCAGTGGGGTGCAGTCTCCTCCCTTGTGGCCCAGACCCAGCTGGGTCCCTTCCTCCTAGGCAGCTGAGGGAAGGACTGCTGGGTTGGCCACGGGCCTGGGAAGGGGAAGCGAGCAGGCGAGTCCAGGAGGGGCCGGGGCCGGGGTGGGGCTCGCCTGCCCTCACTCCAGGGACTGTAGCATCAGCAGCTGTTTCAGCACCTTCGTCTGGCTGGTCTCTCGGATTTCGCCAGCCAGGAACATCTCGTCCACGACCGTGTAAACCTGTGTGAGGGGAGACCCTGGGGTGAGACGAGGCCCCCCAGGATGCTGGCCCGGACCCTGGAAGCTGGGGCTCTGATGCCCCTCGAGCTGGGACACAGACCTCAGCAGAGGCTCCGGGTGGCTAGTGCACCACGGGTCCCCCCCGTCCCCCTCCTCTGGCTCCTTCAGCCTCCTCTTCACCAGGAGCCTACCTTGTAGAAGTTGAACACCAGGTCCAGTTCACAGACATTGTGGAAATATTCGTTTAAGACCTGGGAGAGGAAGGCAGAGATGGTAAGAGATGGGCAGGGAGAGAGCCACACACGCACAGAGATGGGAACAAGGTCATCAGAAAGAGACAGCAAAAAAAGAGACCAAGGGGGAGGCAGGGGAGAGAGAGAGACAGTGACAGGGAGAGAGGCAAGGAGACACACAGAGAGAAACAAAAGCAAAGATCGATGCAAAGAGATGGCAAAAGGTCAGGCGCGGTGGCTCACACCTGTAATCCCAGCACTTTGGGAGGCTAAGGCAGAAGGATGACTTGAAGTTAGGAGTGCAAGACCAGCCTGGCCAACATGGTGAAACCCCATCTCTACTAAAAATACAAAAATTAGCTGGGCATCGTGGCGTGTGCCTGTAATCCCAGCTACTCAAGAGGCTGAGGCAGGAGAATCACTTGAACCTGGGAGGTGGAGGCTGCAATGAGCCAAGATTGCACCACTGCACTCCAGCCTGGGCGACAGAACAAGACTCCGTCTCAAAAAAAAAAAAAAAAAAAAAAAAAAAAAAAGAAAAAGAAAAAAAAGAAATGGAGAGGGAGAGTCCCAGTCACTGCAGAGGGAGGGCTCAGGAGGGACCAGGGAGGGTTCCCAGGCCTTGGGGGCCACTCCAGGGCTGCCCACCCGCCTCCCCACCTTACATCCCTCTCCCGCCGTACCTCCACGAAGTTGTGAATGGCCTCCAGGTAAGCCAGGTTGTTGTCATTGACATCCACACAGATGCAGAAGTAGAGGCCAGCATAGCGGCGGTAAATGATCTTAAAGTTCCGGAACTGCAGAACAGAGAGGCTGTCAGCAACGGAGATTGCCAGGACCTAACGTGCCAGACAGAGTGGGGCCAAAACATTCACTCCTTCACTCCATACGTGGTCCCGAGGCCCAGCTCTGTGCCTGGCCCTGTGCTGGGGTCACAGCAGTGACCGAGACAGCCCTAACCCTGCTCACAGTGCAGCGGGGGCAGGCATCCCCAGAATGGACAGGATGGGCTGTGAGAGCCCAAAGAGGGTGCCTAACCCCCTCTGATCCTGGAGAGTCAGGAGGGCTTCCTGGAGGAGGGGGTATCGGAGCTGAGAGCTGGAGGATAGGCAGGAATGTTCTAAGCAGATAGCAAAAGCCCGGGGCTGGGCGGGAGCCTGACGTGTTCAATAGTGTCCATGCAACCTTGCCACTCCCTTCTGTGACTTCCTGCTACCTCTGGAGACAGTCACATCCCTTAGCCTGGAATTAATTAACTCAATTATTTAACAAATACTTCCTGAGCAGCTACTCTATGCCAGGCCTGTGATAGGCAGTGTGGGGAGGAGGGTTACCACTGCCACCAAGACGATCCTGGGTCCTTGTCCTGCCCTCACTGAAATGCGATATACACAGTTAGCAATAGTAACACAGACACACACCGTGAACAAACATGCCAGGATCAGGGACATGGATTCTCATTTTATGCGCGTGTTAAGTAGACAAAGACAGATATATATGCATACTGGGTTGCAAAGTACAATGTCTTTGGCCAAAACCTGAAAATCCAGTTCAGTTCTATATGTTCTCAATGTCAGGTTCATTACAAAAAAAAAAAAAAAAAAAATCCCAGCACTCCAGGAGGCCGGGCGAGAGGATCACTTGAGCCCAGGAGTTTCAGGCCAGCTTGGGCAACATGGTGAAACCCCATCTATACAAAAGTACAAAACTTAGCTGGGTATGGTGGCGTGTACCTGTGGTCCCAGCTACTCGGGAGGCTGAGGTGGGGAGATGACCTGAGCCTGGGAGGTCAAAGCTGCTGTGAGCCACGTTCCCATCACTGCACTCCAGCCCGGGAGACCCTGTCTCAAAAAACACAAAAAAACAGCAGCTCTAGGTCTGGGGTGTGCCTGTGTCGCCACCTGCTGACAGCTATGAGTGCCAGCATCAGTCTTCGGCATTTTTTTTTTTTTTTTTTTTTGAGTCTGGCTCTGACGCCCAGGCTGGAGAGCAGTGGCTCGATCTCGGCTCACTGCAATCTCTGCCTCTTGGGTTCAAGCGATTCTCCTGCCTCAGTCTCCCGAGTAGCTGGGATTACAGGCGCGCCACCACACCCAGCTAATAGCTTTTTACTCATTTTTTCAGCTCAATCTCTTGTTCATTGCTATACTCCAAGCATGTTTTCAGGGTTTTTTTTGTTTTTTGGTTTTTTTGAGACAGTCTCACTCTGTCGCCCAGGCCAGAGTGCAGCGGCGCAATCTTGGCTCACTGCAACCTCTGCCTCCCAGGTTCAAGCAATTCTCCTGCCTCAGCCTCCTGAGTAGCTAGGAATACAGGTGTGCACCACCACGCCTGGCTAATTTTTGTATTTTTAGTAGAGATGAGGTTTTACCATGTTGGCCAGGCTGGTCTCCAACTCCTGACCTCAGATGATCCACCTGCCTCTGCCTCCCAAAGTGCTGGGATTACAGGCGTGAGCCCAGCCTGAGTATGTTTTCTGGTGTGATTACAGTAAGGCCTACATGTAATCCACGGGTAAATGAGCTGACACTGATCATCAGTGCTCCTCTCTTCTTGCAATCCAGCTTTTCTGGCTCTCACCCTCCTCCGCCTCCAGCTACTGCTCCATCTTTCCAGCCTCCCTTCCTGTTTTAAATTTCGAGGCTTCTCAGGGATCTGCTGCAGACCCCCATCTCTCCTCCAGCTACATTCTCTCAGAGAAGCACATTCTCTCATCCTGCAGGCTGGGGCAGGTGTCCCCTCTGAACATCCCACGCCACTGCCCCACCCCTGCCCTGCCCCAGCCTGACCACTGCTGGTCGCCACTGTCTGGGGATGGGTCTGTCTCCCCATTGGACTGAGCCTGTGGGGGAAGCTGGAGCTGTCACACTGTGTCCTCCATGTTGCCCTGCAAAGGGCTGGCACAGGTAATGGCCCCCAAAGACATCCACATCCTAATCCCACACCCTGTGAATATGGGACCTTATATGGCAAAAAGGGACTCTGCAGTCTCAACTTGTGACGAAGTTAAGAAGCATGAGATGGGGCGATAATCCTGGATGGTTCAGGCGGGACCAATGTCCTCACTGGGCTGCTAATAAAGGAAAGCGGGAGGCGGGACAGTGCGAGTCAGACAGAGATTGGACGACGGCCAGGTGCCGGGCCTCATGCCTATCATCCCAGCACTTTGGGAGGCCAAGGCTTGATCTCAGGAGTTCAAGAGCAGTTTAGGCAACATATCAAGACCCATCTCTATAAAACATACAAAAAATTAGTTGGGCGTGGTGGCAGGTCCCTGTAGTCCCAGCTACTCAGGAGTCTGAGGTGGGAGGATCCCTTGAGCCTGGGAGGCGGAGGCTGCAGTGAGCTATGATTGCACCACTGCACTCCGGCCTGGGGCACAGAGTGAGACCCTGTCTCAAATAATAATAATAATAACAAGAGGGATAGCCCGCATCTTCCAGTTGCCTACTCCTCCCTTTGATCTTCACTCACAAGTCCCCTCCAGGAAGCCCTCCAGACCCCCAGGCTGGGTCAGGTGCCCTCCCCCAGCCAGGCTCCTCGATCCCAGCCCTGCCTACTGTGGTTGTCACTGTCTAGGACAGGCTTGTGTTCCTTCCTGGGCTATGAGTCCCAAAGCAGCACAAGGCTGTCTCAGTGCTGCTGTGAACCTAGCACTGGGCTGATCACAGAGGAGGCACACAGAAACATTAGGTGAATACATGCACAAAGGAACAACTGAATGAATGGGCGGGCCTGGATCCTGGAGGCATGGAGGAACTCAAGACCTGAGGGTCAGCCTCCTCTGTAACATTCTCATTTGCCCAGCCGGACTTTCCGGCTGCCCCTGTATCATTGGGCCTCACTGACCCCTCCCGCGCCCCAGCCCTCAGCACAGGACCAGCCACTACATTAGCAGCAAGGTGCCCACACAGCCAGAACACCCGACACCCAGTTCCTCTCCCCCTTCCCACCTGCTGCTCTTGGTGACACCACCAGTGACCTCCTCCTGGAGAGGTAAGTCCAACCCTGTCCCCCTCCTGGCTGCTGGGACACCCAATCTCTTGGTTCTCCTCTCCCTCATCTCTCTGCCTGCAGACGTGGCCCTCTGGTGCTCTCCTCGGTCTATCCTCACTTCCCCGGTGAGCTCCTTGGCCTCGGTTTCCCTCTATGTGCAGAAATGCCGTTTCCATATCCTACCCAGCTCTCTCCAAGAACCCTGACTCGTCACTTCTTCCTGGACATCTCTGCTGGGATGTGGACGATACTCGGGGCCAGACCCCCAACACTTCCCTCCTGATCTTCACCTCCGCCTGCCCTTCCCATCTGCCCATATCAGATAATGACAGCTCCATCCTACCCGGGGGCTCAAGTGGGAAATCTAATTGTCGCCCTGGCTCTGCTTTCTCTCACATTCCACATCCAATTCTTGGCCATTCAGCTGGGTCCACCTCCAAAACGCTCCTGGCCACACCGACGGCTTCCATGCTGGTCCGGTCACCAGCATCTCCCACCTGGACCACTGCAGCCACCTCTCTCCGAGCAGTCTCCTCTATGCTCTTGCCCTATAGCGCAGCCTCAAGTCGGCCAATGGCCATGCTCTGCTCAAAACCCTCCATGGTTCAAGACCAGCCTGGACAACATAGCAATACCCCATCTCTACGAAAAATTTAAAAATTAGCCAGGCGTGGTCACTCATGGCTGTAATCCTAGGACTTTGGGAAGCTGCGGTGGGCGGATCGCTGGAGCTCAGGAGTTCGAGACCAGCCTGGGCAACATGGCGAAACCCTGTCTCTACCAAAAATACAAAAATTAGTACGGCATTGGTGGCACATGCCAATGGTCCCAGCTACTCGGGAGGCTGAGGTGGGAGAATTGCTTGACCCCGAGAGGCAGAGGTTGCAGTGAGCTGAGATCGCACCACTGCACTCTAGCCTAGGTAACAGAGTGAGAACCCACCTGAAAAGAAAAAAAAATTTAAAAATTAGATGGGCATGGAGGTGCATGCCTGTAGTCCCAGCCACTTGGCAAGCTGAGGTGGGAGGCTTGCTTGAGCCTGGGAGGGTACAGTGAGCTGTAATTGCACCACTGTACTCTAGCCTGGGAGACAGAGCAAGACCGTGTCTCTAAAAAACACCAAAAAACAAAAACAACCTTTCTTTTTTTTTTGAGAGGAGTCTTGTTCTGTTGCCCAGGCTGGAGTGCAATGGCACGATCTCGGCTCACTGCAACCTCTGCCTCCTGGATTCAAGCGATTCTCCTGCTTCAGCCTCCCGAGTAGCTGGGACTACAGGCACCCACGACCAGGCCCGGCTAATTTTTGTATTTTTAGTAGAGACGAGATTTCATCATGTTGGTCAGGCTGGTCTCCTGACCTTGTGATCCACCCACCTTGGCCTCCCAAAGTGCTGGGATTACAGGAGTGAGCCACCGCGCCCGGCCGGCAAAAACAACTTTTCTACGGCTCCCATCTGACTCATAGTAAGAGCCCAAGTCTTCCCTGCAGCCCTGCACCAAGAGATTACCCTGTTATCTTCTCTCTTTCATCTCCTCCCCTTCCTGGCTGCATTCCTGCTATCCCTGGAACGCCCTAAGTATTCTCCTGCCCCAGGGACTTTACACTTGCTGTTCCCTTGGCTTGAAATGTTCCTCTCAGACATTGGCTCCTTCCTCCCCGTCAAGTCCTTCAGGTCTTGGCTCCAATGTCACCTTTTCAGCAATGCCATCCTAACCAAACCATTTAAACCTGCATCCTGGCTGGGCGCAGTGGCTCATGCCTGTAATCCCAGCACTTTGGGAGGCCGAAGCAGGCAGATCACTTGAGCTCAAGAGTTTGAGACCAGCCTGGGCAACATGGTGAGACCCCATCGCTACCAAAAATACAAATATTAGCTGGGCTTGGTAGTGCACAAGCCTGTAGTCCCAGCTACTCAGGAGGCTGAGGTGGGAGGGTAGCTTGAACATAGGAAGTCAAGGCTGCTGTGAGCCATGTTCGTGCCACTGCACTCCCGCCTGGGTGACAGAATGAGCTCCTGTTTCAAAAAAAATTTTTTAAAGAGGGACAGGCATGGTGGCTCACGCCTGTAATCCCAGCACTTTGGGAGGCCAAGGCGGGTGGATCACTTGAGATCAGGAGGTCAAGACCAGTCTGACCAACATGGTGAAACCCCATCTCTACTAAAAATACAAAAATTAGCCAGGCGTGGTGGCGAGCACCTGTAATCCCAGCTCCTAGGGAGGCTGAGGCAGAGAATAGCTTGAACCCTGGAGGAGGTTGCAGTGAGCCAAGATTGCCCCCATTGCACTCCAGCCTGGGTGACTGAGACAGACTCCATTTCAGAAAAAAAAAAAAAAAAAGGCAAAAAAGGCCAGGCGCAGTGGCTCATGCCTGTAATCCCAGCACTTTGGAAGGCCGAGGAGGGTGGATTACAAGGTCAGGAGTTCGAGACCAGCCTGGCCAACATGGTGAAACCTCGTCTCTACCAAAAATACAAAATTAGCCTGGTGTTGTGGTGCACGCCTGTAATCCCAGCTATTTGGGAGGCTGAGGCAGGAGAATTGCTTGAACCTGGGAGGTGGAGGTTGCAGTGAGCTGAGATCATGCCACTGCACTCCAGCCTGGGTGACAGAGTAAGACTCTGTCTCAAAAAAAGTAATTAATTAATTAATTAATTAATTAATTCAATTCAATCAAATAAAAAATAAAGACAAGGTCTTGCTACATTGCCCAGGCTGGTCTTGAACACCTGGGCTCAAGCAATCCTCCCACCTTGGCTTCCCAAAGTGCTGGGATTACAGGCATGAGCCACTGCACCTGGCCTATTCTCTCTACTTTTCTGTGTTTGAACATTCTATAGGAAGTTTGAAAAACGCACCAGCAAAAAAAATTTGACCAAAAAAAAAAATTCTTTTTTAATCGTAGGCAAAAAAAATTAATAATAACAATGCAGAACAAAAAGGCAAAATATTAATACTGATTAAATCTGGGTAGTAGGTATACGAATCTCCAATCTACTTTTCTTTCATTGTACTAATCTGTATGTTTATGATTTTTCACAATGAAAAGTACAAGTAAAGGAAGGGAAGAAGCAAGCAAGCTCAAAGCAGGTTGAGTGAATGATATAGGATGGATAGAGGGTCCAAGGGGTTCTTGCAACTAGAAGCTGGGCAGGGAGTGGCGAAGTAGGGCACGAGGAAGCAGCGGGGTGCAGGAGGCATGGAGCGGGCGTCACCTCCACAAAGTTGGTGTGTTTGGCGTCTCGGACGGTGACCACGGCATGCACCTCCTCGATCAGCTTCTGTTTCTCATCATCATCAAACTGCATGTACCACTTGGCCAGGCGCGTCTTGCCTGCCCGGTTCTGGATGAGGATAAAGCGGATCTGGGGGCAGCAGGAGGAGAAGGAGGAAGTGAGAGAGGCAGAGAGGGCGGGTTGGGTGCTGCCCAACGGCCCCACCCATCCACCCAGAGGGGAGATAGGGCTCAGGGCCTCCCTGCTGCCTGACTTCCAGGGGTCTCGGCTGCTCCCCAGACCCAAGCCAGGCCGGCCTGGCCACACGCTTCATCCCGGGTCCCTCCAGCACCCCTGTGGAGTGACTTCCCTTCCACAAGTCTCCAACTCTGGAGTCAGCTCCAGGGCCCCGAGTCCCAGGCTCCTCCACCACCTCTTATCTCTCTCTGTTTTTTTTTTTTTTTTTTTTTGTAGAGACAGAGTCTTGCTACGTTGCTGGTCTCAAACTCCTGGACTCAAGCAATTCTCCCACCTCGGCCTCCCAAACTGCTGGGATCACAGGTGTGAGCCACTGTGCCCTGCTTTGTCTGCCCCTCTAGGCCTGTTTCCTCACCAGCAAAACAAGTCTCCCAAGAAGATTCATCTCACCAGGGTGGTTTTTTCATTATATTTTTTGTTATTTTTAAATTTTCAGACAGTGTCTCATTCTGTCACCCAGGCTGGAGTGCGATGGCGCAATCTCGGCTCACTGCAACCTCCGCCTCCCAGGTTCAAGCGATTCTCCTGCCTCAGTGTCCTGAGTAGCTGGGACTACAGGCACCCGCCACCACGCCTGGAAAATGTTTGTATTTTTGGTAGAGACGGGGTTTCACCATGTTGGCCAGGCTGGTCTCAAACTTCTGACCTCAGGTGATCCGCCCGCCTCTGCCTCCCAAAGTGTGGGGTTATAGGCATGGGCCACCACGCCCAGTCAGCCAGGGTTTTTTTAAAGGTTAAAAAAAAAGTTTATAAACTTAGTTCGGTGGCTGGTAGGTGGTAGATACTCAATAAACATTTGAGGTTCAGACTCCTTTGGGCTAAGTCTCAGCTCTGCCACTTCTTTTTTTCTCTTTGCTTCCTAACTTTTTATAAAATTGAAATGTAATTCACACACCATAAAATCCATCCACTTAAAATGTAGACAGTTAAATGGTTTTTGGTATATTCACTTAGTATATATTCACAGTTGTGTAAAAATCACCACTTTTTTTTTTTTTTTTGAGACAGGTTCTAGCTCTGTTGCCCAGGCTAGAGTGCAGTGGCGCGATCCCGCCTCACTGCAACCTCCACCTCCTGGGTGCAGGCCTCCCAGGTAGCTGGGACCGCAGGTGCACACCACCACGCCCAGCTAACTTTTTGTATTTTTAGTAGAGACAGTGTTTCACCATGTTGTCCAGGCTGGTCTCGAACTCCTGGCCTCAAGCGATCCACCCACCTCATCCCCCCAAAGTGCTGCATCAGGCGTGAGCCACTGCACCCCACCTAATATCACCACTATCTAATTTATTATCTAATACCAGAACATTTTCATCATCTCCCCCCAAAAAACTCCCCACCCATTAGCAGTCACTCTCCGTTCCCCCAGGGCCTGGCAGCCACGAGTCTCCTTTCTGTCTCTGTGGATGTGTCTGTTCTGGACATTGTATATGAGTGGAATCATGCACTCTGTGGCTTTCGTGTCTGGCTTCCTTCACTCAGCGTGACGTTTTCCAGGCTCATCTGTGGGGTGGCAAGCGGCAGAGCTGCAATTCCTTTCCGTGGCTGAGTGATCCTCTGTTGGATGGATAAGGCCGTACTTCGGGCATTTGGGTTGTTTCTGCTTTAGGGCTATTATGAATAATACTGCTATGAACATTCGTGTATGAGTTTTCGTGTGGATGGATCATTTCTCTTGGGTATATACCTAAGAGTGAGATTGCTGGCTCATAGGGTAACGCTATGTTTAACTTTCTCAGGAATTGCTAAACCGTTTTCCAAAGCGTCTGCCACTTTCATGACTTAACTTTGGTGCCACTTTGGTGCCTGAGTTTACTGTGAGGAGTAAAGGATATTCCTGGCCGGTCACGGTGGCTCACACCTGTAATCCCAGCACTTTGGGAGGCCAAGGCGGGCAGATCACTTGAGGTCAGGAGTTCGAGACCAGTTTGGCCAACATGGTGAAACCCCATCTGTACTAAAAATACAAAAATTAGCCAGGTGTGATGGGGGGCAGGGGGGAGGCGGCTATAATCCCAGCTACTCGGGAGGCTGAGGCATGAGAATCACTTGAACCCAGGAGGCAGAGGTTGCAGTGAGCTGACATTGCACCATTGCTCTCCAGCCTGGGTGACAGAGCGAGACGCTGTCTCAAAAAAACAAAAACAAAAACATAGAGGTATAGTACAGTGACTGGCACGTACTAAGTGTTACATAAGAACCAGCTCTTAGCAGCATTATATTTTCCATTATGTGATGTTCAGAAAACCATGGCCAAAGCTTACTCCATTAGAAGTTCTGGGCCCATTTCTGTCTGAGACAGGCATGCTCATGCCCATTTTATAGATGAGGAAACTGAGATTTAGGGAAAGGAAGTCTCACAGCCAGAAAGCAGAGGTGGGAGTCCAAAGGCTTTGCTCTGAACCACCTGACCCCAACTTGTGGGAGCCTTCTCTCTTAGGAAAGAGAGCCCTCTAGTCCTGTCTTTTTCTTTTCTTTTTTGTTTTCAGACAGTCTCACTCTGTTGCCTAGGCTGGAGTGCAGTGGCACTGTCTCGGTTCACTGCAACCTCTACCTCCAGGTTCAAGCGATTCTCCTGCCTCAGCCTCCTAAGTACCTGGGATTACAGGCGCATGCCACCATGCCCGGCTAATTTTTGTATTTTTAGTAGAGACAGGGTTTCACCATGTTGGTCAGGCTGGTCTCGAACTCCTGACCTTGTGATCTGCCTGCCTCAGCCTCCCAAAGTGCTGGGGTTACAGGCGCGAGTCACTGTGCCCAGCCTTTTTTTTTTTTTTTTTTTTGAGACAGAGTCTCACTCTGTCGCCTAGGCCAGTGGCACAATCTCGGCTCACTGCAGCCTCTGCCTCCCGGGTTCAAGCGATTCTCCTGCCTCAGCCTCCCAAGTAGCTGGGATTACAGGCATCCACCACCACACCTGGCTTATTTTTGTATTTTTAGTAGAGACGGGGTCTCACCACGTTGGCCAGGCTGGTCTCGAACTCCTGACCTTATGTGATCCGCCTGCCTCAGCCTCCCAAAGTGCTGGGATTACAGGCATGAGTCACCGCCCCAGCCTGAGAGTCTTTCCTAAGCCTCATTCTCCACACACTCTATCCTCCCTCCCCCAACCAACCAAACTGGACCGGAACAGGATGTTACACTCTCCTTCCAAGAACTCCTGCTGAGCCAGGGAAAACCACTTCCTAGCAGGGCAGGGGTCCCAGGCAGGAAGGGACGTTGGGGGGCCTACACCAGGCAGCCACAGCCTGGGAGCAGAGCCGGAGACATATTCACACAGTTAGGAGAACTAGAAGCAAACCCACAGAGTTGACAAAAAGCTCTGCCTCTTACTCCCAAATTCCCTTGTATACCTCTCCCTGTTTTCTTCCCATTTGGAATCTCAAGTCCCCTCCGTCCTGAATCTCTGCATCCTCACGCCTCTGCTGTCCCCTCTAGATGCCCCCCAACCTTCCCTGTCTCCAATCCCCCTCCTCTGGAGTTGTTCCCTTTTGACCTCCACTTTCTCAGTCTCAGTTCCCCTCCTTGGGGCCTCAATGGGCTTTTTACTGGTGACATCCCTTGTCCCACTCCCAAGCTTCCTCCCTTCTTCAAAAGGTCACATTTTGCCTCCAAGGACCCTGTTCCTGGAGGAGACTCCGCCCCCGCTCTGACACTCTTTCTCATTCGTTTTCTTTCCCAACTTCCAGCCCAAAGAACCCTTTCCTAGATCCAAAGCCCCAACCTGGGGGATAGGGGCACTCCTAAATCCAATGTTGAGTCTTTGCCCCAACAAAGATTCCTCCCCAGGTCTCACACTTTCAAGCCTACTCCCCACCCCACAAGATCTCTCCTCTTGGAAAGACCTATTCAGTTGCTCCCCATTCTTTCCGAGTGTCCATCTTACCTCCAGGTCCTCTCTCCTTTTACAGCGCTTTCCCAGACCCTTAAGTTTCATTCCCTACAGTTGCCTCCTTTTGGTTTCCTGTGCCAGGTCTCTTCTTGAGATCATCCCTCTCTCACAGGCAGTCTCCTGCCCCTGTCTCAACATCCCCTCTCCACCTGCAATCAGATCCTTGTCTCTAGAGACTCCTCCCATCAAGAAAACCTCCCTCCCCTTTTCCAAGGTCTCGCGTTCTCGTCCCAGCGCTCCCGCCACACTTCCAGAGCGCCTTCCTCTTTCGGACGCCCTCTCCCCACCTCCAATGCCTTCTCGCTACCCACAAGACTGTGTCTCACGAGTTTCCTCTCGTTTCAAAGCTTCCAACCATCTACAACGTTTCCCACCTGCACAGCCCTTTCCCCTTGGAACACCACCCCCAATGCCCGTCGCCGCGAGACCCCTGGTAACCCCCGCGCGCAGAATCACCGCCCTGTGCCCTCCTTCCCGGCCCTGGATCGGTCCCAATCCCCAGAGCCCGCGCCTGACCCAGACCATCCGCGGCAGAGAAGGGACTTGTCAGCGCCCGATCCAGCCTCGGCTATTTACGCGTGGGCCCCCCCTCCGCCAGTCCCCGGCGTAGCGCTCCCCCGTTACCATGGCGACCCCCGTCCAGACCCCAGCGGCCCCGGTCCCGCGGCGACTGGGCAGCTCCGGCTCAGGGTGCAGTTGTAGGGCCCAGAGCTAGAGCGGACTTCCGGTAGAAAAACCCGCCTGCCTTCTCGCGCACAGACCCCTGGGAGTTGTAGTTTCACCAAAGGGGCCAGCCTGGGTGAAGATGGGTGAAGAGTCAGAGCCAGTCCTTTTCCTACCAAACGAGTCAGATCCCAAGTGCATGCTGGGATTTGTGGACAAACATCTTTACAGAGGACTACAATTCCCGAGATGCTGAAGAACCAGCGGTGAAGGCGTTGCATTCAGGGAAATGTAGTTCTCTTAGGTCCCCTCCCCCCACCCAGGGGAGAAGGGCATGCTGGGAATAGTAGTTTTAAATTTTAAAAAACTGTCCTGGGGAGATAGAAAATGTCTTTCCATTCCTCATCCAGTGATTTCTTTAATTTTTTTAAAAATAGAGACAGGGGTCTAGATATATTGCCTAGGTTGATCTCGAACTCAGCTTCAAGCGACCCTCAGCCTTCCAAATCACCAGGATTACAGGCATGAGCCACCACAACACCAAGCCAGTGTTTTGCTTAAAATACGTTGCGTGTGTCTCTCGGGAGACAACAGTTTAAAAGCATAAATTTGAACCGGCCCGGCGCGGTGGCTTACTCCTGTAATCCCAGCACTTTGGGAGTCCGAGGCAGGCAGATCACTTGGTTAGGAGTTCGAGACCAGCCTAGCCAGCATGGCGAAACCCCATCTCTACTAAAAATACAAAAAATTAGCCAGGCATGGTGGTGCGCACCTGTAGTCCCAGCTACTCGGGAGGCTGAGGCAGGAGAATCACTTGAAGCCCGGAGGCAGAGGTTGCAGTGAGCCCAGATCTCGCCACTGCACTCCAGCCTGGGCAATAGAGAGAGACTCCAAAAAAAAAAAAAAATCTCTAGTTTGGCGGGGGCATGATGGCCCATGCTTGTAATCCCAGCACTTTGAGAAGCTGAGGTGGGTGGATCACCTAAGGTCAGGACTTCGAGACCAGCATGGCCAACACGGTGAAACCATTTCTACTAAAAATATAAAAATTAGCTGGGTGTGATGGCAGGTGCCTGTAATCCCAGCAACTCGGGAAGCTGAGGCAGGAGAATTGCTTGAACCTGGGAGGCAGAGGTTGCAGTGAGCCGAGATCACACCATTGCACCCTAGCTGGAATGACAAGAGCGAAACTCTGTCAAAAAAAAAAAAAACCCTCCAGGTCAGCAGTTAGTTTAGTGTTTTTTTGGTGTGTCTTTGTTTTTGCTTTTTTCTGAAAGAGGGTCTCCCTTGGTCACCCAGGCTGTAGCGCAGTGGCATGATCTCAGCTCACTGAAGCCTCAACCTGCTGGGCTCAAGTGATCCTCCCACTTCAGCCTCCCGAGTAGCTGAGACTACATACACATGCCGTCACACCTGGCTAATTTTTTGTACTTTTTGTAGAGACAGGGTCTTGCTATGTTGCCTAGGCTGCTCTTGAACTCCTGAGCTCAAGCGATCCTCCCTCCTCCACCTCCCAAAGTATTGAGATTACAGGCGTGATTTTTTAAATGGCCTTTATTACATTTTAAAAATTATTTTATTTGCCCTATGAGTATGTGTGTATGTTTGTCTAGATCTCTCATTAGGTAGTGAGTTGTTGAGGGCAGGGACCCTGTCTGATAACTGTATCTTCATTACCTAGAACATGACAGATGGTAAGCAGTCAATAAAGTTATTACTATTAGTACTGAGGGGAGATTGGCCCTAATAAGAACAAAGCATGCCAGGCATGGTGGCTCACTCCAGTAATCTCAGCACTTTGGAATGCCAAGGCAGGCAGATCACCTGAGGTCAGGAGTTCGAGACCAGCCTGCCCAACGTGGCGAAACAGCACCTCTAATAAAAATACAAAAATTGGCCGGGCTTGGTAGCACTTGCCTGTAATACCAGCTACTTGGGAGGCTGAGGCAGGAGAAGCACTTGAACCCTGGAGATGGAGGTTGCAGTGAGCCGAGATCGTGCCACTGCACTCCAGCCTGGGGGACAGAGAGAGAGAGAGACTCCATTTCAAAGAAATAATAATAATAAATTAAATAAATAAAACAAAATGTATTGTAGAATTATGTAAATTTAAGGTATAGTACTGGCAGAATAACCAACACATAGTTGTTGAATATTATAGGGGCAAAAAGAGGCCAGAGATCATTTCTGTCTTGTGTACTTTTCTGTCTCCAACAGGGTTGATACTAGGATGACACAAGCAAAGTGTCCAGGTTGCAAAATTTTAAAAGGACCTCACTCTTAGATGCCAATTCCTGTCTTACACAGGACTGAGAATATGTGCCTCATTAAATTTTGTGCCCTCAACACGTCACTTGCCTCCCCTTAGTCCCAGTCCTGATCTCCAGTGTTCAACTTAATACTTGGCACAACTCTGGTGTTCAATAAACATTTGCTGAATGAATGAATGCATTTGCAGCAAGAAAACAGACACTGCCCCCACCCTCACAGCATTCACAGTCTAGCAGGAAAAATGGACTTAAATGACATAACATAAATAAATTTAAGGCCAGGTGCAGTGGCTCATGCCTATAATCCCAGCACTTTGGGAGGCCGAGGTGGGTGGATCACCTGAGGTTGGGAGTTCAACAGCAACCTGGCCAACATGGTGAAACCCCATCTCTATTAAAAGGACAAAAATTAGCCGGGCATGGTAGCGTGTGACTGTACTCCCAGCTACTTGGGAGGCTGAGGCACGAGAATCACTTGAACCCGGGAGGCAGAGGTTGTTGTGAACTGAGAGTGTGCCACTTCACTCCAGCCTGGGCAACAGAGTGAAACTCTGTCTCAAAAAAAAAAAAAAAAAAAAAAAAGAAGGCCAGGCAGAGCCAAGTGGATCACCTGAGGTCAGGAGCTCAAGACCAGCCTGATCAATATGGTAAAACCCCATCTCTACTAAAAACACAAAAATTAGCCAGGCATGGTGGTGTGCAACTGTAGTCCCAGCTGCTAGAGAGGCTAAACAGGAGAACTGCTTGAACCCAGGAGGCAGAGGTTGCAGTGAGCCAAGATCGCGCCACTGCATTCCAGCCTGGGCTACAGAGCGAGACTCCATCTCAAAAAAAAAAAAAAAAAAAAAAAAAAGATATTAGCCAGTGCTACAGCCACGAGAACACTATCTTTTTTTCTTTCTTTCTTTTCTGAGACAGGGTCTCGCACTATAACCCAGGCTGGCATGCAGTGGTGCAATCACAGCTCATTGCAGTTTCAACCTCCGGGGCTCAAGCAATCCTCCCACCTCAGCCTCCTGAGTAGTGGGAACTACAGGCACGTGCCACCATGCCCAGCTAATTTTTAAATTTTTTGGAAAGAAGAGGTCTTGCTATATTTTCCAGGCTGGCATGTGAATGCTTGACTGGAGCTGAAGGACCTGTATTCCAGGTGGCTCGCTCCTGTGGTTGGCAAATGAATGCTGGCTATTGGCCAGAGACCTCAGCTCCTCACCACGTGAATCTGTCCACAAGGACATATGAATGTCCTCACATGGCAGCTGTTTTCCCAAAGAGTGAGTGATCTAAGAAAGAGCATGGCGGAAGCTGCTATGTCTTTTATGGCCTTGCCTCAGATCTTTTATGACACTGTCATTTCCACAATGTTCCATTGGTACCTAATCAGCCCTGTCCAATGCAGGAGGCAATGCAAATACCAGGTGAGACTCATTGGGGTCCATCTTGGAGGCTGGCTGCCACAATGGCTCATAACAGGCACCTAGCTGAGTTGAAGAGTTAGTGACAGCTTCCTAGAAGGGGTGACATTTGAGCTGAGATCAGAAGGACGAGTGGAGCCGGGCATGGTGGTGCATGCCTGTAATCCCAGCTACTCGGAAGGCTGAGGCAGGAGAATCACTTGAACCTGGGAGGCAGAGGTTGCAGTGAGCCGAGATTGTGCCACTGCACTCCAGCCTGGGCGACAGGCTGCTCCGTCTCAAATAAATAAATAAACAAACAAATAAATAAATAAATAAATAAAGGCCAGGCGCAGTGGCTCATGCCTCTGATCCTACCACTTTGAGAGGCCAAGGTGGGCGGATCACTTGAGGACAGGAGTTTGACACCAGCCTGGACAACATGGTGAAAGCCCGTCTCTACTAAAAATACAAAAATTAGTTGGGTGTGGTGGTGCACGCCTGTAATCCCAGCTACTTGGGAGGCTGAGGCAAGAGAATCGCTTGAATCCGGGAAGCAGAGATTGCAGTGAGCCGAGATGGCGCTGCTGCACTCCAGCCTCCGCGACAGGGCAAGCCTCCTTCTCAAAAAAAAAAAAAAAAAAAAAAAAAAAAAAAAAGACGAGTGGAAATTAACCAAGCAAGGATTAGTGTCCAGGATGGGGCAGAGTGCTGGGCAGAAGAACACAGGTAGGGAGAAGATCAAAACATTTTCTCTACCCTCAGGAGTCTCATGGCTTGAGTGGTTTCGAGTCTGGGGCTACATGGCACAGACATAGAAAAGATAAGTCCCGAAGGAACAATTATTTATTTTTTTATTTTGCTAGACAGGGTCTGGAACTCCTCCTGGCCTCAAGTGATCCTCCTCCCTTAGCCTCCTAACGTGCTGGAATTACAGTCGCGAGCCAGCGCGCCCGGCCTCAATTTTAAACGTTTATAAAGATAGAGAGGTTGTGGCAGGGCGCGGTGGCTCACGCCCGTAATCCTAGCACTTTGGGAGGCCGGAGCAGGTGGATTGCCTGAGCTCAGGAGTTTAAGACCACCCTGGGCAATATGACAAAACCCCGTCTCTAATAAAACTACAAAAAATCAGCGCGCCTGTAGTCCCAGCTGTTTGGGAGGCTGAGGCACGAGAATCGCTTGAATCCGGAAGGCGGAGGTTGCAGTCAACGGAGATCACGCCCTGCACTCCAGTCTGGACGACAGAGCGAGACTGTCTCAAGGAAAAAAAAAAGAGAGAGAGAGAGAAAGAGAGAGAGGTTGGCTGTTCGCGGTGGCTCACGCCTGTAATCCCAGCACTTTGGGAGGCCGAAGTGGACCGATCACTTCAGCCCAGGAGTTCGAGACCAGCCGGAGCAACATGGCGAGGCCCTGTCTCTACAAAAAATATAAAAATTAGCCGTGTGCACTGGCGCACGCCTATAGTCCCAGATACTCCGGAGGCTGAGGTGGGAGGATCCCTTCAGCTGGGGAGGAAGAGCTTGCAGTAGGCTATGATTGCACCACTGCACTCCAGCCTGGGCGACAGAGCGAGACCCTGTCTCAAATTTTTTTTAAAAAATAGATGTTTATTATGCATTCATCCAGTAGATATTTAGTGCGTCGATCTACTAAGCAAGGGGCCCAGGCACTGGGATTCCGCGGTGAATCTGAGCATCCCCGCCTCCCGTTCCTGCCTCGTGATTGGCTGCCCTTGGGCCAATGGCTGAAGAGTCCACCGCTCTGCCAGCCCCCGCGGCAATCCTCCAGCTGCAGCTTCCCCTGTTCGGTTTGCAGGCGGCGCTGTGGGCTCACTGACTCCTCCGTCACACGCAGACCTGGTCCCCACCCTCTCTGATTCTTTCAGACTCTTAGGAATGAATAGAGTGTATACCCCAGAGTCCCACCCTCTTTACAAAATCCTTTTGTGAATTTTTCTGCCTGTGCAGGTTTCCAATACAGGTCCAGAATCCCACGCCCGCCTCTTATCAACCAACACCAGCGGCTCTCCCGTTAATGTGACCTCCAGCCATTCGGCCCGTAGGCCGATGCTTGGGAAATCTTGACAGCGGCCCAAGCCGGCAGTCGGCACTTCTCTCGGTCGGTTAATTGTTTACTCGTTTGTTTATTTATCCTGGAGTGGAGGCTAGCCGGGTGCGCGGAGGCGGCTGCCCCCAGGGAAGCCCGCTTCCTGTGGTTGGCTTGCTCAACTACTATCCGCCCTCTTGCGCACTGGAAAAAATTGCAGAGCTGGGAATGCACCCCTTGATGGTTCCGTTCATGCAGTAAAACAATGCCTGGGCCCCTGCCTTGTGCCTGGATCCGTGCTAGGGACATCGACGATGACTGAAACAGCCCTGGCCCTGCCCTCAGGGGCCTTGCAGTCCGATGGGAAAGACCTATCACCAGATATGGACCACCCAAGGTGGCCAGGGCTTGGACGGGAGACCTAAAGGGACTGTGGGAGCTTGGAAGGAGCAGCTGACCCAGCCTGTTGCATCAGAGAAGGCCTCCTGGAAGAGGGGACATCTGAGCTAGCATCTCAAAGAAGGCTAGAAGGACAACCATGTAGTCTCTGGCTACCATGTCCCCAGTGCCTACCACCCCCTTGTTTAGCATTGGATTTTTTTTTTTTTTTTTTTTTTTTTTTTTGAGACGGAGTCTCCTTCTGTCACCCAGGCTGGAGTGCAGTGGTGCGATTTTGGCTCACTGCAATCTCCATCTCCCGGGTTCAAGCGATTCTCCTGCTTCAGCCTCCCTAGTAGCTGGGATTATAGGCGTGCACCACTATGCCTGGCTGATTTTTGTACGTTTTGTAGAGACAGGGTTTCGCCACGTTGTCCAGGCTGGTTTCGAACTCCTGGCCTCAAGCAATCCACCCGCCTCAGCCTTCCAAAGTGCTGGGATTACAGGCCTGAGCTACTGTGCCTGGCCGACTCATTCACTTTTATTTATTAACAAGTTTTAATTGTGGGTCATTGGCCAGACTTTGGAACTAGCCAGGGTCCCCTGCCTTCAGAGGGCTCACACATAAAATGGTGATACCAACACAGAACTTCATTTAATCTTTTTAGAGACAGGGTCTGGCCTTGTGGCCCAGGCTGGAGTGCAGTGGCACAATCATAGCTCACTGAAGCCTTGAACTCCTGGGCTTAAGTGATCTTTCTTCCTCAGTCTCCTAAAGTGCTGGGATCCAACACAGAACTGCAAACCTTGAACCCTGAAGAAATGCTACGTGTAGCAACGTGACCCAATTGTCTGGGTTTGTGTCTCAAACCTGCTGCTTACTAGCTGTGTAACTTTTCTGTACCTTATAACTTACTCATAAGGTTGTTGTGAGGATTCAGTGAGTTAATGGGTCTAAAGTGCTTTTAGACTGCTGCCTGGCATGTCCAGGCATGGCGGCTCATGCCTGTAAACTCAGCGTTTTGGGAGGCTGAGGCAGGAGGCCTGCTTGAGGCCAGGAGTTTGAGACCACCCTGGGCAACATAGCAAGACTCCATCTCTACCAAAAGAAAAAAAAAATTGGCCAAGTGTCATGGTGAGAGCATGTAGTTCCAGCTGCTCAGGAGGATTGCTTGAGCCCAGGAAGTTGAGGCTGCAGTGAGCCATGACTGGTCCACTGCACTCCAGCCTGGGCAACAGAGCAAGACCCTGTCTCAAAAAAAAAAAAAAAATCCACACACAAAAAAAAACAAATAAAAAGAATGTTGACTAGCCTGGCCAACATAGTGAAACCCCGTCTCTATTAAAAATACAAAAATTTGCCAGGTGTGGTGGCACACACCTGTAGTCCCAGCTACTCGGGAGGCTGAGGCAGAAAAATCGCTTGAACCTGGGAGGTGGAGGTTGCAGTGAGCCGAGACCTCGCCATTGCACTCCAACTTGGATGCCAGAGTGAGACTCCATCTCAAAAAACAAACAAACAAACAAACAAAAAAGACTGTTGCGGCCAGGCTCAGTGGCTCACACCTGTAATCCCAGCACTTTGGGAGGCTGAGGTGGGTGGATGGCTTGAGGCCAGGACTTCGGGACCAGCCTGGCCCGAACAGGTGAAACCCTGTCCCTACTAAAAATACAAAAATTAGCCAGATGTGGCGCCTGTAGTCCCAGCTACTCAGGAGGCTGAGGCAGAAGAATCACTTGAACCCGGGAGGTGGAGGTTGCAGTGAGCCGAGATCACACCACTGCACTCCAGCCTGGGTGACAGAACAAGACTCTGTCTTGAGAAAACAACAAAAACAAAAATTAGCGGGGCGCACGCTGGTAATCCCAGACTCTGCCTCAAAATAAAAAATAAAAATAAAAAAAGACTGTTGCTTGGCACGAAGTACTCATTTTTATTATTAAAGAACGAGGGATCAGGCCAAATCTGGGAGACTACCCTGAGAAGGTGACTTCAAGCTGAGAGTTGAAGGGTAAATCAGAGCTGATGGGCTCCCAAGGGGTTTGGGGGATCCAGAGTGAGCCCAAGCGTCCTTGTTCTCCAGATGCTGCCAGCTCACAAATTTAAGATTGAAAAGACTCGGAACACTGCATAGGCGTTGTAAAGACATTAATTTGAAATACAGGTATCAGGAATTCACTGCCCCCCACCTTGTCTTTCCTGTGTCTCCTCAAGTAATCTCAAAAGTCCCTTACACATCACGGTTTGTAATGACAGTCCACGCACTCGATTTGGCAGCCCCGCAGTGCTTAAAGAAAAGTTGTTGTTGTTTCAAGCCACTAACATCTAAAAATCAGACTGAATGCATTAAAAGTGCCTTTTTTTTTTTTTTTTTGAGACGGAGTTTCCCTCTGCTGCCCAGGCTGGAGTCCAGTGCTATCTCTGCTCACTGCAACCTCCGCTTCCCGAGTTCAAGCGATTCTCCTGCCTCAGCCTCCCGAGTAGCTGGGATTACAGGCGCCCGTCACGACGCCCACCTCATTTTTGTATTTTTAGTAGAGACGGGGTTTCATGTTGGCCAGGCTGGTCTCGAACTCCTGACCGCAAGTGATCCGCCCGCCTCGGCCTCCCAAAGTGCTGGGATTACAGGCATGAGCCACCGCGCCTGGCCCTAAAAGTGCTACATTAAAAAAAAAAAAAAAGTCAATGGAAACATCCTTTAATATAAAAATCTTTATTAATGGAATAAACAAGCCCCTGTAATTTTATTTATCAACGCTTACAGAGCGCTTACTATGTATGCAATGCATGATTTCAAGAGCTTTGCAAAATATAATCTATTTAATTTTCACAGCAGCCCTACGAGAGAGGTACGATTATTATCCCATTTTATAGATGAAGAGACTGATGGCAGAAATGCCAAATGTAATAGGAAACAGCCTTTCTTCATGCATTCCACAAATATTGGCTCGGCGCCCGGGAAGCTCATCTTCCACGATCTGTACTTCCGGAGGAGTCCCAGAGGAACACCTCCTCAGTTCAGAGGAGTCAAGGGTTACAGCGGTGCCCTCTCCCATCACTACTCTTTTCCCTTCAGGCGCCCTAATTGACATTCGATTTGTAGCCATTTGCACAATGCTAAGTGACAGGCTTGGGCTGCACACAGGACCAGGCCGTCTTCCCTCTCCTGGGGATCAGTCGTTCACAGAACCAAAAACAAGTTGCATGGACGCGCGCGTTGGCTGCAGATTTTCTTCACAGCCAGGAGAAAGAGCACGCGCTCTCCAGCCCCGCCTCTTCTTCCGGGACGACGAATTGCGGGGCTCGGATTGGGCTGAGGCGGGCCACGCCTCCTCATATCCTCCAATCAACTCCCTCTCTGGTGCGCTCCCTCCTTCTCAGCCCCGCCCCACCGCCCCACGTTACGTCGCTCCTTCTGGCCTCCTCCGTTATCCCGGCGGCTGCGGCTCGCGCGGCAAACCCACCTCCCATTGCTTCCCATTGGCTGGTCAGGTCCCGCGCGAGCGGGATCGCGCCCTTCGCCCCCCACCCCCAAAACCGGGCCATGCCTCTCTCCTTCGGCTTTCTCCAGGAGCCAGCGCGAGGCAGTAGATCGGCTGCTTGAGACGCGCGCGCAGCTCCTGCGGACCACTCCCTCCGCCCTGCGCCAGCAGCTGCGCCGGCTGGCAGCCCCCCGCGCACGCGCGCTCGCCCATCCCGCTCCCTCTGCTCGTTTGCAAGTCGCCTCGCGCTCAGTCGCGACGGCGGCCGCCGCAATAGCGGCATTTTCGGGGGCGCACGCGCACTGCACCGTCCGCGGCCGTTCCTAACCTCAGGCAGCGGCTGTGGCAGTAAGCCCCTCGGGTGCGCACGCGCTCTGACCTCTTCCCACTGCCTCGCTGGTTGTCCCTTCGCGGCGCGCGCCCAGGGGCCGTTATACCCCTGCAACGGTCCACGCGCCGCGCACGCGCAGTAGCGAGGGGGCGCGCGCGCGGGAGCGGCCGTCGCAGGAAGGAGGTGCCGCCGCTGCCGCCATTGCGAGGGAGGGAGGGAGGGAGGGAGTGAGCGAGGCTGGTCCGCCCTCCCCCTGGTTGCCGCCCCTCCCCCCTTCCCCTCCCCGCCCCCCGCCCCGAGGGAGAGCCGCGGCGCGGCGGCAGGAGGAGGTGGAGGAGGCGGAGGAGGGAACCCGCGAGGGAGGGTCCGCCCGGCCCCCCGCCGCCGGAGCCGCCGCCGCCGCCTCAGCCGCCGCTGGACTAGGAGCAGGGGAACATGGCGCCGGGGCCCCCGTCGTTGCTGCCGGGATTTTGGAGGCCGGGGCCGCGCTGAGGGCGCCCAGCTGGTGAGTGCGCGAGCTCACGGGCCCCGGGCGGCGAGGCCGGGCGCCGCCCCGCTGCGGGGTCCAGGGGGAGGCGGGGACGGCGGGGCCCGGAGCCCGCGAACAATGGAGGAGCTGGAGGGGGAGGGGAGGAGCGGCCCCCCCCCCAGCCCCCCGGGCCCCGCCGTCCCCGTCGCTTCGCGCGTCGGCCCGGCCCGTGGGGCCCTCCTGCCCTTTGGACCTGCCCCTGCCCGCCCCAGCCCTGCTGTCCCCGCCGCCGCCCCCATCCCCGACCCGTTGGGATCTCGGTGTCTGCCTCGGAGCCTACCCGACTTCAGCCAACCGGTTCCCAATTCTGCGCCCCCCTTCCCCCTTCCACCCCTCCATAATGCCCTTCGCTCCTCCCGGGCTCTGCAGTGCTCCTGGGACCCATCTTCTCCTCATTGACCATTCTGCATCTCTTAATTGTGGCTCCCACTTTTGAGATCCGTGACGCTTCTCCCTCTTCTCGATTCTGCTCTCACCACCCTTCAGATCTGTCCTCGGCCCCTTCTTTGACCTACCTTCTGTGCTATTATTCCTGTCTCAGAATCTGTTGCACCCTGGGAGCTGTCCCTTTAGGACCTGCGGTTCCAACCCTTTGGAGATCCATCTGAGACCCCTGTTCGGCCAGGCACTGCTGCCCCAGGTCTTCCCCTTGGACTGAATCCCGTTCCCTCGTGGGCCCTACTACCCGCATTTCTTGTCTGCCCTCTCGCAGAGCCTGCTGCACCCCGGGATGCCCCTCGGCTGGCTTTCTGACCCTTCCGTGCCCCAGCTCATTCCCCTGATCCCCTCGGACTTGGCTGCACCGTGCTTGCCTGTTCCCCTTCTCAGCTCTTGTTCCCGTTTACCATTCAGACCCTTTCCTCTCTTCCAGACCTTTCTGCCTCTCAGCTCTGCCCCTTGCCCGACCTCAGATCTTGCTGCGCTCCCCTCACCTGCTTGCTTCTGACTCTGCCTTCCCGGGAAGCAGCCTCCTCCCCCTTCTCTGACTCTGCAGGTCTCCCATTTCTGCTATTCACTTAAATGATGTATCCCTAACTCAGACTGCCTTCAGTTTCAGCCCGTGTTCTCTTGGAGGTTTCCTCTCTTCCCCACCTCCTTTTTGGCACTCCTCTGAGCTACTGCATTCATTTGCTTCTCCTTTCTTTGGCCTGTCTCTCCTTCAGTTCTCTGCCTGAAAACTGCTTCCTGTCCCCTCTTTGCTCCAATTCCTCTCCTCCCCGTTTTAGCCCTTAGACATGCCCTTTAACCTCACTATACCTCTGATACCTCCCGGGCTGGTCACCCATCCCCTTCCTGTTCTGCATCTCACAGACCTGCCCCTAGATCCATTTTGTACCTACACTTTCTTCTCGTTTTTTTCAATTCTGCTCCATCCTCTTTATTTAGTGTTTCCCTCCCCAGCTCGGCTCCTTCGGAGCTGTCCACTTGCCCGCATATTTTTAGACCGGTTTTTAACTTCTGTATTGCCGTCCTTTCTTGGAGCGGTCCTTTAACACTGGGGTTCTTGTCACTGTGTCCCCTCTCTGTTCCCTCCCGAGTCTTTTAAGTTTTCCACATGACAGTCTCTTCCCCCCACCATTTTGATTCAGCCCTCACCCTTCACTCTGCTTTATTTGCCCACCCTCCACTGTTCTGCCTCTTGTCTTCTTTTGGAGTTCTCACTCCAATTGTGACATTACGATGTCTTCTTAATCATTCTTTCCTATGTATTCCCCCCCACCTTCCTCTTGGAGCTGCCTCAGTGCTGTGATAGATTATCACTCCCCTTTGATATCCCTCTCCCAATTCTGTTCCTCTTGGACTTGTTTCCTTCCTCACCTTTTTTTTTTTTTTCCTTCCCCTTGTATCCTGCCAGGCTCCTTCTCTTCCCATTTAGTTCCTATCAGACCTGCTCCTCGCAGCTCACCACCCGTGGCCCACCCATTCCCCATTGAGCACTTCCCCTTTCAGGCATATCTTTCTTTCCATCCCTCTGCTGCAGAGGCAAAGGGGCTGGATTGGGCCTTAGGCTCTCCAGGCTCTGAGACTGCAGATTCTCTCTCTGCGCCCTAACCCTGAGGGTTCTCTCCCCAGGGATCCTGAGAGATCTGGGTAAATAGGTGGGGGTTGGTTGATTGTTACTACTCTCTGGAGTCTGGGAGTGTCTCCCCCATTTCCCCCACTTCCACTAGGTTAGTAGTGTGGGGGGAGGTAGATCTTTTTCCATTGCCCCATTTTCTTTCCTCTGCTGTTTGCTCTCTCCCTTCCTATCTCTGGGCTTTGCAGCTTTGTGTCCTTTGGAAAAGGGGATTGCAGCTGCTCGCAGATCTTTATTCTCTTTCTCACTTTCCCTCCTTCCTTCTCTGAGCCATTGCATAGAGTACCCTCTCTCCCCTTCCACCTCTAAGCCAGCAACCCTAGGAGTGTCCTTCCCTTCCCCCCCGCCTTCGCCCCTCCCCCCCAGCTAACAAGTTATTTCAATATATAGTTTTACCTCTAGCTGGGGAAATGCCAGTTCTCAAATTATCCCGATCCCACCAGGGGTTATGGCCACAGTTGGACCTAGGGAAGCTACAGTATTGCCTTCCCTAATGGCCTCTGGTTTGCAGTGTGACCTTGTGGGAGGGGATGGGGAAGGTGGGCTTATTTCTTTTTCATCTTTGCCCCGGGAAAGGCTCCAGCTTCCTGGTCTTCAAAATGGTGAGGGCTTGGGTTTGGAAAGCACTTTGCGGTTGTTTGTTGAAAGAGAGAGTGCCAAATGTCACTCAGATTTCTGCCCTCTGGTATTGCAGGCACTCCCTGCCACAGGAGCTGAGTGCCTCTGGGCAGATCCATGCTAGATTCTGGGGCTCTTTGCCTGCCGTACAAGGGGTGTGTGGGTGGGCCCTGACATTCCTTAAGCTTTTTGAGTGACCTGATTGGGTAGAGTTAGAAAGGGGTGCCAGGAACTGGCGGATGTGATTGGATTTTTAGTCTTATTATCTGAGAAATGCGTCTTGGCTACCATTCCTGAGCGATTTTCTTTAATGACTCTATGGTTGTGGGGGGGTATTTAGTTCATTCAGGGGTAGAGGTGGTTTTTACAGAAAATCTGTCCAACCATTTTCCTTCCTTAACTTGGGAAAGGGGATCTTTTGCATGTTCTAGGTTTATTTATTTTATTTCTTAAGTAAATCAAAAGCCTGATTTTTTTCCCTGCTGTGGCCTAGGGCAATTGTATATTAAAGTAGCCATCCAACTGTGAAGGAGCATTTACTGGAAGGACTTTCTTAACTGTGCTATGATCAAACTTTGTTTATTTTAGTACTTATTTAGAAATAATTCTGTGTGGACACATTTGAAATAAAAACATTCACTGTCATCTACAGAGTTGGACCATTCACTCATCAAATATTAGGGCATTTGTATATGAGACAGTGAAGAGGGCTGATAGTAGATTTGTATGGTCCCTTGAACTTTTTAAAATTTTCTGACAGAATCTGGTAATTTTAATAATCTATGTATGGCATGGGTTTTCACCATTATTGACTTAAAGATTTTTGGTTCATTTCCGTTGGTAAATTTTTAGCCTTGTGTGTCATGATTAATTTTCTGAATTTATCTTAGAGTTTGTGTTACCCATGTTGGTGTCAATAGTTGTTTTGTTTTTTATTAATATGGAAGTGACAGATAATTAAGAATAAAAACAACTGTGTATGCAGTACTGCTTAAATGTGTGTCCCAGAGTTTTAATATCATTGGCAGCATGAAAAGTTCCTGCATGCCAAAAGCCTAAGTTTACATAATAGGGAGAGAGGACACACAGAATAGAGAGCTGATTTTTCCACCTTAACTGGTAACCGATGTTCTTAAAGACTGTCAGATTTCTCTGAGGCTAGCAGAGGCCCTAACTCCAGCATTGCCATTTGCTTTCATGATGGGATTGGGTGCTACAGAAATGTGAGGTGGTAGCCTTGGCCTTCTGGCACAGTTAATATGCCATTTGGAGTGGGGGGACTGGAGCAGGAGATGGCGGTAGACAACTGCTTTCAAGGTAGTAACATGTTTTCAAGGGCTCTTGCCCTGCCTAGAAAATCTTTGTAAAGACTTAAAAACTAATCTGATCAAAGTTCCTCATTTAAGTTATCATCTTGTTTTCAACTAACCTCTTTTTGGCCATGCTCCCCACCCGCCCTTTTACCTGCCCGCCATTTTCCTTGGCATGATGAAGGTCGATGCATTTAGAACAGTGACAAATCAGAAAATACTCATTCTTATTGATCCAGAAGAGAAGAAGTTGAAAGAAGTTGTCGGTGTGCAGATTCATGGGCAGATCCATGGACCTGATGGTGACTTTTGGCAAAGGACACAGCCTGGGAAGGGTGGGGGTTGCACAGGTGACAGTAAACCATAGCCTAATAGATGTTTGGTGAGTCTGCATGTGAGGAGGTGAGGCGTCAGGTCAATATAGTTGGAGATTGAAAAGGTCGGAGTGGTTGTTCGTCTCCATCTAGTCTGGTCTGCTTCCCAACTTTGGTCCACTGTGGTCTCCTGAGAGGTGTTAGGCCGCTTGCAGCGTCTTCCTGTGATCTGCTGTGACTTTTGTCGGTCACCACCTGGCAGTCTAAACAATGTCTTGATTTACACAGTAATCGTGACTTTTTTTGAGATGGAGTTTCCCTCCTGTTGCCCAGGCTGGAGTGCAATGGCGCAATCTCAGCTCACCACAACCTCTGCCTCCTGGGTTCAAGCGATTCTTCTGTGTCAGCCTCCCGAGTAGCTGGGATTACAGGCATGCACCACCACGCCAGGTTAATTTTTGTATTTTTAGTAGAGATGGGGTTTCACCATGTTGGCCAGGCTGGTCTTGAACTCCTGACCTCAAGTGATCCACCTGCCTCGGCCTCCCAAAATGCAGAGATTACAGGCACGAGCTACTGCGCCTGGCCTGTTTTTCCCTTTTTTAAAAAATCTTTTGTTATTCATCACAGCACTATCCATGATGTCCAGTTGGTAAGATTTCTTTTTCACGATCTGTAAAATAGGTAAAATTGAGATTCTTTGCATGAAGAGAGAAGGTGACTAGCACAAATACCTCCTTTGACGCCTTGCGTTCATTGGAACTCAGTGGGAAAATCAGCGCGTAGTCTAGCCTCCTCATTTACAGATGGAGGAATGGAAGGCTGGCATAGGGCATTGTGACAGGCTTCCTGCCACAGCAGAAAAGTACTGGATTTATATAAGGGCAGTGACCTGGCTTCTGATCTAGGCCTTGTCCTAATTAGCTGGGACCTTGAACAAATTGCTTGACCTCTCTGGGCTTCACCTTCCTAGTCTGAAGCCTGGAGTGCTGTCCAGGTCTGATTGTAGATTCTTGTTGTCCTGGGTCACTTACCAAGTTAGAGTTGGAGCTTAGGACTAAGCTCCTGTTGCTACTCTTTGATTCCTCTCTCACCTGCCAATCCCCAACTGCCTGTCATCAAGTCCCGTAACCCAGAGTCTGTGTAGGGGGCTCTTTCCCTGGGAGATGCAGTAAAATGAACTGGATTACCTTTGTTGTATACTTTTTCAGATATAAAATAAACACTGCCTGTTTTTCAACCATTCACATGGAGATTACTTTATAATTTAGGGGGATGGGGTTATCCAGATTATATTAGCTACATAACTAAAACCATATACCTCTTTTAAAAACGATATGGAATTTTTCAAGCTGAGTCATTGTTGACCTAGGCTCTCAAACAGCAATGGTCTGAACAGCACTTGTATTGCTGGCATTAAGAAATGCAAACAAATAATTCGTGTTCATCTTCCCAAAACTTTTGATCCAGTGCTTTATCAGGCTTCATCTATAAAGAATTCTTGAAGATAACTTTTGGCATCTGTCAATCTAATTTTCATTTATTTGCTTCTCTGATACTGAGAAATGCCATTAAGTTGATATATTAGCAGAGAACCAGATACTTTCAGCCATGAAGTATCATTACAGGAAAGTAATATTTATTTTAGTTGAAAATAGCCAGACTTGCCTATCTCTCTCATCTTCCTTTATTGAAACGAACATTTTCTTTTTATGTACTTTGCAGCAGTTGTGACTGTTGTATTATAGATCTGCAGGTATTTCCTGCCTCTTTTGCTCTCCTGATATCTCTGCATTCTTACTTGGATGATGCCCTCGTCCTGGCCACTGTAGTAAACTGGTAATTGCATTTGGACAATTGAGAGGCGGCTTCCTATGATGTAAAGAACATTGAAGAAACCTGGGTCCTAGCCCTAGCCCTGTCATTTACTAGCTTTGTGACTAGCCAAATCATTTTCATTTCTCTGGACTACAGTTCCTTCATTTGAAAAATGAAGGGATTATACTAGTTGGTTCCCATTCTGCCTTATTTTGTGGCTAATAATACTTGATTGTCATCTCTCTCTCTAGATAGACAGTAAACTCCTGAGGATGAGGAGCCTCTTATATTATCTTTGATTTCCTATCACACCTAGCAAAAATACCTTGTACTTGGTAGGCCCCCATTGTGTCCATGTTGACAGAAGATAAACAGGTGCTAAAGTTTTTTGTTGTTGTTGTTGTTGTTTTTTTTTTGGAGATGTTTGTACCAACTGTAATGGCCATTTGCAGGCTTTAAATGCTTAGAGGGCATGCTCTCCTGGTCAGCCTTTTTTTAAATTTTTTCTTTTTTTGAGACAGAGTCTCGCTCTATCGCCCAGGCTGGAGTGCAGTGGCGAGATCTCAGCTCACTACAAAGTCCGCCTCCTGGATTCCAGCGATTCTTGTGCCTCAGCCTCCCAAGTAGCTGGGATTACAGGCGCACGCCCACCATGCCCATCTAGTTTTTATATTTTTAGTAGAGACGGGGTTTTGCCATGTTGGCCAGCCTGGTCTCGAACTCCTGACCTCAGGTGATCCACCTGCCTCAGCCTCCCAAAGTGCTGGGATTACAGGTGTGAGCTACCGCGCCTGGCTCTGGCCCAGTATACTTTAATCTGCATACTTGCTGCATTGTAAATTTCTTGATCATGATGACACAGTTAATAAGTAGTAAGTCAGTGTGAAGAATCCAGATCTGTCTGATTTCAAAATTTGTTTATTTTATTAGGCTACACTGCCTCTCTGGGTATAAGAATAAGCATAGTTCATCACCTTAAGGAATTTATGGTCAATTGTAAACAATTAACTATATAGGGTGAAGGGAAGTAAATGTTGAATAGACTATTCTGATTAATGTCTGGCTCCTTGGGATGTGATCCTGTATTAATAGTCTTGAAGACTTTCATATTCAGAGATTTGAGCACACAGTAGGTTCCATATCACAGTATTTTGAAAAGAATGTACACCACAAGTACCAGCTTGCCTTTTTAGCCAGCATATTTGGAAAAGTTGAGCATTTTATGTCTGACCTGAATTCAAACACAGGTGTAACAAAACTGTGTAAGTAAACTAGTCTAACAGGAAGAAGGTAGAGATGTTTGGTCATGTAATGACTCCTTAAATCTACATTTTTTTCAGCAAGTAGAAAAGTATTTGGGTAGCTACAAATGGAGAGATTTTTCTTTAGGCAACTAAAAATATATACATAGAATATATACAACTACAATTTGCCAATTTACAATTAAAAAATAAAAATTAAAAGAAACATACAGATAGAAATACATCTTTCCTCTTGAGTTATTTAGGTGGAGCTCACCGTGATTTTTTTTTTTTTTTTTTTTTTTTTTTTTGGTGACGTAGTCTTGCTCTGTCACTCAGGCTGGAGCACAGTGGTACCATCTCAGCTCACTACAACCTTCACCTTCCAGGTTCAAGCGATTCTCCTGCTTCAGCCTCCGAAGTAGCTGGGATTACAGGCACTTGCCACCACGCCTGGCTAGTTTTTTTGTATTTTTAGCAGAGTCGGGTTTCACCATGTTGGCCAGGCTGGTCTTGAACTCCTGACCTCATGTGATCCACCTGCCTTGGCCTCCCAGAGTGCTGGGATTACAGGCCTGAGACTCCACATCTGGACATGATACTTTATTTAGTAACTTTTTGCATTTTAAAAAAATGTTAGTCTAAAAGTATGCTGGTTAGTTACAGCTAATAGCCTCCTGAGGTGTATATATATAGTTGGCCAGGCGTGGTGGCTCACGCCTGTAATCCCAGCACTTTGGAAGGCCAAGGTGGGCAGATCACCTAAACGCCTAACCCCCAGAGGTAAAGGCTGCAGTGAGCCATGATCGCATCACTGCAGTCCTGCCTGGGTGATGGAGTGAGACCTTGTCTCAAGAAAAAAAATTGTGTGTGTGTGTGTGTGTGTGTGTGTGTGTGTATTTGCATTGTGTGTGTGTATGTATATAGTTGCATTGTGCTTTTCCCCCATTTTCATTTAAAAGAAAGGTCAAAACTGTGGCTTTATCTCTTGCAGCCTGCACTACTTAGGAATGAGACAAAGGAAAATGATTACCATTAATTGCCATGGGCAATTAAAAAGAGTTCTTTGTTCAGTAACAAATTGATTGTGTACAAATGAAAGTCAGCACTGCATTAATACAAGATTATTAGATTCTTGAAATCAGCATCTTCTGCTAGAGTAGCTTTCACTTCAAGGGAATTATTTCACTGGGAATAGCGTACCTAAATGATTGGTGATAAAATGTATCACTAGGTCTTTATTTTTCAGAAATGCCTGTTAACGTTGTAGGTAGAGGCTGGTGGATGCTGCTTTTATGGTAACCTTTTTAATGTCCTGAAATCACTGTGTACTTTTTTTTTTTTTTTTTTTTTGAAACAGAGTCTTGCTTTGTCGCCCAGGCTGGAGTGCAGTGGCGCCATCTCGACTCACTGCAAGCTCCGCCTTCTGGGTTCACGCCATTCTCCTGCCTCAGCCACCCAAGTAGCTGGGACTACAGGCGCCCGCCACCATGCCTGGCTAATATTTTGTATTTTATTTAGTAGAGACGGGGTTTCACTGTGTTAGCCAGGCTGGTCTCGAACTCCTGACTTTGTGATCCGCCCACCTCTGCCTCCCAAAGTGCTGGGATTACAGGCGTGAGCTACCACGCCCGGCTTGTATACTTTTTTTAATGCTGTCAATGTATAAGAAATTTCTTCTTCTGGGCTGGGCACGGTGGCTCATGCCTGTAATCCCCAGCACTTTGGGAGGCCGAGGCGGGTGGATCACGAGGTCAGGAGATCGAGACCACCGTGGCTAATACGGTGAAATCCCATCTCTACTAAAAATACAAAAAATTAGCCGGGTGTGGTGGCGGGCGCCTGTAGTCCCAGCTACTCAGGAGGCTGAGGTAGGAGAATGGCGTGAACCCAGGAGGCGGAGCTTGCAGTGAGCCGAGGTCGTGCCACTGCACTCCAGCCTGGGTGACAGAGCAAGACTCAGTCTCAAAGAAAAAAAAAAAATTTCTTCCTCTGATTGGTCAGTCAACTGAGGAACGTAGATAAAACCTTTGATAAATGAGGAAGAAGAGAAAAAGACTCCTGACTGCTGTGGAGTAGGTCTTGGCTGTTGGCATGTACCTAGTAGTAGCCACGCAACAACCATAAAGGCTTAAAAAATGGCAGCCTTAGCTAAAGTAGTTGTGATTTGATGTTATGTATATACAAGGTGTATATATTTTCTTGTGTGCAAATCCCCTTTTAAGTTTTTTCTTAAAAAAAAATAAGGTATAATCTACATGTAGAAAAGTACGTAAATCTTAAGTGTCCATTTCTGAATTTTTTGCATGTTGTACAAGCCCCTTTTTCATATGATGGGGCATAATTCCCTTTTCTACATAGTTCTTACTGAGCCGGAAATTATTTGAGAGTCTCTATATAAGGCACTTCAATTATTACTTTATATTTAATATACAAATGTGAACATGTAGGATGTTTCTAACTTTACCCATCTGGGCAGGGTCAAATACCTGATAAAGAATGGGATAACGGTGATTTCATTGTATAAACTGTCACAAGTGTGAAAGCATTCTTTTAACAACATCTTTTCTACTCGTGTTGTTAATTCCAGATTATTTTGATCTTTGTTTGCTGGAAATTAAAAGAAAAGAGATAGTGGTCACTGCTAATGAGAGTGAAATGGGACTGGTATTGAAATTGCTATCAGGCCTGCAAACAAGTGTGAACTTTCAGGAAAGTAGTTTAGCAATGTTTTATTTGTTTGTTTTTTGAGATGGAGTCTTGCTCTGTCACCCAGGCTAGAGTGCAGTGGCATGGTCTTGGCTCACTGCGACCTCCACCTCCCAGGTTAAAGCAGTTCTCCTGCCTCAGCCTCCCCAGTAGCTGAGATTACAGGTGCGTGCCACCACGCCTGGCTAATTTTTGTACTTTTAGTAGAGATGGGGTTTCGCCATGTTGGCCAGGCTGGTCTTGAACTCCTGACCTCATGTGATCCACCTGCCTCAGCCTCCCAAAGTGCTGGGATTACAGGCGTGAGCCACCATGCCCGTCCAGCAATGTTTTAAGAAACGTACAATCCTTGATCTACTTATAAGAATCTATAGAGGGCTGGGTGCAGTGGCTCATGCCTGTAATCCCAGCACCTGGGGAGGCCTAGGCAGGCGGATCACTTGAGGTCGGGAGTTCGAGACCAGCTTGGCCAACATGGTGAAACCCTGTCTCTACTAAAAACACAAAAAATTAGCCAGGCATGGTGGCGGGTGCCTGTAATCCCAGCTACTCGGGAGGCTGAGGCAGGAGAATCGCATGAACCCAGAAGACAGAGGTTGCAGTGAGCGGAGATTATGCCACTGCACTCCAGCATGGGTGACAGAGTGAGACTCTTTGTCTCACACACACAAAACAAAGAATATATAGGGACCAAGAAAGAGAGATGTGAATCAAGATTGTATACAAAAGAGATGTTAACTATGTTAACTATATGAATGTTTATAAATTTAAAAAAAAATCTAAATGTTTTAACCTTAGGGGAATGGTTTGCTTTGTGGAAAGGTTATGGAGTCATTAAAAAAGTATGTTTTTGAGAATACTTGACGTGGGAAAGTGCACACAAAATAAAATTAAATGTGGGAAAAAATAGGATATAGAACTATAAACAGCATGAGTCCAGTTATTTTAAAATATATATGTGAAAAAGTGGAAGAAATATGCTGAAGTGTTATTAGTTAACTCTGTGTTGTAGGATTATGGGTGATTAAAACTTTTTTTTTAATTTTCCCAAGCTTTCCACAATGATTTTACTATTTCTGATTCAGGGAAAAAAAGATTAAACAAGTTTTTTTTTTTTTTGTAGTGTGGTTGTGTTGTGTTTGGTTTTTCTTATAAACATATGAAAGAAAAATTGAGCTGAAAAGCAAGAAATTCATGGTAAGATCTGTTGGACTCTAGTACCTTTGAAGGTAAGGCATTCACCCTTTCTTAGAGAATAATCAAATTAATTACTAATAAGGCTGGGTGAGGTGGCTCAAGCCTGTAATCCCAGCACTTTGGGAGGCCGAGGCGGGCGGATCACAAGGTCAGGAGATCGAGACCGTCCTGGCTAACACGGTGAAACTCCGTCTCTACTAAAAATACAAAAAAATTAGCCGGGCATGGTGGCAGGCGCCTGTAGTCCCAGCTACTCAGGAGGCTGAGGCAGGAGAATGGCGTGAACCCGGGAGACGGAGCTTGCAGTGAGCCGAGATTGTGCCACTACACTCCGGCCTGGGCGACAGAGCAAGACTCCGTCTCAAAAAAAAAAAAAAATTAATTACTAATAATATTACCAAATAATAACAATGAACTGTTTATTACATACCAGAAGACTAAAAAATGTTATCTCATTTTCTCCTCACAATAACCCTCTGGGGTAGGTGGTATTCTTACCTTCTAGGTGGGAAACCGAGGTTGCAGAGAGGGGACTTGCCCAAGGCCACATGGCTAGTAGGTCCCCAAAGCAGTCTGGCCCAGAGTCTCTGCTCTCTGTTGACTTCTCTGGCCGACTTTACAGTTTCCAGAGTGCTTTTTTAACACACTTTCCAGAAAGTCTGGAAAGGACTTTACACTTTCCAGAATGCTTTCGCCCAGTGTGATCTCAGCCCAGAGATGAAGAGAATTCAAGTCTACTCCATGGTGGATAGATAGAGCTGAACCCTTAGTTCTCTTTGAACAAGGTTCCCTTCTAACCCCTAAAGTGTGCTTGTTTTAAGAGAAAGGAGCCGGCTGGGCATGGTGGCTCACACTTGTAATCCTAGCACTTTGGTGGGCCGAGGTGGGCGGATAATTTGAGGTCAGGAGTTCGAAACTACCCTAGCCAACATTGGTGAAACCCCATCTCTACTAAAAATACAAAAAAAAAATTAGCCCAGGCTTGGTGGCGGGCACCTGTAATCCTGCTACTTGGGAGGCTGCGGCAGGAGAATTGCTAGAACCCAGGAGGTGGAGGTTGCAGTGAGCTGAGATCGCGCCACTGCACCCCACCTGGCTGACAGAGCGAGACTCTTTCTCAAAAAAAAAAAAAAGCCGTCGGTCAAAGTCAGGAATGGCTATAAAATTAGTGATGTGTTCCCTTTTATGGGCCAAAAACATCATTTTAATGAGATTTAAATTTATTTAAGCTTTTTTTTTTTCTTTTTTGAGACGGAGTTTTGCCCTTGTTGCCCAGGCTGGCGTGCAGTGGCACGATCTCGGCTCACTGCAACTTCCGCCTCCGGGGTACACGCCATTCTCTGGCCTCAGCCTCCCAAGTAGCTGGGATTACAGGCATGCGCCACCACCCTGGGCTAATTTTGTATTTTTAGTAGAGACGGGGTTTCCCCATGTTAGTGAGGCTGGTCTCAAACTCCTGACCTCAGGTGATCTGCCCGCTTCAGCCTCCCAAATGCTGGGATTACAGGCGTGAGCCACCTCGCCTGGCTAAGCTATTAATTAAATTTTTTTTCCCAAAGTCCTGTTTTGAAGTCCTGTCTATAATTAATTTTATTTAAATAATTTAGCAAAAGTTTGTTAAGCAGAAGAGGGAACAAACTAGTTCTTTGTAGTTCCAGAGGATAGAGGTAGAGGTCTAGGTATCTACAAGGTTTAGAGTGCACAAAACATGCCTCTTCCTCTCTGGGAGAATTTTTATGCCGTTTATAAAACAAAAGCAATTCTTCCCTTACAGGTAACACAAGGAACACACTGTTTCTTTACCAGAATGTAAAAAATTTAGAAGGCCAGTGGCCTGATTGTTTTTACTTGATCTTATCTTAAAGAATTATGTGTGACTAAGCATTTCAATGCAAGAATGCATTGACTAGGAAGACAGATTTCGTCTTATTATGAGAAAGAACTTTTAAAGAAAACGATCCAAGCTCATGTTTTATGTTTTGTCTTTTTTTTTTTTTTTTTTTTGAGTCGGAGTCTTGCTCTGTTGCCCAGGCTGGAGTACAATGGCACAATCTTCGGCTCACAGCAACCTCCGCCTCCTGCGTTCAAGCGATTCTCCTGCCTCAGCCTCCTGAGTAGCTGGGATTACAGGCGCCTGCTACCATGCCTGGCTAATTTTTGTATTTTTGATAGAGACGGAGTTTCACCTTATTGGTCAGGCTGGTCTCGAACTCCTGACCTCGTGGTCCAGCCGCGTTGGCCTCCCAAAGCGCTAGGATACAGGTGTGAGCCACTGCGCCCGGCAGTTTTGTCCTTTTTTTTTTTTTTTTTTTGAGACGGAGTCTTGCTCTTTTGCCCAGGCTGGAGTGCAATGGCTCAGTCTCAGCTCACTGCAACCTCCGCTTCCCGGGTTCAAGCGGTTCTCCTGCCTCAGCCTCCTGAGTAGCTGGGATTACAGGCGCCCACCACCACACCCGGCTAATGTTTGTATTTTTAGTAGAGACGGGGTTTCACCATGTTGGTCAGGCTGGTCTCGAACTCCTGACCTTGTGATCTGCCCGCCTCGGCCTTCCAAGAAGTGCAGGGATTACAGGTGTGAGCCACCGCACCTGGCCCCATTTTGTGTTGGATAAGCAATAATTTTAAAGTTTACCCCATTTGGTTTTATTGTTGTTTTTATTTAACAAGACGTCTACACATATATCTATTAAATATTTATTTACTGATCATTCTTTCTGTTGTCGGGGAGAGTAACAGATCTTCAGTTCAAGGAGGTTGGCGTTCAGACATCAGGAAGAAATTGCAAAATAAAGTGTTTTGGATCCTCTGTGAGATTTTTGTCTTTTGTTCCTCCATTTGTTCTGTGACATCACCTAGAACATGACCTGACAGGTCAGTAGGAGCTCAGTCTTCATTGAATAAAAGTATGAGTTTCTGAATGAGAGAATCCTGGAATAGATGAAGTCTGTCGCCTTTCAGTCTTCAGATTCTTGGGATTCCTCAAGCCATGTAGAGGAAAGAAACTTTCCTATTGTTAGTTTTCATTTGCATCTTACCAACTTTGTGACTTAGGACAAGTCATTTATTCTTAATCTGAGTTCTCGTGTCTATAAAATGGGCTTAAATACCTATTTTGCTTGCCACAGTCTTTTTATTTTTATTTTTTGAGAACTAAATACCATAACGCTAAAGTTGGTAACCTTTGAGTTTGCTGGAAGAATGAAAGAGAACAATTAGGTAATTAAAATGTTCAGGTAAGCGAGCATGTGAGGGTGCTGCAAAGGCGGCGTGATGAAATTTTGGATCAGTGGAGTGGCACATGCTATTGATTTGTTATCTCTTGGTCTTTGTACAACTTGTAATTTGCCCCCAGGTAGCAGATAGTTTGAAGGTCTTATCAGAAAGTGTCTCATACACCTAAATGTTAACACCAGGTCATAGGCCAAATAGCAGTTGTCCACATTTGTGGAGGCCTCCGTTACTCTTTTTCTCATCATGACACATGGCCTAGGTTTGAGTCCCAGTCCCACCTCTTACCTGCTCTGCACCCTCCGACAAGGCCCTTTAAACTCTTGGTGCCTTAGGCACGTCGTCTTAAAAAGGAGAATATAGTAGTGTTTACTCATAGGGTAACTGTGCTAGTTAATATGCTTACTGTGTGTCATTATTAGTGCTGCACTACCTGGACCTGGCTTTATTTTTTTTTTTTAATTTAATTTTTTTTTTGAGACAGGATCTCACCCACGTTCCATGGAGTACAGTGGCATGATCACACCTTACTGCAGCCTTACCTCACAGGCTCAATCATCTTGCTTCAGCCTCTGAGTAGCTGGGACCACAGGTGTATGCATGCCACCAAGCCCAGCTAATTTTTTTTAAATTTTTTTTTTCTTTTAAGATGGAGTCTCACTCTGTTGCCCAGGCTGGAGTATAGTGGTACAATCTCGGCTCACTGCAGCCTCTGTCTCCCAGTTCAAGCGATTCTCCTGCCTCAGCCTCCCAAGTAGCTGGGACTACAGGCACCCACCACCACGCCCGGCTAATTTTTGTATTTTTAGTAGAGACGGGGTTTCACCATATTGGCCAGGCTGGTCTCGAACTCCTGACCTCATGATTCACCTGCCTCGGCCTCCCAAAGTGCTGGGATTACAGGCGTGAGCCACCATGCCCAGCCTAAATGTTTTTATTTTTCATAGAGACGGGGACTCGCTGTGTTGCCCAGGCTGGTCTTGAACTCTAGACTCAAGCCTCCCTTTTCAGCCTCCCAAAGTGCTGGGATTACAGGTGTGAGCACGTGGCTGGACTTGGCTTTAAGAGACCAGCTAAAGAATATAGTGGTAGGAAAATAAATACAGGCATAACTCAGAGATAGTGTGGGATTAGTTCCAGACTACTGCAATAAAGCATATATGGCAATAAAGCCAGTCACACGAAGTTTTTCGTTTCCCAGTGCATATAAAAGTTAAGTTTTGGCCGGGCGCAGTGGCTCATGCCTGTAATCCCAGCACTTTGGGAGGCCGAGGCGGGTGGATCACCTCAGGTCAGGAGTTCGAGACCAGCCTAACCAACATGGAGAAACCCCATCTCTACTAAAAATACAAAATTAGTCAGGCGTGGTGGCGCATGCCTGTAATCCCAGCTACTCAGGAGGCTGAGGCAGGAGAATCGCTTGATGAAACCAAGAGGCGGATGTTGCAGTGAGCTGAGATCACGCCATTGCGCTCCAGCCTGGGTAGCGAGTAAAACTGTCTCAAAAAAAAAAAAAAAAAAAAAAGTTATGTTTTGGCTGGGCGCAGTGGGTCATGCCTGTAATCCCAGCACTTTGGGAGGCGGAGGTGGGTGGATCACCTAAGGTCAGGAGTTCGAGACCAGCCTGGCCAAAGTGGTGAAACCCTGTCTCTACTAAAAATACAAAAACTAGCCGGGCGTGGTGGTGGGCACCTGTAATCCCCAGCTACTCAGAAGGCTGAGTCAGGAGAATCACTTGAACCTGGGAGGTGGAGGTTGCAGTGAGCCATGATCACACCATTGCACTCCAGCCTGAGCAAAAAGAGCAAGACTCTTGTCTCAAAAAATAACAATAAATAAAAATTAAAAAATAAAAGTTATCTTTATGCCGTACTGTAGTCTAAGTGTGCAGTATCATTATGTCTTTAAAAAAGTATATACCTTAATTTAAAAGTACCTTTTTAAAAATTTAAATATTTTATTAATTTTTTTTTTGGAGGGGGGACAGTTTCGCTCTTGTTGGCCAGGCTGGAGTTCAGTAGTGCCATCTCAGCTCACTGCAACCTCTGCCTCCCGGGTCCAGGCAATCCTCCTGCCTCAGCCTCCCAAGTAGCTGGGATTACAGGCGCCTGCCACCGCGCCTGGCTAATTTTTTGAATTTTTAGTAGAGACGGGGTTTCATCATGTTGGCCAAGCTGGTCTCGAACTCCTGACCTCAGGTGATCCACCTGCCTCGGCCTCCCAAAGTACTGGAATTACAGGCATTAGCCACCGCTCCCGGCCTAAATTTTTTCATTTTTTAAGTTTATTTTTTTGAGACAGAGTCTTCCTTTGTTGCCCAGGCTAGAGAGTATAGTGGTGCAATCTTGGCTCACTGCACCTTCCACCTCCCAGATTTAAGCGAGTCTCTCTCAGCATCCTGAGCAGCTGGAACTACAGATGCGCACCACCACACCTGGCTAAATGTTTTGTATTTTTAGTAAAAACGGGATTTCTCCACATTGACCAGGCTGGTCTCAAACTCCTGACCTCAAGTGATCCACCCACCTCGGCTTTCTAAAGTGCTGGGATTACAGGTATGAGCCATCGCGCTTGGCCTAATTTTTATTTTTTTGAGAGAGACTCTCACTCTGTCACCCAGGCTGGGGTGCGGTGGTGCAGTCTCAGCTCACTGCAACGTCTCTCGGGTTCAAGCAATTCTTGTGCCTCAACCTCTGGAGTAGCTGGGTCTAGAGATGCGCACACTACCACGCTTGGCTAATTTTTGTATTTTTCATAGAGATGGGGTTTCGCCATGTTGGCCAGGGTGGTCTCAAACTCTTAGCCTCAAGTGATTTGCCCACCTCGGCCTCCGGAAGTGCTGGGTTTATAGGCCGGAGCCACTGTGTCCAGCTCCCACAACTTCCTTTGTTTTTGTTGTTGTTGTTGTTGTTTTTTGAGATGTCTCATTCTGTTGACCAGCCTGGAGTGCAGTGGTGTGGTCACAGCTCACTGCAACCTCAACCTCCTGGGCTCAAGTGATTCTCTGGACTCAGCCTCCTGTAAAAATACTTTATTACTTAAAAAATGCTGGTGATCATCTGAGCCTTTGGTGAATCATAACCTTTTTGCTAGTGGAGGGTCCTGCCTTGATGCTGATGGCTTCTGACTCATGGTGGTGGTTACTGAAGGTTGGGCTGGCTGCAGCAGTTTGTTAAAATAAGGCAGCAGTGAAGTTTGCTACATTCATTGATTCTTCCTTTCGTGAAAGATTTCTGTATAGCATGCAATGCTGTTTGATAGCATTTTATCCACCGTAGAACTTCTTTCAAAATTAGAGTCAATCCTCTGAAACCCTGCTGCTACTTTATCAGCTAAGCTATGTAATACTCTGAATCCTTTGTTGTCATTTCTGCAGTGTTCACAGCATCCTCACCAGGAGTAGATTCCATCTTAAAAAATTGCTGGGCGGGCCAGGCACGGTGGCTTAACGCCAGTAATCCCAGCTCTTCGGAAGGCCGAGGTGACCTCATCTGAGGTCAGGAGTTGGAGACCAGCCTGGCCAACATGGAGAAACCGTGTCTCTACTAAAAATACAAAAATGGCCAGGTGCAGTGGCTCACACCTATAATCCCAGCACTTAGGGAGGCCAAGGCAGGCAGATCACGAGTTCAGGAGATAGAGACCATCCCGGCTAACATGGTGAAACCCCGTCTCTACTAAAAATACAAAAATTAGCTGAGCGTGGTGACACATGCCTGTAATCCCAGGTACTCAGGAGGCTGAGGTAGAAGAATCGATTGAACCCGGGAGGAAGAGGTTGCAGTGAGCCAAGATCGCGCCACTGCACTCCAGCCAGGACAACAGAGTGAGACTCCATCTCAAAATAAATAAATAAATAAATAAATAAATAAAAATAAAAATACAAAAATTAGCCACGCATGGTGGTGAGCAACTGTAGTCCCAGCTACTCAGGAGGGTGAGGCAGGAGAATCGCTTGAACCCGGGAGGCTGAGGTTACAGTGAGCTGAGATTGCAGCATTGCACTCCAGCCTGGGTGGCAGAACTAGACTCTTGTCTCAAAAAAAAAAAAAAAAAATCGCTGGGTGCAGTGGCCAACCCCTGTGACCCCAGCACTTTGAGAGGCCAAGGTGGACGGATCACTTGAGGCCAGAAGTTAGGGACCAGCCTGGCCAACATGGTAAAACCCCATATCTACTAAGAATACACAAATTAGCCAGGCATGGTGGTATATGCCTGTAATCCCAGAAACTTGGGAGGTTGAGGCATGAGAATTGCTTGAAACCTGGAGGCGGAGGTTGCAGTGAGCTGAGACTGTGCCACTGCACTCCAGCCTGGGTGATGAGGCAAGACAATGTCTCAAAAAATAAATAAATAAATAAATAAATAAATAAATCACTTTCTTTGCTCACCAATAAGCAATTCCTGGCTGGGCGTGTGGCTCACGCCTGTAATCCCAACACTTCGGGAGGCTGAGGCGGGTGAGTCACCTGAGGTCAGGAGTTCGACACCAGCCTGGCCAACATGGAGAAACCCCCTCTCTACTAAAAATACAAAATTTGCCGAGCATGGTGGTGCATGCCTGTAATCCCAGCTACTCGGGAGGCTGAGGCAGGAGAATCGCTTGAACCCAGGAGGCGGAAGTTGCAGTGAGCTGAGATGGAACCATTGTACTCCAGCCTGGGCAACGAGTGAAACTCCGTCTCAAAAAAAAAGAAGCAATTCCTCATCTGTTCAGGTTTTATTATGAGATTGCAACAATTCTGTCACATCTTCAAACTCCATTTCTAATTGTAGTTCACTTTCCACCACATCTGTGGTGACTTTATTCAATGAAGTCTTGAACTTCTCAAAGCAGTCTGTGAGGGTTAGAATCAACTTCTTCCAAATTCCTGTTAATGTTGATATTGTGAGCTCTCTCATGAATCATGAATCTTCTTTTTATTTTATTTTATTTTTATTTTTTTTAAGAGATGAGGTCTTGCTCTGTCACCCAGGCTGGAATGCAGTAGTGTGATCATAGCTACTGCAACTTTGAACTCCTGGGCTCAAGGGATCCTCCTGCCTCAGCCTACCGAGTACCTGAGACTACAGGCACATGCTGCCATGCTGGACTAATTTTTGTTTTTTTTTAAGAGATGGAGTCTTACTACATTGCCTGGGTTGGTGTTGAACTCCTGGCCTGAAGGGATCCTCCTGCCTCAGCCTCTCAAATGAATGTTCTTTTTTTTTTTTTTTTTTTGAGATGGAGTCTCTGTCACTCAGGCTGGAGTGCAATGGCGCGATCTCAGCTCACCACAATCTCCGCCTCCTGGGTTCAAGCAATTCTCCGGCCTCAGCCTCCCGAGTAGCTGGGATTACAGGCGCATGCCACCACACCCAGCTAATTTTTGTTTTTCGAGTAGAGATGGGGTTTCACCATGTTGGCCAGGCTGGTCTTGAACTCCTGATGTAATCCACCCACCTCGGCCTCCCAAAGTGCAGGGATTATAGGCGTGAGCCACTGCGTCCAGCTCAAGTGAATGTTCTTAATGGGATCATGGGATCTAGAATGGTGAATCCTTTTCAGAAGGTGGACTTTGCCCAGATCCATCAAAGGAATCACTATTTATGGCAGTGTTGCCTTATGAAATGTGTTTCTTAGGTAATAACACTTGAAAGTCTGAATTACTCCTGGATACATGGACTGCAGAATGGATGTTGTGTTAGCAGGCATGAAAACAACATTAATCTTGTACATCTCCATCAGAGCTTTTGGATGACTAGGTGCCTTGTCAATGAGCAGTAATATTTTGAGAAGAATCTTTTTTTGCAAGCAGTAGGTCTCAATGGTGGGCTTAAAAATATTCAGTAAACTATGCTGTAAACAGATGTGCTGTCATCCAAGCTTTGTTCCATTTATAGAGCACAGGTAGAATACAGTTAGCATGATTCCTAAGGCCTGTAGGATTTTCAGAATAGTAAATAAGCATTGGCTTCAATTTAAAAAGTTACTAGCTGCATTTGTCTCTAACAAGGGTCAGCCTGTCCTGTGGAGCTTTGAAGCCAGCCATTGACTTCTCTCTAGCTATAGAAGTCCTAGATGGCATCTTTTTCCAACATAAGGCTGTTTTGTCTATAGTAGCCACCTTCATCAAGGTGGGCTAGGTCTTCTAGATGACTTGCTGCAGCTTCTCCGTCAGCACTTGCTGCTTGCTTCATCTTGCACATTTATGTTATGGAGGTGGCTACTTTCCTTAAACCTTGTTAACCAGTCTCTGCCAGCTTCTAACTTTTCTCTGTAGCTTCCTCGCCTCTCTCAGCCCTGTTGAATTGAAGAGAGTTAGGGTCTTGCTCTGGATTAGGTTTTGGTTTAAGGGAATATTGTGGCTGGTTTGATCTTCTGTCTAGACCACTCAAACTTCTTTCTTTCCCTTTTTTTTTTTTTGAGACAAGGTTTCGCTCTGTCACCCAGCATGGAATGCAGTGGCATGATTATGGCTTACTGTAGCCTCAGCCTCCCAACCTCAAGCAGTCCCCCCACCTCAACCCCCCCAGGTTGCTGGGATTGCAGGCATATGCCACCATCCCTGGCTAATTTTTATTTTATTTTTTGTAGAGACAGGATCAGCGTATGTTGACCATGCTGGTCTCGAATTCCTGGCCTCAAGCAGTTGTCCCGCCTTGGCCTCCCAAAGCACTAGGTTTACAGGCATGAGCCACTACACCCTGCCAAAACTTTCTCTATATCAGCAATAGGCTGTTTCACTTTATTTTATTTATTTATTTTTACATTTTACTTTAAGTTCTGGGATACATGTGCAGAACGTGCAGATTTGTTATATAGGTATACATGTGCCATTGATGGTTTGCTGCACCTATCGACCTGTCATCTAGGTTTTAAGCCCCACATGCATTAGGTATTTGTCCTAATGCTCTCCCTTTCCTTGCTCCCCACCTCCTGACAGGCCCCTTTGTGTGATGTTCCCCTCCCTGTGTCCATATGTTCTCATTGTTCAACTCCCACTTTTGAGTGAGAACATGCAGTGTTTGGTTTTCTGTTCCTGTGTTAGTTTGCTGAGAATGATGGCTTCCAGCTTCATCCATGTCCCTGCAAAGGACATGAACTCACTCTTTTTTATGGCTGCAGGCTGTTTCACTTTATCACTCGTGTTCACTGGAGTAGCACTTTTAATTTCTTTCAAGAACTTTTCCTTCGCTTTAACAATGTGGCTGTTTGGCACAAGAGGCCCAGCTTTCAGCCCCTCTTGGCTTTTGACATGCTTTCTTCACTAGGCTTAATCATTTTTAGCTTTTGATTGAAAGCGAGGGACATGTGACTCCTCCTTTCACTTGAGCACTTAGAGGCCATTGTGGGATTATTAATTGGCCTAATTTCTTTTTTTTTTGAAACAGAGTCTCGCTCTGTTGCCCAGGTTGGAGTGTAGTGGCACGATCTCGGCTCACTGCAACCTCCGCCTCCGAGGTTCAAGCGATCCTCCTGCCTTAGCCCCACTAGTAGCTGGGATTACAGGCACGTGCCACCATGCCTGGCTAATTTTTTTTTTTTTTTGTTAGTAGAGACAGGGTTTCGCCATGTTGGCCAGGCTCGTCTCGAACTCTTGACCTCAGGTGATCCGCCCGCCTTCAGCCTCTCAAAGTGCTGGGATTACAGGCGTGAGCCACTGTGCCCGGCCAATTGGCCTAATTTCAACATGGTTGTGTCTCAGAGAACAGGGACAGAGATGAGGAGCAGTTAGAACACATACAACATTTTTTCAACTCGCCGTCTTATATTGGTGCAGTTTATGGTGCCCCAAATCAATTGCAATATTAACAGCAAACATCACTACTCACAGATGACCATAATAGAATAATAATGGAAAAGTTTGAAATATTGCAAGAATTACCAAAATGTGACATCAAGACATGAAGTGAGCATATGCTGTTGGAAAAATGATGCTGATAGACTTGCTCAAGACAGGGTTGCCAATGACCTTCAGTTAAAAAAACACATGCACACATAGTATCTGAAGCGCAGTAAAAGGAATGGCAATAAAACGTATGCTGGTCAGGTGCGGTGGCTCACTCCTGTAATCCTAACACTTTGAGAGGCCAGGGTGGGCAGATTGCCTGAGCTCAGGAGTTTGAGACCAGCCTGGGCAATGTGGTGAAACCCCATCTCTACTAAAATACAAAAAATTAGCCAGGCATGGTGGCGCATACCTGTAATCCTACCTACTCGGGAGGCTGAGGCGGGAGAATCTCTTGAATCTGGGAGGCGCAGGTTGCAGTGAGCCGAGATTGCGCCAGTGCACTCCAACCTGGGTGACAGAGCAAGACTCCATCTCAAAAAAACATAGTATGCCTATACGAGTTTACTAGTTTTTAGCTTTGTCAAGGAGAGAATTTAAAAAAGAAAAATTATTCCCACCATTATTTCATAAAAAGTAGGATCTAGGCTGGCCATGGTGGCTCACATCTGTAATCCCAACACTTTTGGAAGCGAAGGCAGGAGGATTACTTGAGCCCAGGAGTTGGAGGCTACAGTAAGCAATGATTGTGCCAACTACACTCCAGCCTGGGCAACAAAAACAACAACAACAAAAAGGATCTAACTTCAGAATAAAGGATATCCCTTCCCAAGGAAACTAGCTGCCTTATAGGGACATATGTAGGTATATACTTATAATTCTCATTTTAAACATAAACTGAGGAAAACTGCCACAGGCCAGCTGTTTAACTTTTTGGGGCCTTAGTTTTCTCATCTATAAAATAATGATGATATCCTTTTTTTTTTTTTTTTTTTTTTTCCCCTTTTGAGATAGGGTCTCTTGTCCAGACTGGAGCGCAGTGGCATGCTCACAGCTCACTGCAGCCTCGACTTCCTGGGCTCAGATGATCCATCTCAGTGTCCCTAATAGCTAGGACTACAGGCATGTGCCACCATGTTGTATTTTTTTTGTAGAGATGGAGTTTTGCCATGTTGCCCCAGCTGGTCTTGAACTCCTGGGCTCAAGCAATTCCCCCGCGTAGGCCTCCCAAAGTACTAAGATTACAGGTTTAAGGGCTAGAGTGCAGTGGCATGATCATGGCTTGCTACAGCCTCGACTTTCTGGGCTCAAATGATCCTCCTGCCTCAGCTGAGACTACAGGTGCGCACCCACCATGCCTGGCTACTTTTTAAAATTTTTAGTAGACATGAGATCTTGCTATGTTGCCCAGGCTGGTCTCAAACCCCTGGCCTCAAGTGATCTTCCTGCCTTGACCTCCCAACGTGTTGGGATTATAGGCTTGAGCCACTGTGCCTGGCCCAGGGGTCTATATCTAAATCCTAAAGCTTGCGGAAGTTCTTTCAGCTGTCCCCATGGCTTTGGGCATTATGAATAATAATCCATAGGACATAATTGGAAGGTGTTTCAGCTTAGGATGGATTGGACTTTTGAAAAGCGCCCCTTCTTATAGTCAACACAACATCTCATTCCCCTGTGAACTCACCCTTAGGGAAATCATTTTACTTTTGGACAAGTGAGACCAGATCCTCAGAGATAGTTTGTGACTCTTGCAATAATAATAGCAAATATTTCCTTAATCTTTTCTATATGCCAGGCACTGTATTATGTACTTTACATGTATTAACTCAAGGAATCCACATAACAACCCAATGAAGTAGGTACTATCCTTGTACCCATTACTCAGAATAGGAAACAGGCCATGCATGCTAGGTGATGTAAGCTAAGGATTCAGAGGAAGGAGAATAATAAATTACCCCCACTTAGAAAGTACTGGTCTGGGTTTGTGTGCTCTCTCTTCTGCCCACCTCCCTCCTCTCTCTCTGGCCCTACTTGTTTTTATTAATGTGGGGTTAATGCCGGTGATTTCATATACTAACCTTGATCATTGGGAAATGTTTCTCTCACGGGAAGGTATTTGGATGGGCATAGTACATTCTTTGGTTTGTCTTCTTGATCTCTAGTTTAGCTTACTTGTTAAAGATTTCCAGAATGATCTAGCAGTTAATTCCAGTTCCATTTTCCCCTCCACCTTTTTATTTTTAGTGAGGTCCTAATTGGATTTTTTTAATCTTAATTTTTTTAATTTTTACCTTTTTAGAGATGAGTTCTCACTATGTTGCCCAGGCTGGACTCGAATTCCCAGGCTCAAGCAATCCTCCCGCCTCAGGCTCCTGAGTAGCTGGGGCTACAAGTGTGTGCCACTGCACCCAGCTATAAATAGATTTTTATAATGTGATTTTTAAATTTTAGGGTATTAAGCTTATCTTAAAGTACAATCAAAGCCTGTCACCCATTTCATTTCTCTAATGCCTCCTTGAAGTATTTTGCTTTTGACTTCGGGGAAGAGCCTTGGAGATTGGGTACTGCATGATGCTGCAGGGAGGCCAGTGGTTTATGTTGTCGTCGTCCGTCCTGGAGTGCTTGCCTTAATGCTGCTCATTTCAAATGCCTCCTCTCTGTTTCCAAGGTTGAATTAGCATCAGGTCTTCTTTTACATCAGCCTTGTCTAATATAACTTTCTGTGTTATTCATTATGGTAACCACCAGTCACGTGTTGCTACTTGAAATGTAGCTAGTGGGGCTGAGAAACTAAATTTAAAATTTTTATTATTATTAGTTTAACTTTAAATGGCCAAAGTAGTGCAGATCTAGACTATGCTCCGTAAGGGAGGTTTTTTTTTTCTTTTCTTTTTTTCCTACTTCTAATTCTGACATAGGGCTGTGCTCTTTATGTATTTGTTAAATGCTTTCACTAGCTGAAATACAAGGAAAGTTAAAGTATTCCTTAAAGTCTTCCTCCCAGGGAAAACCGTTGTTAATAGTTGTATTTTTTAACTGTAGGATAAATTGCCAGTTTTTATTATCATTACAGTGATTCACCCTTGATTCTAGGGATCGGGCGTTACTCAAGGTTGTTGTAGATTTGGGAGTTTTAGGAGATGGAGGAGGCTTAGAATGCAGGTTATAAATGTAACAGAAAGAAGTATGACTAATACTGGTAAAAGTGTCTTTATAATGATTGTTGCGATATGATTGAATTTCTATCCTAATGCTTAAGAATCCTTAGTGAAAATGTGGGAAAGAGGATGAATCACTGTTTTCTCCCTTCCCAAATCCCAGATGATTTTGCTAGAATTTTAAGGATGGATTGAGTGTTCAGGTGATTTTGTCTTGACTTCTTGGGTTGGTTGGGATCTTTAAAGAGAGAGAGATTAAAAAGGATTTACTACTAGCAAAACTGAAAAAGCAGAAACATGTCTGCTTGAATTTTGAGTTTCTTTTCTCTTTGATAGTGGAAGCAGCATCTTAGGCCAGGTTCATTTTGTAACTGGTGTGGGTGTATGTATGCATGTGTACATCCGTCTCATGTTTGTTAAATTTTCTTGACTCCCTAACAGTTGTTTGTACTCCACATCATCAGTTTTGGTACCTTCTACTCGTTACTGAAAGGATATATTTACCTTCTCAGTGGGTTGGTGAAGATGGGGGGTGGGGGAGCATATATGGAAACTGATGAAAATGATAAAACCGTGGTGCTCCAAAGTAAAGAAAGGAATTTTTAAAAGCCTTTGAATTAACTGGAATGTGGGATCTTGGATTGGATCCTGGTACAGAAAAGGCAATAAATAGAAAAACTGGTAAAATCTGAAAGTCTGTAGTTTAGTTTTTTGTGCTAATTTCTTAGTTTTGACAAATACACCATGGTTATGTGAACATTAGGGGAAGCTGGGTGAAGGGTATGTGAGGACTCTGTAACATCTGCAGCTTTTTTGTATATCTAAAATTATTCCAGAGTAAGAAATTGAAATAGAAGCTGTGACTAGCAAGAGCTTCCAAGGGCTGTGACTTCACCAAGGGAGTGTGTTCATAAGTAGGGCTTCTCTCTAAGGGCCTCTAGAAGTTCTGCTTATCTGCCCACTTCCCTCCTTCAACTCAGTGCTCTAACCATGTGGAATGACTAACTCTCCCCAAAATCCATGCTTCTGGGCCGTTTCATACACTTCTCATCGGGGTATTCTCCTGCTACACCCTCCCCGACCGAACCAAAAACAAAATACATAAAGATCACCTAAAAAACAAAAAATGCAGCTTGACTAATTCCTTTTCATTCTTTAGGTCTCTGGCTTAGATTTTATTTTTTTCAGGAAGCCTTCCCTGACCCACAGAAGTCAGTGTCTTGTCTGAGTTTGCCTGCTGAGTGGAACCCTCATTGTGCTGGTACTTAGTACTTTGCCTTTTTTTTTTTTTTCTGAGACGGAGTCTTGCTCTGTTGCCCAGGCTGGAGTGCAGTGGCACGATCTCGGCTTACTGCAAGCTCCGCCTCCTGGGTTCATGCCATTCTCCTGCCTCAGCCTCCTGAGTAGCTGGGACTACAGGCGCCCGCCACCACGCCTGGCTAATTTTTTTGTATTTTTAGTAGAGACGGGGTTTCACCATGTTAGCCAGGATGGTCTCGATCTCCTGACCTTGTGATCCGCCCACCTCGGCCTCCCAAAGTGCTGGGGTTACAGGCGTAAGCCACCGCACCCGGCCTCAATCAATAATATATATATATATATATATATATATATATATATATATATATATATATATATATATAAAATATTGATTTTATACACACACACACACACACACACACACACACACCCCACAACAAGAAGTAAGGCTCCTGCTCACACCTTCTTAGGCTCCACTGGCAGCAGCTTCCCTCATGCCCTTGGGTAACGGTGGCTGTGGTTTGCTCTGTACCAGCATATATGCTGTAGATGGCCAAATCCCTGCCAGGGAGACAAACTCAGCACCATAAAGGTGAGAAAGCACATTTTGTAAGGCTTATTCTTATATTTCAAGGTCCCAGGGGTCCAATTTAGGAAAATGTTTTGTTTTTTAAAATCTGCTTAGTTATGTAGCATTATCTTTTCCTGTACTATGTGAATTTACAGCTCATTTTACCATAAAAGATAATGTGTAGGTTGTTTAAAACCTGTTCTTTGGCCGGGTGTGGTGGCTTATGCCTGTAATCCCAGCACTTTGGGAGGCTGAGGCGGGCAGATCACTAGGCCAGGAGATCGAGACCATCCTGGCTAACACGGTGAAACTCTGTCTCTACTAAAAATACAAAAAAAAAAAAAAAAAAAAAATTAGGCAGGGGTGGTGGCACGTGCCTGTAGTACCAGCTACTCAGGAGGCTGAGGCAGGAGAATCACTGGGGTGGAGGTTGCAGTGAGCCAAGATCACGCCACTGCACTCCAGCCTGGGTGGCAGAGCGAGACTCCGTCTCAAAACAAAACAAAGCAAAACAAAAAACCCTGTTCTTGGACTGGGCATGGTGGCTCACACCTGTAACCCCTGCACTTTGGGAGGCCGAGGCAGGTGGATCACCCAAGGTCAGGAGTTCGAGACCAGCCTGGCCAACATGATGAAACCCCTGTCTCTACTAAAAATACAAAAAATTAGCCAGGCATGGCCAGGCGCTGTGGCTCACACCTGTAATCCCAGCACTTTGGGAGGCTGAGGTGGGCAGTTCACGAGGTCAGTAGATCAAGACCATCCTGGCCGACATGGTGAAACCCTGTCTCTACTAAAAATACAAAAGTTGGTGTGGTGGCGTGTGCCTGTAGTCCCAGCTACTCAGGAGGCTGAGGCAGGAGAATCCCTTGAACCTGGGAGGTGGAGGTTGCAGTGAGCTAAGATCGCACCACTGCACTCCAGCCTGGGTGACGAGTGAAACTCCATCTCAAAAAAACAAAAACAAAGACAAAGAACCGTTCTTTAGTAAACCAATCAACAGCGATTAATTATATAAAATGTGCACCGCCTTAGGTGGTATACATAGCACTATCAGACATGGCTCCTGCTTTTGAATTTCTTACTTTCTAGTAGGGGAAAATAGAATATCCTCACCCCACAGTGTGTTACTGTGGCTCAACCACATGAATCAGGAAACAAGAGTAGAGGCCATTCGGAGCTTGCAGTGAGCCGAGATCCCGCCACTGCACTCCAGCCTGGGCGACAGAGCGAGACTCCGTCTCAAAAAAAAAAAAAAAAAAAAAGAGTAGAGGCCATTGTGGTGGGTGGTGAAACATTACAAGTACTAAAGCCATTGCTTCAGCTTTCTTTAACAGTGTGACCGCTGAAAAACTAAATGGTTAGTGTTTTGGGTTGCCTCTAGTGAGACATGGCTAGACGTGCAGATTCTAAGCAAAGGTTATAGGAACTTGAGGTTCTGTAGACCCTTAAGGGGTTGGGTCAGGGGTGTCTATGATGCTTTCAGAATGAGTATATGCTGAATTTTGGGGTCTGTATATTTTCTGCAGAGAGAGAATTTGTAGATTTCATCAAATTCTCAAAGGAATCCATGACCCAAAAAAGACTACAACCACTGGCTTAGAGTAACACTGAGCCCCATGGCCTCATTTTGTCTCCGTTTTACTTTACTGTTCTAGATTGAGACCTGCCTTTTATTTTTCCCTGATACTTATTTGGAGGGGTCCTTGATGCAAAGAACTCTATTGTTGAACATCTAAGGAGGAGTATGTAAGCTTTCTTTTTTGGAAGCTTGGGTATTATGGCTCTTAAATCTTCATCTTTTCTGTCATTGTTTAGTAAAAATGTCTTTCTATTTGAAATAATGATTACTGTATTTCTAGGTGCAAGTATTCATTCATTTGTCATGTATTTATATGCTGAGGCCCATGCTGGGCAGTGGTCATAGAGAGATGAAATGACCAGATCCTGGCCCTTAGAGGCTTTTAGTGATACACATGTAAGTGCTCAGAAATGGTAGCTGTTAGTCTCCTGGGAACAGCTATTATATAGTGTCATGGCCAAAGTCATAGAGGATATACAGGGTAGAACAGGAACACAGGAGAGGTTATCTAGACTATGTTTCATTGAAATTTCACTGTTGATTCATCTCATTAGCTCATTGATGGGTTGCAAACCTTTGCATGAGAGGGTGTAACAGATTAGGTGTTTGGGGCCTTTGCCAAACTGGAGAGGTACAGTTGGAAACACGACAGTGACTGAGGCTGTAGCTGTGACACATGTATTCAAATGGAACTCACTTAAAAACTATTGACTCTATTTCTCTACTTTTCTGTCGACAACAGTATACGGTTCTGTTTGCCCTTAGTCACTCAGGAGGTATTTATTGGATGCCCAGAGGGTGTGTAATACTGGACTGGACCCTTGGACTGGACTGTTTACTTACTAGAAGAGCAGATGGAAATGATTGGGTTGTGGCTCTTTGGCAATATTCTTTGCTGTCTCCCAGTAGTCAGTATGGTAATAAGCTTCCCTCTGGTGGGAGGTAGGATAGTTGGGCTTTGGAAATCAAAATACCAGAGTTCCAAACCCAGCTCTGCCACTTTCCATCTGGGTAGCCTTGGCCAGGTCAGTTGATACCTCTGAGCCTTGGTTTTCTGATGTACAAAATGGGGATATAACTATCACCCGCCCTCCAGGACTTCTGCCACATAGTAGAGCCCAATAAATGGAAGTTGTATTGTTACTAGCAGGTGAGGATTATAAACCATGGAGGAATTCCCTCACTTTATTGATTCATTAAGGATAATTATTATGTTGTGCAGAAGAAGGAGTATTCTACTTATGTGAATGGGGGAGTTTGGAATTCCTAGTTAGAAACAGTGGCTCAATCTCTCATTTTTGGCCACTTTTCTTAGGCTTTTTGCTAGGGCAAGTTTTTTTTTTTTGTTTTTTTTTTTTAGATGGAGTCTCGCTCTGTAACCAGGCTGGAGTGCAGTGGTGCAATCTCGGCTCACTGCAACCTCCGCCTCCCGGGTTCAAGCGATTCTCCTTCCTCAGCCTCCCAAGTAGCTGGGACTACAGGCTAGCACCACCATGCCCAGCTAATTTTTGTATTTTCAGTAGAGACGGAGTTTCACCATGTTGGCCAGGATGGTCTCAATCTCTTGACATCGTGATCTGCCCGCCTGAGCCTCCCAAAGTGCTGGGATTACAGGCATGAGCCACTGTGCCCGGCCAGGGCAAAGGTTCTTAATCCAGGGTTCCTGAATTTTTTGTGTAAGTCCATTCTATTTTCTGGGAGAAAGTGTTCAAGTTTTTATCAGATTGTCAAAGGGATTCTTAACTGCCAAAAGATTAAGAATTGGTTAACTGGCCAGGCGCGATGGCTCACGCCTTAATCCCACCACTTTGGGAAGCCGAGGCAGGCAGATTGCTTGAGTTCAGGAGTTCGAGACCAGCCTGGGCAACGTGATGAAATCCTGTCTTTACCGAAAATACAAAAATTAGCCAGGTGTTGGCCGGGCACAGTGACTCACAACCGTAATCCCAGCACTTTGGAAGGCCGAGGCAGGCAGATCACTGAGGTCAGGAGTTCGAGACCAGCCTGGCCAACGTAGTGAAACCCTGTCTCTACTAAAAAAAAAAAAAAAAAAAAAAAAGAAAAATTAGCCAGGCCTGGTGGCATGCCTGTTGTAATCCAAGCTACTTGGGAGACTGAGGTAGGAGAATCACTTGAACCCGGGAGGCAAAGGTTGCAGTGAGCCGAGATCGCACCACTGCACCTAGCCTGGGCGACAGAGCGAGACTTTGTCTCAAAAAAAAAAAAAAGAAAAAAAAAAAGCCAGGTGTGCTGGCACACACCTGTAGTCCTAGCTACTTGGGAGGTTGAGGTGGGAGGATCACTGGAGGGAAGTCTAGGCTGTAGTGAGCCATGATCACGCCACTGTACTCCAGCCTGGGTAACAGTGAAACCCTGTCTCAAAAAAAAAAAAAAAAAAAAATTGGTTAATGGACCTGTTGGGTGGGTATGGAGCCACAGTTGGTACCTTTGATCCTGAAATTGTCCATTATAATAAGATATTACTGAGAGCAATTTTCTAAAGTACGAAGTATGTAATGAAGATACAGGGAGAATATTCAGAAGTTTTTGTTGGCTGCTTTTTTTTTTTTTTTTTCTGCCAGGAGTAGGTGGGACAAGTATAAAGGAAAGTGGTATCAGGAGGAAGTAAGAAGTAAGAAACCACCTAAATAATTGTTAGCTGCTTGTCCTCATAGTTCTTTCCATAGGTTGATTCTGAGTTGGGGCGTCTCTGCACTGTACCTTGCAATCAGGCCGGACCACTTGCTTTTTCCTGAACACTGTGTTCAGGCTTTGTATGTTCATGAGGTCCCTCTGCCTAGAGTATCTCTTCTCCCAACATTTGTAAGTCCAGTTCTCCATGCATCAGAGCTTCCTGGTGTTGCCTTTTAGAGTTCTCATCAGCTTATAACTCCCTGGAGAGCACTGACTCTCATCTTCGGATCCTTCACCGTCATGGTCCTTTGCACATGGTAGGTGCTAAATAAAGGGTTGTGGAACTAAGTGAAGAGTGATACATATGAAGGAAACAAACACCTGTGTAAGGGAGAAGGCTATAAATTAAAATTTTCAGATACCAGTGAATTCTGCGGGGGAGCTTGGGAAACCCTTAGAGTTTCACTGACAACCTGAATAGGGGGAGGAGCCTGCCCTGAGTTAGGAAGCAGGAGTGTGGGGAACAGGTAGCCAGCCATAAGGTCTTGGCCAGGTCATATCACTTCTGGACTGGAGTTAACACCTTCAAAAACTGTTCGGGTTGGACTTTTTGAACATATAATAGAGGTGATGTTGATGAGCATCTACCGTATACCAGGTACTACTCTAGGTCCTGGGAATATAGTAGGTTGCCACCAGACAAGACCCCTTCTTTTCTAGTGGGAAGCATTGGGTGGGAAGTTAGTCCTTTCTAGCCTTAAAATGCTGTGATTCTGTCATCTGAAGAATGGGCACCAACTTCTGCTTGGGATTGTTTTGAGGATCAAATGAGAAAGCACTTTAAAGATTATAAAACACACTTACCTTGTTTATTATGAATACTTCTCTCCCCCCTTGGTTTTGCCCCCCTTGGTTTTGACTTAGGTTTTTTAAAAGTTTAAAATTGAATTGTACCAATAGGAGTATGAACTAATGATCCCAGGGTTTAGGTAGATTTGGGGACTTAAATCTTTCAATAAGTGATCCTTTAGCTAGATTGGGATGTAGGTTTGTAATATCATCTTCACCAGTGAAAAATGTATTGGGGGGGAAGTCCATTTATTTATGGATATTTTGGATATTTTGTTTCTGCCTTAACATAAGTTCGTTCGTTCGTTCTTTCTCTTTTTTTTTTTTTTTTTTTAAGATTTCAAACTGTCTCTGCCATTATTCTTAAATACAACTTTATATTGGTGAAGGCTGCTTGTCAGGGAAAAACCAAACTTCTCTACTGATTTGGGATTTTTTTTTACCATAAATTCAGGGTGCAGTTGTTCTTGAAGTGGTTCCATTTTGTGATTAGGCTGAGTATTTTTAAGCACAACTCTCTCCCTTGTCCTTAGAATTATCTCCAGTATCCTCAAAACAAAGAGCAAATGATGCAATTAGGATGCAATCCCTTGCCTGTGGATTTCAAGGAAAATTATTTTCCACACTACTTGGAAGCTCATGGACAAAGTCAAGCTTTCTTTAGATCTGGTGAACTTAGAAAAAATAACTTGATGAAGTGAGATTCTTACCTTGAGGTTAGTTTTTGAGAGTGGATCAATGATGTGAAATTTCTAAGATATTCTTGATTTATAAATATCACTTTATGACTCATTCCTTGGAGCAGTTTTTATTTTTTCCTTTGAAAAACTTTAGATGTAATTGACTTTGGTTTACACTCTATCCTGTTTTTTGGTTTTTTTTTTTTTTTTTTTGGAGACGGAGTCGCTCTGTTGCCCAGGCTGGAGTGCAGTGGCACGATCTCTGCTCACTGTAACCTCTGCCTCCTGGGTTCAAGCGATTCTCCTGCCTCAGCCTCTCGAGTAGCTGGGACTACAGGTATGTGCCACCACACCCAGCTAATTTTTGTATTTTTATTGGAGATGGGATTTCACCATGTTGACCAGGCTGGTCTAGAACTCCTGACCTCAGGTGATCTGCCCGCCTCAGCCTCCCAAAATGCTGGGATTACAGGTGCAAGCCACCACGCCCGGCCATACTTTTAGTGAAAGGAAAGCCATGTATCTTTTTCTGCTGTCTCCTATGTCATGTCTTACTCTGCCGTTTTGTAATGGTCCTTGAGATTGAGATAATAGAGAGAGATTTTCTAGATTTTCACCTACTCACTGATTTTTACTACAGGCATTTTAATTCCTTTAAATTTGAGACTGATTTTCTTCCCATAGTATTTAACTTATCATCATCCTTATAGGAGGGCCAGACCCTTAGGATTTATGTGAATACTGCTAGTTGGTAGGAAAGGTACTTTTCCTGAAGCCTTGAAAGAGTATTTCCAGAATAGTGAGCTTCATATTTTTTTGGTAACTTTTTTTTAAAGGTATACTTTCTGTGTAAATAGAAATGAATTTTTGCAATTGGATGAGGGGGAAAAAAGCTGAAATTTAAGGGCAAAATCTTTTTTTTTTTTTTTTGAGACGGAGTCTCGCTCTGTCACCCAGGCTGGAGTCCAGTGGCGCGATCTCGGCTCACTGCAAGCTCCACCTCCCGGGTTCACGCCATTCTCCTGCTTCAGCCTCCCGAGTAGCTGGGACTACAGGCGCTCACCACCACGCCCGGCTAATTTTTTTGTATTGTTAGTAGAGGCGGGGTTTCACCGTGTTAGCCAGGATAGTCTTCGATCTCCTGACCTCGTGATCCACCCGCCTCGGCCTCCCAAAGTGCTGGGATTACAGGCGTGAGCCACCGCGCCCAGCCGGGCAAAATCTTATAGCATCTTATCCCTTCTATGGTTTGGGAAATTAAGAAAAGTGCACGTTGGTGTTTTCTCACAATTTAATGCTCAGGCAAGTAAAATGATATCCTTAATTGCAAGTTACTGAAGTTGAAAGGCGACCATTTCCCATCAATTAGAAATGGTCTTTATGGTTAACTCTGGCAGAAATTCTGTTCTTCTGTGAGGCTTGGGTGATATCAGTAATCCTATTGAGGAGAGAGCATATTGAATCCTCTGACTTTGGGCAAATAATTTAGTCTCCAGGTCCCAATGCCCTTGTCTGTGAAATGAAGAGAATACTTACCCTTCCCGGGTGGATTTAAAAATCTGTGAGGAAGGCCAGGTGCGGTGGCTCATGCCTGTAATCCCAGCACTTTGGGAGGCTGAGGCAGGCGGATCTCCTGAGGTCAAGAGTTTGAGACCAGCCTGGCCAACATGGTGAAACCCCATCTCTACTAAAAATACGTAATTGGCTGGGCTTAGTGGCACATGCCTGTAGTCCCAGCTACTCGGGAGGCTGAGGCAGGAGAATCGCTTAAACCCAGGAAGCAGAGGTTTCAGTGAGCCAAGATCGCGCCACTGCACTCCATCCTCGGTGACAAGAATGAAACCCCGTCTCAAAAAAAAAGCTATAAGGAAGCCCAGCACAGTGGCTCACACCTGTAATCCCAAGCACTTTGGGAGGCCTAGGTGGGAGGATCACTTGAACTCAGGAGTTCAGACCAGCCTAGGCAACATGGTGAAACCCTGTTTCTACAAAAAATTAGCCAGGCGTGATGGTGTGCACCTGTAGTCCCAGCTGAGGTGTATCACCGGAGCCCGGGAGGTCAAGGCTGCAGTGAGTGGTTATTGCGCCACTGCACCTGCACTCCAACCTGGGCAACAGCAAGTCCCTGTCTCAAATAAAAGCTAAGAAGGCAAGTTTTGTAATAGTACTTTGAGCAGCATAAGGTACATATACAAAATATTGTGGGAAATATATTATGAAGTTTTGCATCTAGGTACATAAGAGACTGTTTCCCTCACAGTGGAGAGCTTTGGTAAAAGAGCAAGTGGATTAGAGCAGTTGTAGCTTCTGTTTTCTCCAGAAAGCTCACGCTGTGCAGCAGCTGTTTTTGTCCATTCTGGCTTTGCAGCAGTGCAGTATTGGGGTTAAGCCACGTGTGTGGGCCTCAGAGGCAGGCAGCTGGGGCCATACTAAGCCGGGTGATCTTGAACGAGTCTCTTGACCTCTGCAAGCCTGTTTTCTCATCTGTAAAATGGGGATTATAATAGTAGCTGCTCTGTTGGGTTACTGTGAGAAATGCTTAATATGGATTGTAGGGCATGATTTCCTATGGTAAGGTTTTTAGAAGTAATAATGGACCAGCTAAAAATGTTCAAGCATTTATCTACTGGGCATGTTGTCTTTTTTTCTTTCTTTCTTTTGAGACAGCTTCTTGTTCTGTCACTCAGTCTGGAGTGCATTGGCGCGATCTTAGCTCACTGCAACCTCCGCCTCCCAGGCTCAAGGGATCCTCCCACCTCAGCCTCCCAAGTAGCTGGGACTACAAGCGCATGCCACCACACCTGGCTAATTTTTTTTTTTTTTTTTTTGGTAGAGATAGGGTTTTGCCATGTTGCCAGACTGGTCTTGAACTCCTAAACTCAAACAATCCACCCGCCTCAGCCTCCCAAAGTGCTGGGGTTACAGGCGTGAGCCATCGCGCCCAGCCTTCAGCATGTTGTCAAAGGAAGTATGAAAATGACAACAACTGATGGCCCATTTTCATCAGTCATCCTGGAAATCAGCAAGAGTCAAGCTGCTTTGTGCACTTATTGGGGTGCACTTATTTTCTCCAAGGTGTCCATTTCATGAGGCATTTTTTGTTAATGGAAAGCTGGGTTAGCAAATGCAGTGATGAAGGGCCATAAGTATAGTTTTAGTAGTTGTTAACCCTTGAAGGTAGTGGGTTTATTTTGTCTTTTTTTTTTTTTTTACGACCTCCAACACTTTCTATTTATCTTGGCTTAATATAATACCTGAAAATGAATTTTAGTTAAGACTTAGAGATTTGTCTAAACAATCTCCAAGCAGGTTGAAAACTGAGACTTTCAAGAGCCAGGGGATTTGAGTGTATTCTGGATTAACTTGGTTCTTCATCTTTCCAAGAAAGGTAAACTGTGTTCTAGGCAGTTTTTGTAATGGGATTTTCAGGCTAGATCTTTAACCAAAAAAAAAAAAAAAGAGGCCCTACAGAAACTTAGAAACAGCCTTTACAGGGTCAAGGGGAGCTTTGACAAGGAAGAGGCAAAAATCTCTGCCCCATGTGTCAGTTGAACTTCTTCCACCTTCCCTCACCAGTGGCTACATTTCAGGGCTGAAAGGGCTTTGGAATCCTTTGCTGAGTGCTTTGGATGAGATTTGTTTTCAAGTTGCTTTTTAGAATTAGAGTGACCATTTACATGGTTTTCATTCCCAATCTGTGAATTCCAAAGCCTTATACCAGTCACCAGGCAGATACGTTACCTAAGAAGTGCCTACTTTTGGAGGCCGAGGTAGGTGGATCACCTGAGGTCAGGAGTTCGGCTAACATGGTGAAACCCTGTCTCTACTAAAAATACAAAAATTAGCCGGGCATGGTGGCGCATGCCTGTAATCCCAGCTACTTGGGAGGCTGAGCCAGGAGAATCACTTGAACCTGGGAGGCAGAGGTTGAAGTGAGCCGAGATCGCGCCACTGCACTCCAGCCTGGCTACAATGCGAGACTCCGTCTCAAAAAAAAAAAAAAACAAAAAGAAGTGCCCTCTGTGTGTAAGGTTCTGAGGAAACATAAAGGAAGGATTCTCCCAATTCCACAAAAACTCGATTTAGTCAAAAAAATATACTTATTGACTTTCCTAAAAAATTAAAAAGAAAAACAACTAAATACACAGCCAACTAGCATCTTCATTTTTAGAACTCAAAAATTAATTGGAATATACCTAGGGAGAAATTTTCTGGAATTTCATTTTCTGGGATATTTTTTAAAATTGCTAGTCCTCATTCCTTTGTCATTTTATATTTCATTTTCCATCTTAGTTAATATTGCTGTTTTTATTTCCTCATTCTCTGTTATTGTATCAGTTATTGTCCAATCAGGAAAGTAGAAACCACTCTAGATAGTTCCAGCAGGAAGGGACTTAAATGCAAGGGATTTATTACAAAGGTGCTGGAAAGGCTTGGGAGGAGCAAAATGCAGAAGAGGGTTGTTATCCAGAGATGAGAAAGCTGCCTGTGGGCTAGAACCCAGGAGCCTCCATGCACAGATGAGCTGCTGCTGCTGCTGCTGCTGCTGCTGCTGCTGCTGTTGGAGCTGTATTGCTGCAGTTCACCAGGAACCCAGAAGCCAAAACTGCGCTGATGTGCTGGAACCTGCGGTGTGTGTAGTTGCCTGCATTCTTCCATAGTTGTTCACTGCTCCTGCTGCTGCTGCTCCCCAAGACAGAGCAGTAACAGGAAAAAAGTGGTGTTATCCTTCCACTTGCCAACCAATCTCCAGCCTTTGAAAACCTAACTGTGGAAGCCAGCTGGCAAAGGAGTCTGGGAAATGTAGTGTGCAGGCTTTCAGTTCTGCTGATACGGAGGAGAATGTAGAAGGGCGCGTTTGACCAAATGAATGCTGTAATTGCTTGGGTGATGCATTTCTCATAACGGAGATGGGCAGAGAAGGCATTATTTTACACTGATAACATTCAGAGAGGTGGAGAAGAGGCACAGTGGCATTCCAGATAAGGGGATAGCCAGAGTGGTGGTGTGGAGGCAGGAATGCTCATGGCATGTTCAGAGAATAGCTTAGCTGGACCATAGAGTTCTTTTTGAAGGATAGCTAGAAATGAAGGTAGAAAATAAGGTTGGGTTCAAATTGGATTGAGATTGTGGTAGTAAAAGCTGTCTTACAATTAACCCATGTTGGGTGTGGTAGCTCACGCCTGTAATCCCAACATTTTGGGAGGCTGAGGCTGGCAATCATTTGAGCCCAGGAGTTCCAGACCAGCCTGGCCAACATGGTGAAACCTTGTCTCTACAAAAAAAATACAAAAATTAGCCGGGCATGGTAGCACACCCACACATCTAGTCCCAGCTACTCAGGTAACTGCAGCGGGAGGATCGCTTGAGCCTGGGAGGTTGAGGCTGTGGTGAGCCATAATCGCGCCACTACACTCCAGCCTGGGTGACAGAGTGAGACCCTGTACAAAAAAAAACAAAAACAAAAACAAAAACAAAAAAAAAAAGAAGAAGATTAACCCATAGCACTTTACACAGTGATTTGAGCTGGGATAGACCAATGAGGAAACTCTTATGATAGCTCAAGCTTTAAGGGCTTGAGGACTGTGGTAAAAACCTGTACATTCAAGACAAAGTTGTCTTGAATGAATTGTTTCTGTCTTAAGAACTGAGGCTATGGTAGTGGAGTTGGAGATAAACAGTTCATTCAAAACAAGCTTTTAACTGATGTACCTGTCAATGGCTTGGGGCAAGTAATTGGAATAAATAATGAATTCTGATTTTCTGTTGATTTTTCTATATAAATTGAATTTGTTGATTACCTTATGCTCTTGAAAAGGTCTTAGTTCTCTCTTTTTTATGCTTTTACTTCTCTGGGATAATGCCTTGATAAGTTAGACTCATCATGGTATTGTTAGGATCTTCCTTGAAGTGGCATTAAATTCACTTTGATCATAAACTTTATTCATAAATTTGTTTTTTGTTTTTTGGGTTTTTTTTTTTTTTTTTGAGATGGAGTCTCACTCTGTCACCCAAGTTGGAGTGCAGTGGTGCAATCTCGGCTCACTGCAGCCTCCTCCTCCCAGGTTTAAGTGATTCTCTGCCTCAGCCTCCCAAGTAGCTGGAATTACAGGCATGTGCCACCACACCTGGGTAATTTTTGTATTTGTAGTAGAGACGGAGTTTTGCCCTGTTGGCCAGGCTGGTCTCGAACTCGTGGCCTCAAGTGATCCGCCCACCTTGGCCTCCCAAACTGTTGGGATTACAGGCGTGAGCCACCATGCCCAGCCTTTATTAGCCAATTTGAAACCTGTGCAACAAGTTCTGCAGGGCCTTGATAACTTGAGGTAATACTTAAATTACTTGTGGACAGGTTTTTGGTTTTTTCTTTGGACACTAATTCATTAATTCCATTTAGGAGGTATTTATTGAGCCAGCAGTGTGTGTGGTGCTGAGGTCACATGAGGAGCAGAATAGATAAGACATTAAATCCCCATCTTTTTGGAGTTAACAATTTAATGAGAAATAGAAATTAAAGAAAAAAAAAACATTCCTCGGCCTTAGGGCCCTTGCAGTTGCTGTTCAGCTGCCTGGAATGCTGTCCCCCAGATGCCCAGATTCTTAACTCCCTTGCCTCCCTCATGGCTGCTCCCACGCCTCCTGCTCAGTGGGACCTGCTCTGGCCATCCCTTTCAGCTCTGTGCATACTCCTCTACCACGTGCCGGGGCTTTCTCCCCATTCTATTTCCCTCCTAAGTTTGCTTTGTAATTGTCTGTTTCCCTCTGCTAGAATTTAAGTTCCATGAGGCAGGCATCTTTGTCTCTTTTGTTCATTGCTGTATCCACATGCCTAGTACAGTGCCTGGCACAGTAGTAGGTGCTTGCTCAGTAATTTTCATTGAATGATTGAATGGGCGAATGAGAATAAATAAATGAGGGCATCCAGGGAACCCAAGGAAGGCTACAGTGGCTAGTGAGAAAAAGGCAGAATGGTGGAGATGAGATCACATAGGGAATAAGAATTTGAGGGTTTAATATAAGAGCAGGCCAGGCATAGTGGCTCACCCCTGTAATCCCAGCACTTCGGGAGGCCGAGGCAGGTGGATCACTTGAGGTCAGGAGTTCGAGACCAGCCTGGCCAACATGGTGACACCCCATCTCCACTAAAAATACAAAAATTAGCTAGGCATGGTGACGCGTGCCTGTAGTTCCAGCTACTTGGAAGGCTGGAGCAGGAGAATCACTTGAACCCGGGAGGCAGAGGTTGCAGTGAGCCGAGATCGCGCCACTGCACTCCAGCCTGGGTGACAGAGCTTAGACTCTGTCTCACACAAAAAAAATGATCAAATCTGTTCTTTAAAAGATAACTTGCTGCTCTAGGAGAGCAAGAGTATACATGTGAAGAACGCGTAAGGCTGTGGGGATCCAGGCGATCTAGATTCCCTGGCAGCAGATACGTTGGCTTTCTCAGCTGTTGAATTTGAGTGCCCATTCCAAGGGTAGGCATTGATTGTTATCATTCTGATTATACTTGCATGCACTTAGGTTATCATTAGCCCCTAGAGACTTACCTGTCTCCTTGAAGAACATCATTGTCCAGTGATCCTGCTGACAGATGAGAGCTGTCAAGATAGCTTGGCTGTGAGATGCCATTTAACTAGTTTTTATCTGTGTATGCTTTCCCTCCCCCTGCAAGATTTAATGACCTAGCCAGGAGAGAGTCTAGGCTTCCTGGCTCCTCTCCAAGTGTTCTACCACTAAAATGTTAATATTACCTTTCTCAGAATTCTTCTGAATCACTTGTTGGCACTGTAAGTGGCTTTTTAAACTTTGATTTTGCCATTTTTGAGTCTGTTTGTACTAGGATTTTTTGCTGGAGGAATTTGAGCTGATTTGATTACTTAAAGAAGGCCTTTTCACTTACCTTTGCTTTTTAAAGTTGAGTAGCCTGTGATAGGTGGGAATGTTTCTGCCACCTGACATGTTAGTTGGCAAAGTAGTAGAGGCAGCCTTTAATAAAAGTCACTCTGGAAGAATATTAGTTGGGTACTTAGCATTCTTGGCATTCTTATGGAATGATACAGGTTTATGGCCTTTTTATTAAGTTCTTAAAATCAAATGATCTTTAATTAGAAGCAATCATATATAAAACTTTGTGACTCCAGACAACACTGGCCTTACTGTATTCTACTATGGAGTGGGGTTTGTGCCTGTAGGAATGCAGGTTTGGGTTAGGGGAGCGGAGAAAGGGGTGTGAGAAGGCCATATTGAACACATTGTAGCCTGGTCTGTGCCATCTGCTCCCGGCTGCCTTACTGGTATGGAATGTGGACATACAGCTTTTGAGCCTAGCTGTACCTTGCTTGGCTTTTAGCTCTCATGATTCAACTGGCTGAGCTTAGCTTTCTGTTACAGTCAGTAAGGAAAATGGAGTTGAGCAGCCTGTTTTTTGAACTCAGGTAGTCATGAGGCTTGACAAGCCATGACACATATATTTTAATCGCCACGGCCCCCTCTAATGTTTTAAATAAGACAGTAGAGGAATATTTACATTCAAGGAACAACAAGTTATCACAAAACTCCCCCCAACATACACAGCAAGAAAAATGCCACCTTATTCTATTGTATATGATTCTTCACTGGGCAAAAAGGGCTCTTTATCTGAATGCAATCTATGATGTCCTCAGTGAAGAAAACTAAAGGGTTGGTGTGTATGATATCGCATTTTGGTATGAACAGATTATATATGTTTCTGTGCCCACACCTGTACCCTTGAGGAGCGGTAATAGCCAGAAGGGATCGTGGTGTTAGAGATGGCAAAGCTAAGGCTCTGACAGGCTCTCTTAAGTTAAGGCCTTGACAGTGGGTTTTCTGAGCAGAAAGCAGAAATCACAGATGGATTCAGGGGCCGGGGAGTGGTCTGCGGCATTGGGGAGACACATGCAATAGTGAAGGAACTGGGTTGAGACACCTACTCATCCCCAAACCCTCTCTTCATTCTGCACACAGTAATCATATTAGCTATGGTACAAGTTTCCCATAAGATTTTAACATAGTAAATGCCGTGGGAGTCAGAGTCGGTCTGCTGACAGGGTTTTTATAATGGTGATGTACGTTGTTGTGCATTGATTTTAAGACGATTCAAAAGAAAGTAGCTGCTCTGTGCTCTTCCCAGGGCCATTCAGAGCCAGGGAGTGGGAGGTGAGGCCACGGAGGGAACCACTCAGTGGGTTTATCTTGGGCATTCTGTGCATATGTAACTGAGAAAGGTATGTTGTTACCTAATGTATGCTTTTGATAATTTGGACCAAGAGACATGGTATTCTGAATAGCAGCCAAATATATGAGGTCAAGGTGACTTCCTCTAGCAATTAGGACAGCTGTCATGGAAGAGTAGGCCAGACCTGATTTCCTTCTTAAGTCCGAGGGCTAAACCAGTGATAAGAGATGACTCGTTGATCTTCCTGATATTACTGGCCAAGCACTTTCTAAGGAATGACGATTGATAAGGAAGAACAAACTACTATTTTGGTCTCTTATCTAAAGGAAAATCATGAAGCTAGCACTTTATAGAAAATGCACTTATTCAGTTCCTTGTATGATCACAAATGTTTTCTTAGTTATTTTTGGGCTCCCCAACAGGATATGTTACTTATAGTTTGAAATTCGCCTTTTTTTTTTTCTCTGAAATATATCTTGAAGTGTTGAGTGGTGGCTAGGTGCCATATAGAACATACAAGCAGAATTTTATAGAAGTATACATTTAGTGAGGGGTGGAGATTATTGCTTTAATAAATGGGACTGGCTGGATGTCATTCTTTTTTGTCCCCTTCCCAGTCACTTTGACTCTAGGGTCTTGATTAATGTGATCATCTCTGCAGAGTGTGGAGAGACAGCACTGGGATGGGGGTGGGAAGTGGGCGCAAAGCCTTTCTTAGGGCACAGACAGCTCTGACAGCAGTTTCTGGGACTGCCTTCCCCTCTCCCCTTCAGCTTCCGCATCTGTGACGTGAGGGAGCTGGCTGCCAGCATTCCCAGCTTGGCCTGCCTTCCAGTGGCTTTCATTCAGAGACAGCAGATCATGTTCATCTGGAAGTTTTCTTAGTTGTTCATCTCAAGAAGAATCTTAGGAATTTTTTTTCAAATCAGCCAGTTTTCCTCAGATTTTGCTTCTTCTTTATCTGCCCTGTTCCTTTGGCTAATCTTCTGTCAGCGAGACACAGGGTCATCAGTTTAAGTATGGGAAGGAAATTATGGCCTTGAGCACAGGCAGAAAGCATCTGGCTCCCAGGCGCTTCCTGTGAGCCACCATGAAATTACAAAGACTGGGCCTGACAAGGCCTTTCAAAGGAGCATCTCACACCACCACTGTGTCAGCATTTCCATGATTCCATCGTAAAGCAGTTGTTTTTCCTGATGCTTATTATGACCAGGTTGGAGTTGGCCTTTACATGGGAAGCGTTTATCCAGTGGATGAGAGTGAAACAGCAGGACAGAGGTGGCGGGGGAGAGGGCTCAGATTGCTCTCGGAATTCCCTTCTCCAGCCCGGTCCTGACCAAGCCATTCTTGCTCAGAAGCCTGTGGTTCCTCAGAGGATGAAGTCCAGACTGTCTTTAGCGTGTCAGGACCCTCCACAGACTTGCCCCCAGCGTCTCCCACCATATGTGCCTATGCTCCGCGTTCCTGTTCTCCAGCCAGGGCAGTGCGGGGGAGTGGAGGGACGAGAGCTGGGGGTGGTGTCAGGAGACCTGGGTTCTGGACTGGGGTTCCTGTCTATCTAGCTGAGTTATTTCATTTCTCTCTGTCTCAGTAGTTACTAATCTGGATAGGCTTACCAAATGAGAGGAGGAGAAGAAAAGGTTTAGGAGACAGATTACAAGGCTCTTTCTGATTCTTGTCTCCTGGCCTAGCTTGGAAATTAGAACACCAAATGTCTGAGCATTAAATGGGTTTTTGAACCATGAAGTTTTTTGAACTTCTTAAAAACAAAAACAAACAAAAAGAAAACACTGTAGGTTGGGCGTGGTGGCTCACGCCTATAATCTCAGCACTTTGGGAGGCTGAGGCGGGTGGATCAGGAGATCGAGGCCAGCCTGGCCAAGACTGTGAAACCTCATCTCCACTAAAAGTAGAACTTAAACTTTTTTTTTTTTTTTTTTTAATAGATGGAGTCTCATTCTGTCACCTAGGCTGGAGTGCAGTGGCGCGATCTTGGCTCACTGCCACCTCTGCCGCCGGGGTTCAAGAGACTCTCCTGCCTCAGCCTCCCGAGTAGTTGGGACTACAGGCGCCTGCCACCGCGCCCAGCTAATTTTTGTATTCCACCCCCCCCCCCCAAGACAGAGTCTTACTCTGTCACCCAGGCTGGAGTGCAATGGCGCGATCTCAGCTCACTGCAACCTCCACCTCCCAGGTTCAAACGATTCTGGTGCCTCAGCTTCCTAAGTAGCTGGGACTACAGGCACATGCCACCATGCCTGGCTAATTTTTTTGTATTTTTAGTAGAGACGAGGTTTCACCATGTTGGCCAGGCTGTTCTTGAACCCCTAACCTCACATGATCCGCCCACCTCAGCCTCCCAAAGTGCTGGGATTACAGGCGTGAGCCACTGTGCCCAGCTAATTTTGTGTTTTTAGTAGAGATGGGGTTTCACCATCTTGGCCAGGCTGGTCTTGAACTCCTGACCTTGTGATCCACCTGTCTCAGCCTCCCAAAGTGCTGGGATTACAGGCGTGAGCCACCGTGCCTGGCCACATTTTTTTTTTTTTTTAACGTGGGACACCAACATACAAAACAGATCAAAAGCTAGGTAAGGTGGCTCACACCTGTGACTCCAGCACTTTGGGAGGCCAAGGCAAGAGGATTGCTTGAGCCCAGGAGTTCTACACCAGCCTAGGCTACATAGTGAGATCCTGTCTTTACAAAAAATAAAAATTAAAAAAATTAGGCGGGCATGGTGGCCCAGCTACTTGGGAGGCTTGGTGGGAGGATTGCTTGAGCCCAGGAGATCAAGGCTACAGTGAGCCATGATTGTGCCACTGTACTCCAGCGTGGGTGACAGAGTGAGACCCTGTCTCATAAAAATAAACAGAAACAGATCAAATTGGACTTGCTCTCTTGAGGCTGAAAGGTCTGACATGCCACCTGTTGAGTCTTAAAACCTGCCAGTTCCATCCAGGGCTCCCCAGGGCACTGCTTCTCTGCATTTCTTCTCTCTTGCTATGCAGCCAGGATTAGAGTCACCTGTTTGACATGACCCCAGGCAGGGGCCTAGTGTAGAAGGGGGAGATTGTATAGAAAAGTGTATAAAGTATGTACGATTTGAACAACTATAAAGTGAATACCAATATAACCACTACCCAAGTCCAGAAATAGAACAGAAGCTCCACTTTGTATTTAGTATTTTCCTTGGTTCCATTCGTTCTGTTTCTTAGCTTCTTAGCCTTAGCTTCAGTACAGATGCAGTAGATAAAATAAAAGCCAATGGCTTTTATATCTCCTTAGTCTCAAAGCAGGAATCCAAAACACTGCTTTCAAATACAGATGATAAATATTTGAATAAGAAATAATATTTTGGCTGGGTGCAGTAGGTGACACCTGCAATCCCAGCACTTTGGGAGGCTGAGGTAGGCGGATCACATGAGCCCAGGAGTTCGAGACTAGCCTGGGCACCATGGTAAAACCCCATCTCTACAAAAAATACAGAAGTTAGCCAGGCGCGATGGCACATGCCTGTAGTCCCAGCTACTCTGGCGGCTGAGGTGAGAGGATCACTTGATCCTGGGGAGGTTGAGGCTGCAGTGAGTTGTGATTATATCATACTGGGCTCCAACCTGGGTGATAGAGTGAGACCCTGTCTAAAAAAAAGAATCTTTTTTCTTAATAAAAAATATTAATAATAAGAAATATGTTATAATAAATTTTGTTTGTTTTTGAGACGGAGTCTCGTTCTGTCGCCAGGCTGGAGTGCAGTGGCACGATCTCGGCTCACTGCAAGCTCTGCCTCCCAGGTTCACGCCATTCTCCTGCCTCAGCCTCCCGAGTGGCTGGGACTACAGGCGCCCGCCACCACGCTCGGCTGATTTTATTTTTGTATTTTTGGTAGAGACGGGATTTCACCGTGTTAGCCAGGATGGTCTCGATCTCCTGACCTCGTGATCCGCCCGCCTCGGCCTCCCAGAGTGCTGGGATTACAGGCGTGAGCCACCGCACCCGGCCCCCATTCATTCTGTTTCTTAGCTTCTTTTTTTGTTTGTTTGTTTGTTTGTTTGTTTTTTGAGACGGAGTCTCGCTCTGTCCAGCAGTGGCGCGAACTCGGCTCACTGCAAGCTCCGCCTCCCGGGTTCACGCCATTCTCCTGTCTCAGCCTCCCGAGTAGCTGGGACTACAGGCGCCCACCACTATGACCGGCTAATTTTTTTATTTTTAGTAGAGACGGGGTTTCACCATGTTAGCCAGGATGGTCTCCATCTCCTGACCTCGTGATCCGCCCGCCTCTGCCTCCCAAAGTGCTGGGATTACAGGTGTGAGCCACCGGCCCTTTTTCTTAGCTTCTTAGGTTGGCCTTAGCTTCAGTACAGGTGCATTAGATAAAATAAAAGCCAACCATCCTTTTTAAAAGGATATACATGTGGTATAACTTTTATTACTTGCGATAGCCTGTTTTGGGACTGGCAGTTTACAGAATAATGCAAGTGAGTAGTGAAGAATAATTAGAAATAATGAGCTGAAATCCTCATGTCATCCTAACATGCCATCAGGAAATAGTAAGCCTTACTGTTGGACTCGAAAATAAGCTGACCCATTTTTCCCCATTGACAGAAATGCCTGTTTCTTCAGCACTGTCCTTTGTTGGCAAGGCACATTTGGCTGGACGCAGCCTCCACTCTTCTTGCGTCAGGGACATTTATATAGAGAATGTTCTTTCAAAAAGAACTTTTTTCCTAGTGAGAAGTTTTAAAAAAAAATTAGTAGAGTATAACTGCTTAGAAGCAACTGCTGGAATAATTTTATAGGTTTTACTTACCCTTTTGAAAATCAATGTAAAATTGGTCTTAATGCCAGGAAATTTCAAAGGTAAGACTCGGCTGTTTTTTTGTATCTTGACTTGGTAAGAATCTCAGCTCACTGTGGTAATGGTAATTATGCTGTGATACCTAGGCTTATTGGAGTGCCTCCAATTTCGAATTTGCCTTGGTTTTGTATTCCCTTTGACGTAGAATATTTTTACAGCTTATCAGAATCTTGGTTTTTGTTGTTGTTTTTCTTAATATAGGTAATCCAGAAATTATGCTAAATCAGTGAGAAAGACTTCTTAGCTTTTGATTTTGTCTTTGTTTATATTTGCCTTATACTTTGATCAGATAGCTTAATTAGAATTCCATAGTTACCTGGTAGAAAGCTGCTAAGGATAAAGCTTAAGGAAGTACTTTGGCTAAAAGCGGCTCCCTTTATTCATCAGGGGAATTTGATTTCATCCTGTGGATAACATAGCTTAGAAATTCTGTTTCTTTGGGACCAGCCTGTAGAGTTCTGCAAGCCTGGAAGCATGAGAACTGTGGCGGGGGAAAAATGGGCTACTTGCTGTATTTAGTGTGGGCTGCTAGGATGGTAAGGTAGCAACATAGTTCTGTATTCCCACCCTGGAATTCAGAAGAACCTTTAAGCAGGGATTGCATGGAGGTGGGGAGGACAAATCAAGAGGGGCAGGAGGGGACATTTGCAAAAATTATAAATGGAATGTCAGAGAATCTTTCATAGCTACTCTTTAAAAATTAACTTTAGAGCCAAGAGTGGTGTGGCTCACGCCTGTAATCCCAACACTTTGGGAGGGTGAGGTGGTAGGATCGCTTGAGCACAGAAGTTCAAGACCACCCTGGGTAACATAGTGAGACCTCATCTCTACAAAAAAAATTTTAAAAATTAGCCGGCCGTGGTGGCATGCGCTTGTAGTCCCAGCTACTCAGGAGGTTGAGGTGGCAGAATTGCCTGAGCCTTGAAGATTGAGGCTGCAGTGAGCTGTGATTGCACCACCGCACTCCAGCCTGGGGAACAGACTAAGACCATATTTAAAAAACAAAAACAAAAAAACTTTAGGCCAGATTATTTTCAAAACAGGCATGCGAGTTACTAGCCCTTGAAAGTCTACTGATCCCTTTGTGGTTTCCTTTGGTCTTCTGGAGTGTGCTGCACATTGAATTTATAGAGAGTATAGTGAGAGCTGAATGCGCGTAATCAATATCCAAGAATCTGTTGCATGAGACGACGTGTTTCAAGACCAGATAGGCAAACACTGAAATCAGTCTTTCTAAAGATCCAGATGACCCATTTCAGAGACTGCCTGTACCCAGAGCCCTAGGGACATAGTGAGATTCCATGGCTATGAGGAAATCTTCCTCTCACATTGGGTAGGAGTAAGTGTATGTAGCCTATACTAGTGGGAACAACTACCCCACCAACACTGTTCTGGGCAAATGTCACTTTCTTTTTTCCCCTTGGCAAATCCTGGTTTTGCATACCATCCCCACAATGTTATTATTTTATTTTTATGTTTTTTAGAGGTGGAGTCTTCCTGTGTTGCCCAGGCTAGAGTGAAGTGGCTTTTCATAGATGTGATAATGGTGCACTGCAGCCTTGAACTCCTGGGCTCAGGTGATCTTCCCACCTGAGCCCCCTGAGTAGCTGGGACTACAGGTGTGAGCCACCACACCCAGCTCAATGTTGTTATTTTAATTTGCATTGGACTGAAAGGTAGAAATATAATTGCTATATTCAAATGGAGTTTTCGTTTATGTAAGATGATTAACTCCTTAGACTGTGTTAATTTGTTGGGTGAGTAGTTAAGGTAGCAGTGTACAACAATAAATAACTCAACGGGGTAAAAGATTATTATTATTATTTTGAGATGGTATCTAACTGTCACCCAGGCTACAGTGCAGTGATGTGATCATAGATCACTGTAACCTCAAACTTCTGGGCTCAAGCGATCCTCCTGCCTCACCCTTCCAAGTAGCTGGGACCACAGGCACATGCCACCATGCCTGGTTAATTTTTTATTTTTTTTCTTTTATTTTTTTTGAGACAGAGTCTCACTCTGCTGCCCAGGCTGAAGTACAGAAGTGTGATCTTGGCTCACTGCAACATCTGCCTCCTGGGTTCAAGCCATCCTCCCACCTCAGCCTCCTGAGTAGCTAGGATTACATGGCATGCACCACCTCACCCAGCGAATTTTTTTTTTTTTTTGTATTTTGGGGTTTCACCATGTTGGCCAGGCTGGTCTCAGACTCCTGACCTCAAGTGATCTGCCCACTTTGGCCTCCCAAAGTGCTGGGATTACAGGCGTGAGCCACCACACCTGGCCAATTTTTAAAATTTTTGAGACAGGGTTGCACTCTGTTGCCCAGGCTGGAGTGCAGTGGTGCAGTCTCAGCTCACTGCAACCTCTGCCTCCTGTGCTCAAGTGATCCTCCCACTTCAGCCTCCCCGGTAGCTGGGACAACAGGTATGCATCACCACAGCCAGCTAATTTTTTGTATTTTTTGTAGAGAAAGGGTTTTACCATGTTACCCAGGCTGGTCTTGAACTCCTGAGCTCAAGTGATCCACCCACCTCAGCCTCCCAAAGTGTAGGGATTACAGGTGTGAACCACTATGCCCAGCCTAAATTTTTTGTAGAGAAGGGTTCTCACTGGTCTTGAACTCCTGGTCTCAAGCAGTCCTCCCACCTTGGCCTCCCAAACTGCTGGGATTACAGGTGTGAGCCACTGCGCCCTGCTCGATTATTTTCATATTTGATTCTCAGAGTAAACATACAGCTTGTTGATAATCTGAGCCCCGACTGCCCATCTCATCTTCTGTCTCCCATTCTTGGAAACCCTTTTCCAGTCAATCTGTCCCAAAACATGTTTATTGCTTTCCCATTTTAGCCACTATTATTCATGCCTTTTATGTCACCTCTCCAAACTCTGCCAGTCTTTTAAGAACCAATTCAAATTTTACTTCTGCCTGATGCCTTTCCCACTTACTCCAGATTGAATGGTTTTTCTTTCTCTGGATCCCAGGAAATGGTCTATACCATTTATTGTCTTATGGTTTGGCTATTTTTTTTAAGTGTAAATATTGTATCTCAAGTAAATTATAAGATCCTCGTCAGCAAAGACAGTACCCATTCCTTTTGTTTCATCACATTTTCTTTGCTATGTGAGTATGCATTTGATTTGGGTGATGGACAGTTCAGTCCTTAATTCCAAAGATTATGGTAATACAAAAATGATTAACACTCTGAAATATGCAGAAAGGAGGGAATTTAGCTGCTGTATAACTAGATCTATCAAATGGGGACCTTTCTCTTTTACTCAGCTTTAGAGATTCTGTTGTCCTTGTTGAGTTTGATGGAATCCTTCTGTAAGATACTCTTCATGTGGTAAACAGATGAGTAGAATAGGGGTATTGCTTCAGATTCTGACAAATCATACACAGAAAATGAAAATGCCCTCTATGTCTCACTCAGATTCAAAAAGATTATAATCCCCTTTTACACCTAAATGCCCTAACACATCATTTTTGCATATTACTAATTAAGGTTCTCTAAATTCATCTGGATTTTACAGATGAATGAATTGGATGAATAAGGACCTTGAACTCTATTTCCAACTTTTCTTCTCTAATTTATCTTTATTCAAAAGGAAAAACAAAAACCCTAAGAAAATTTACTTTAGCATTTATTAATATGAAAATGGAAGCATTGGGTTTTAAGAAAATGTTTTGCTTAAATTCAGTGGTTTAATAAGCCAGAGAATAGTGTTCCCTTCTTTTCTTTTTTTTTTTTTTTGAGACGGAATTTCACTCTTGTTGCCCAGGCTGGAGTGCAGTGGCACTCTCTCTGCTCACTGCAACCTCTGCCTCTAGGGTTCTAGCGATTCTCCTGTCTCAGCCTCCCGAGTAGCTAGGATTACTGGCGCCCACCACCATGCCTGGCTAATTTTTGTATTTGTAGTAGAGGCGGAGTTTTACCATGATGGCCAGGCTGGTCTCAAACTCCTGACCTCAGGTGATCCACCTGCCTCGGCCTCCCAAAGTGCTGGGATTACAGGCATGAGTCACCGTGCCCGGCCAGTGTTCTCTTCCTTTTTTTTTTTCTTTTGAGACAGAGTCTTGCTCTGTCGCCCAGGCTGGAGTGCAGTGGCACGATCTCGGCTCACTGCAAGCTGGCCTTCCAGGTTCACGCCATTCTCCTGCCTCAGCCTCCTGAGTAGCTGGGACTACAGGTGCCCACCACCTCGCCCAGCTAATTTTTTGTATTTTTTTTAGTAGAGACAGGATTTCACCATGTTAGCCAGGATGGTCTTGATCTCCTGACTTCGTGATCTGCCCACCTCGGCCTCCCAAAGTGTTGCGATTACAGGCATGAGCCACTGCTCCTGGTCGTGTTCTCTTCTTATTGAAACTTTTATATCCCATCCTTCCTGGCCTATTTGGTAAGTATTAATACATTCCTCTGGAAAACTTCCATGTCTACCTGACATGGAAAGTGCTTCCTACATAGATATATTTCTTGTTCCACCCCTCCCACCCCCCAACTGAGTCTTTTCAAGTGTCTACCAAATGCAAACATTTTAACCAGCTGCTAATGGGAACTCATAGCTTTGAAGACTTAGAAATGTAAGATATTGAGAAATACGAGGTTTTAAGGAGGTTTGAAGAATGCTTTTTTGCTTTCTGTTAGTTACGATGTATATTTCCATTTATTTCCCCTATTGAGATTAAGGAAAATTGTGATAACAAGTATTTTACTTCCTTTGCTTGTAGTTCTGTATGAAATTATTTCCTTACAGTGTTACTAGTTGGTGGTGTTCTGTATGTGATTATTTGAAACTCAGTGTGTTTTCAGAAGTTGTTGAATATTCTCAGGTGGAGATGGTCATTTTTATTATGGATAATGGTGGAAGATTTTTGTCTTAGGGGGCATTCTAGATTACAGAGCACACAAACATTTCCTACTTCGGGGAGAGAGGGATGAGGTTGCTGTGTTGGAAGAGTGATACACACGCTGTGTTGGAAGAGTGATACACACACTTCCAGGCGTATGCTGATAGAGCTGTTGACAGTATGAACTTTCCCAGTCATAGTAAATCTGGGATCACGGTGGCATTTCTAGGTCCTACAAAAATGTGTGCTATCTTGGGAATGTTACCACTTCTTGCCCTGAGTGTTTCATAGAGGTGTTAAAAAAGAAAACACCCTCCTTCTACCTTCCAGTTGCGGCACTCTGGTGGGGACCTTGTGTCTTGGTTAAACAAATCACAAACAACTCTAGATGCTTGGTGACAGTCTGAAGAAGGCACGTAGATATTTGCATTATGTTTTATTACAGCATGTATTTGTGACTGAGAAACCAAAATACTTCTGAAGTATTTTCCTCTCTGAAGTAGTTGACTCTTGGCATAAAATGGGAAACTTTGAAGTCCTGTGTTTCTGTTTTTCTAATGAAATATCTCTGTACAGCTCAAAGATAAAAGTAATTACCATTTTTAAAGGATCCTTCTTTCCCCTCTGTTTTAACTCTTCCATTTAAAAAGGATTAGCACTGGAAAATTATTAGAATGGACATTCAGATTCTGTTGTGTATCTTAGTTGCCTGCTAAGAACACTGGTTCCCATCACATTTAAACTCTAAAGACATTGTGAAGTCTGGATATGCCCGGTCTCCTACTTTCTCTTTCTTTGTGGCCTTCAGATCATTAAATTTAGTGACTCAGCTAATTTTTTTTACCCACCTCTTAGAACTAAGTTGAATGTATTTGTGACCAAGCACTTAAAGTTATTTCCTCTAAACCAAGTGTTTGAGATGTTTTTAGATTTATAACAGTCTTTGTTTACCGTGTAATTCAGTCCAATTGAGGAACTAGTAAAACTGCATTATCTAGACATCAAAGCTAAGAAGAGTATACTTACACCAAGAAACTTATTAGGTTTCTAACAAGTGGAAAGTTACCAGGTGTCCCAAAATTAACCACTTCCATGCCAGCTGATTTTCACTTTTTGTAGCTATTTTAATGATCAGCAGCATTCTGGGTTTAAAAATAACAGTCGTGGCTGGGCACAGTGGCTCGTGCCTATGATCCCAGCACTTTGGGAGGCTGAGGTGTGAGTGGGAGGATTGCTTGAGGCCAGGAGTTTGAGACCAGCCTGGGCAACATAGCAAGACCCCATTTCTAAATAATAATAATAATAATAAATTAGCCAGGCATGATGGCTTGCACCTGTAGTCCCAGCTACTTGGGATGCTGAAGTGGGAGGATCACTTGAGCCCAGGAGTTGGAGGCTGCAGTGAGCTATGATTACAGCACTGCACTCCAGCATGGGTGACAGAGCAAGACTCCATCTCATAAAATAAAATAATCAGTTCTACATTATTCAGAGTTGAGTGTTGCTTTCTTTAGCATCCTTCAAATAACTGAAAATATGCCATTAAAAAATATAACCAAGGTGTTGAATGGATAATACATTTTAGTTCATTTCAAAATAGAGCCAATATCTTTATTTCTTGAGGTTTGAGAGCAGGCTGGTGTTTTGTTCTGTTTTTCCTTCAGATTTCTGTGAAGGGATAAATATTAGACCCACTTTACAGAGAACAGTTGAGTCACAGACAAGGGATGACTTGCCAATTGCATGCAGAGGTCACTTTAAGTAGGACCAGTGCTACCAAGTTGCATTTCAAGATTGGTAACCTTAAGACCTGACAGACCCTGGGGTCAGGAATTGATAGAGAAGGACTCTGTTAGATGAGGACCCATGACTTCCTCAACCCTTCATCAGCACTCCTGTCTGAGGCTCTGTTCAACCTAAGTTTCTTCATGGATTGAAACAAAATTATATGTGCATATTACAGAGTAATTGATTGTGTACAGATGCTTCCTTTAGGTATTTCAGAGGATGTGTGTAAACATGCTTTAGATATTCATAAGCATCTTATAATTTTGTTTATGTAAGCAATCGCCTAGAAAAGTAGAGGATGCGAAAGGTTTGTTTTTCTTTCCCGTGGATACCTTGCTTGTTCCTGCTGAATTCTAGAACATGGCATCTTTAGGAACATGCCATTATCTGGAGGCAATTGCCTACAGTCATTGAGATTTTTCTTTTTAAAATGTAGTTTTTGCATACTACGTCTAGTCACATTTTGTTTCCATAGAGGGTTTGGCTTTCTGGGATATCAGAAGGAAGCTATGGATGTTTGGAAAAGGTCTGTGACCTTTTGAGGTTATCATCACAGGGGACAATTGCACTCTCCCATTCATTGCTCCCTGGTGTCAGTCAGAATAATGCGTGGTGGTCTGACTTCCAGTGGCATTTCTTATGCAATAGGCTTACAAAAACATAATGAGGTCATGGCAAGCCTAGGTTCCTACAGACATAAATGAGATTCAGAAGAAAATTGCTCTGTTCATTTCAGATTCTCCTCTTTGTGATTGTCTTGAGAGAATGTTCATTTGGCTGCAGGTTCAGTGCTTGCACAGTTATATTGGAGTATCTAAGTAAACTGAAGTGCAGCATAAACTGTCGTAGCTGGAAAGTTGCTAAAGACTGTAAGCCATAACAGTTTGTTTAACTTAAGCTGTTAAAACTTTAGGTTCTTTAAGGTGCCATTTTTTTGGCCACATTCTGTGGTTCCCCATAGCCTTCAGGAAGGAATCCAAACTCTTTTTTTTTTTTTTTTTTTTTTTTAAGATGGAGTCTCGCTCTGTCGCACAGGCTGGAGTGCAGTGGCGTGTCTCGGCTCACTGCAAGCTCCACCTCCCGGGTTCACTCCATTCTCCTGTCTCAGCCTCCTGAGTAGCTGGGACTACAGGTGCCCACCTCCACACCCAGCTAATTTGTTGTACTTTCAGTGGAGACGGGGTTTCACCATGTTAGCCAGGATGGTCTTGATCTCCTGACCTCGTGATGCATCCGCCTCGGCCTCCCAAAGTGTTGGAATTACAGGCGTGAGCCACCGCGCCCAGCGAAGGAATCCAAACTCTTAAAGTGGTTTGATCCAGTCCCTGGTTCCTTGCTAATGCATCTTACCCATTCTTTCCCCACACACACTTTGTTCCAGTTGGTTCTCCCAACTGGCAGTGCTTTTTTTTGCGGAGGGAAGGGTCTGTGCACACTCTGTCCCTCTGTCTTAAATGCACTTCATACTTCAGGTCTCACCTGAGATGGAACTTCCTACAGAAAGGCTTTCCCGAATCTGAAAGGCTGGGCTTGGGGACCTTTTAATATGCTGAATCATCATTCAGTTATTGATTCTTTCAGTGAATATTTGTGTCAAGCACTGTGTCATAGGCTGAGGACACAGAATAGAACTAAACAGGGGACAGGCCTCACAGAGCTTGCATTCTTGTCAGGGAAACCATCTCGTATTTACACACTTAATTTTTTTTTATTTGGAAATGATTGAAAACTTGTAAAAATAGCACAAAGGAATATCCTATATGCTTTACCCAGATTCATCTATTTTTTTTTTTCAGATTCATGTGTTGTTAACAATTTACCACCCCATTTGTGTTCTTACTCTTTCTGTATACATAATTTTTCCAGTGGGATCAGTTACGTACATTATGGCCCTTCCCCTCAAAATACTAAGGTGTCAGTTTCCTAAAAGTGGAGACATTTTCACATGATAGATTTTATAGATTTACATTGATAAAATATTTTATTTGGGAGGATTTATCCTTCCTGCATTTCTTTTTTTTTTCAATCTTTTTTTTACTGTGTTAAAATACACAAAACATAAAACTTGCCATTTTAATCATTTTTAACTATACAGTTCAGCGATATTAAATACTTTCATGTTATGCAACTATTTCTGTAACACTTTCCATCTTGTAAAACTGAAACTCTGTACCCATTAAGCAGTAACTTTTCATTCCCACTTTCCCCAGCCCCTGACAACCACTGTTCTACTTTCTGTCTCTATGAGTTTGACTACTCTTAAGTACTGCATATAAGTGGAATCATATAGTATTTGTCTTTTTGTGACTGGCTTATTTCACTTAGCACAATCAAGATTCAGCCATGTTGTCAGAATTTCCTTCCCTTTAAAGGCTGAATAGGCCAGGCGTGATCGCTTACGCCTGTAATCCCAGAACTTTAAGAGGCCAAGGCAGGCAGATCGCCTGAGCCTAGGAGTTTGAAACCAGCCCGGGCAACATGGTGAAACCTCGTCTCTACTAAAAATACAAAAGTTAGCTGGGCACGGTGGCGCATGCCTGTAATCCCAGCTACTCGGGAGGCTGAGGAAGGAGAATCACTTGAACCCAGGAGACGGAAGTTGCAGTGAGCCAAGATCGCACCACTGCACTCCAGCCTGGGCTACAGAGCAGGACTCTGTCTCAAAAAATAAAATAAAAATAAAGGTTGAATAATATTATATTGTATGTATATATCACATTTTGCTTATCCATTCATGAGTAGGTGGATACTTTGGGTTGCTTCCATGTTTTGTTGTTGTTGCTGTTTTGAGATAGTCTTACTCTGTTGCCCAGGCTGGAGTGCAGTGATGAGATCTCAGCTCACCACAACCACTGCCTCCCAGGTTCAAATGATTCTCCTGCCTCAGCCTCCCAAGTAGCTGGGATTACAGGCACATGTCACCACACCCAGCTAATTTTTGTATTTTTAGTACAGACGGGGTTTCACCATGTTGGCCAGACTGGTCTTGAACTCCTGACCTCAGGTGATCCGCCCACCATGGCCTCCCAAAGTTCTGGGATTACAGGCGTAAGCTACCACGCCCGGCCCAGGTTCCTGTTTTTGCAGTGGGTTTATAATTCATTACCATACTTAATTATTGTGGCGCTCAAATTGTCCCAGAGTTGGCCAGTGGGAGCCCCTTCAGGCTGGCTTCTGTGTCCTTGTGAGATGCTCCATCGTTTTTTTTCTTGCATAAAAAGATGTTCCAGGCTCATTTTGTCCCTATCCTGCCCTAACCCTGGAATCAGCCCTTTTTCCAGGGAGCCCTCACACCCTTGTTTTAGCACTTAGCACACTGTTTACTTATGTTTTCCTCCACTGGACTAGATTGTACCTCTCTGGGGACACATAGATGTGAGTCTTACTTGCTCTTGTATCTTCACCCAGCACAAGGCCTGACACATGAGATGTTTACTAAATATTTGTTGAATAAAAAATTAATTTTTACTGTAGTTAATTGATTAAAATTTGGTTCTAAAATTATGATGCTGATGGGTTTTCTTTTTTTTTCCCCCATCTAGGAAGAAATGTTGGCTATTTGGCGATGAGAGGTGGTGAACAGTGACCATACTGGTATACAACACTATGGGACCTGGCATTTTTGCTGCATGTCCAGCCCACCCCCACTAATAATGTAGGAAGCTGTCTGGTCCATTGGAAACACTAATCTGATCTCAGAAGTGGCTGATCGTGGCAGGATGTGTCGACGATGATGATGGCAAGAAAGCAAGATGTCCGAATTCCCACCTACAACATCAGTGTGGTGGGATTATCTGGGACCGAGAAGGAAAAGGGCCAGTGTGGGATTGGAAAGTCTTGTTTGTGCAACCGCTTCGTGCGCCCGAGTGCTGACGAGTTTCACTTGGACCATACCTCCGTCCTCAGCACCAGTGACTTTGGAGGGCGAGTGGTCAATAATGACCACTTTCTCTACTGGGGAGAAGTTAGCCGCTCCCTGGAGGATTGTGTGGAATGTAAGATGCACATTGTGGAGCAGACTGAATTTATTGATGATCAGACTTTTCAACCTCATCGAAGCACGGCCCTGCAGCCCTATATCAAGAGAGCTGCTGCGACCAAGCTTGCATCAGCTGAAAAACTCATGTACTTTTGCACTGACCAGCTGGGGCTGGAGCAGGACTTTGAGCAGAAACAAATGCCAGACGGAAAGCTGCTGGTTGATGGTTTTCTTCTTGGTATTGATGTTAGCAGGGGCATGAATAGGAACTTTGATGACCAGCTCAAGTTTGTCTCCAATCTCTACAATCAGCTTGCAAAAACAAAAAAGCCCATAGTGGTGGTCCTGACTAAGTGTGACGAAGGTGTTGAGCGGTACATTAGAGATGCACATACTTTTGCCTTAAGCAAAAAGAACCTCCAGGTTGTGGAGACCTCAGCGAGATCCAATGTAAACGTGGACTTGGCTTTCAGCACCTTAGTGCAACTCATTGATAAAAGTCGGGGAAAGACAAAAATCATTCCTTATTTTGAAGCTCTCAAGCAGCAGAGTCAGCAGATAGCTACAGCAAAAGACAAGTATGAGTGGCTGGTGAGTCGCATTGTGAAAAACCACAATGAGAACTGGCTGAGTGTCAGCCGAAAGATGCAGGCCTCTCCAGAATACCAGGACTATGTCTACCTGGAAGGGACTCAGAAAGCCAAGAAGCTGTTTCTACAGCACATCCACCGCCTCAAGCATGAGCATATCGAGCGTAGGAGAAAGCTGTACCTGGCAGCCCTGCCATTAGCTTTTGAAGCTCTTATACCTAATCTAGATGAAATAGACCACCTAAGCTGCATAAAAGCCAAAAAGCTCTTAGAAACCAAGCCAGAATTCTTGAAGTGGTTTGTTGTGCTTGAAGAGACCCCATGGGATGCCACCAGTCACATTGACAACATGGAAAACGAACGGATTCCCTTTGATTTAATGGATACCGTCCCTGCAGAGCAGCTATACGAGGCCCACTTAGAGAAGCTGAGGAACGAAAGGAAAAGAGTTGAGATGCGAAGGGCGTTTAAAGAAAACCTGGAGACTTCTCCTTTCATAACTCCCGGAAAGCCTTGGGAAGAGGCCCGTAGTTTTATTATGAATGAGGATTTCTACCAGTGGCTGGAGGAATCTGTATACATGGATATTTATGGCAAACACCAAAAGCAAATTATAGATAAAGCAAAGGAAGAATTTCAGGAGTTGCTTTTGGAATATTCAGAATTGTTTTATGAACTGGAGCTGGATGCTAAGCCCAGCAAGGAGAAGATGGGTGTTATTCAGGATGTTCTGGGAGAGGAACAGCGATTTAAAGCATTACAAAAGCTCCAAGCAGAGCGTGATGCCCTTATTCTGAAACACATTCATTTTGTGTACCACCCAACAAAGGAGACATGCCCCAGCTGCCCAGCTTGTGTGGACGCTAAGATTGAGCACTTGATTAGTTCTCGGTTTATCCGGCCGTCTGACCGGAATCAGAAAAATTCACTCTCTGACCCTAACATTGATAGAATCAACTTGGTTATATTGGGCAAAGACGGCCTTGCCCGAGAGTTGGCCAATGAGATTCGAGCTCTTTGTACAAATGATGACAAGTATGTGATAGATGGTAAAATGTATGAGCTTTCCCTGAGGCCAATAGAGGGGAATGTCAGGCTTCCTGTGAACTCTTTCCAGACGCCAACATTTCAGCCCCACGGCTGTCTCTGCCTTTACAATTCAAAGGAATCGCTATCCTATGTAGTGGAAAGTATAGAGAAGAGTAGAGAGTCCACGCTGGGCCGGCGGGATAATCATTTAGTCCATCTCCCCCTTACATTAATTTTGGTTAACAAGAGAGGAGACACCAGTGGAGAGACTCTGCATAGCTTAATACAGCAAGGTCAACAAATTGCTAGCAAACTTCAGTGTGTCTTTCTCGACCCTGCTTCTGCTGGCATTGGTTACGGACGCAACATTAATGAAAAGCAAATCAGTCAAGTTTTGAAGGGACTCCTGGACTCTAAGCGTAACTTAAACCTGGTCAGTTCTACTGCTAGCATCAAAGATTTGGCTGATGTTGATCTGCGAATTGTTATGTGTCTGATGTGTGGAGATCCTTTTAGTGCAGATGACATACTTTTTCCTGTCCTTCAGTCCCAAACCTGTAAATCTTCCCATTGTGGAAGCAACAACTCTGTTTTACTTGAACTACCAATCGGACTGCACAAGAAGCGGATTGAACTGTCTGTTCTTTCATACCATTCCTCCTTTAGCATCAGAAAGAGCCGGTTGGTTCATGGGTACATTGTTTTTTATTCAGCCAAACGTAAGGCCTCTTTGGCTATGTTACGTGCCTTTCTTTGTGAAGTGCAGGATATTATCCCTATTCAGCTTGTAGCACTCACTGATGGCGCTGTAGATGTCCTGGACAATGACTTAAGTAGGGAACAGCTAACTGAGGGGGAGGAGATTGCTCAAGAAATTGACGGAAGGTTCACAAGCATCCCCTGTAGCCAACCCCAGCATAAACTTGAGATCTTTCACCCATTTTTTAAAGATGTGGTGGAAAAAAAGAACATAATCGAGGCTACTCATATGTACGATAATGCTGCCGAGGCCTGTAGCACCACCGAAGAGGTGTTTAACTCCCCCCGGGCAGGATCACCGCTCTGCAACTCAAACCTGCAGGATTCAGAAGAAGATATCGAGCCATCTTACAGCCTGTTTCGAGAAGACACATCACTGCCTTCTCTGTCCAAAGACCATTCTAAGCTCTCTATGGAACTGGAGGGAAATGATGGGCTGTCTTTCATTATGAGCAATTTTGAGAGTAAACTGAACAACAAAGTACCTCCGCCAGTCAAACCAAAGCCTCCTGTCCATTTTGAAATTACAAAGGGGGATCTATCTTATTTAGACCAAGGCCATAGGGATGGACAGAGGAAGTCTGTGTCTTCTAGCCCCTGGCTGCCTCAGGATGGGTTTGATCCTTCTGACTATGCTGAACCCATGGATGCTGTGGTGAAGCCAAGGAATGAAGAAGAAAACATATACTCCGTGCCCCATGACAGCACCCAAGGCAAAATCATCACCATTCGGAATATCAACAAAGCCCAGTCCAACGGCAGCGGGAATGGTTCTGACAGTGAAATGGACACCAGCTCTCTAGAGCGAGGGCGCAAGGTTTCCATCGTGAGCAAGCCAGTGCTGTACAGGACGAGATGCACCCGGCTGGGGCGGTTTGCTAGTTACCGGACCAGCTTCAGCGTGGGGAGTGATGATGAGCTGGGGCCCATCCGGAAGAAAGAGGAGGATCAGGCATCCCAGGGTTATAAAGGGGACAATGCTGTCATTCCATACGAAACAGACGAAGACCCGCGGAGGAGGAATATTCTTCGCAGCCTAAGGAGGAACACTAAGGTAAGACACCAGTCTAGGATTAGTCATAGTGTTTTGTACAGCGTCTCGGTGAGGGTTGATTGATGATGATTTTTCAAGGACAACCTATTCTGGTAAAAAAAAAACTGCCCTGTGTGTGTATTTGACTTAACATAAAAAAGCAGTGCCTCAATTAGCTACCATTATTGGCAGCTCTCAAGTAGTTAGGACTTTGGATAGATAGTCTGAGTTGTTGTTGCCTAAAACAATAGTTAATTAATTAGCAAAATGAGGAGATAATGCAGAACTTGTCAGTGTCTTGACAAGTGGCCAAGCGCAGTGACAATACACTTGCTCTCCCTTCACTGAAACACCAGAACTCAAAACTGCTTGCCGCAGTCTCTCACTGCTAAACATAACATTTCATCCATACATCTCTTAAATGATCCTTCCTCCCTTGCTGATCTGTAAAGGTTGCTGCATTTGAGATTGGTGAAGGATTGGATGATGATTTGCACACACAAATCAGTGACGAGTCTTTGAGTACATAAATGAAAAAAGAGAATCTTGCCACTGAGAGTTATAAACCTGTCCCGTATTTGTTAAATTGGAATACCATCCAGTCTATTATTTTATCTTCAAGGGAGTTGCTGCTGCTATCAGTCAGAAACTCGGATTTTATTTAGGGATCACAAATGGTGCAGGGAGAGAAAAGAAAAAGTTAACTGTATACATTATAAACATTGGGCCTACTCGTCATATGTAGAGACAGGAGCAAATGAAGTCTCTTTTTTTTTTTTTTTTTTTTGAGACGGAGTCTCGCTCAGTCACCCACGCTAGAGTGCAGTGGCGCGATCTCCGCTCACTGCAAGCTCCGCCTCCTGGGTTCACGCCATTCTCCTGCCTCAGCCTGCTGAGTAGCTGGGACTACAGGCGCCCGCCACCGTGCCCAGCTAATTTTTTTATTTTATTTTATTTTTTAGTAGAGACGGGGTTTCACCGTGTTAGCCAGGATGGTCTCCATCTCCTGACATCGTGATCCGCCCGCCTTGGTCTCCCAAAGTTTTGGGACTATAGGCGTGAGCCACCGCGCCCGGCTGCAGATGAAGTCTCTTATCCTGCGTAGAATTGTAGTTTGTAGTCTGCAGGGCAGAGAGCTGTAAGCAGTACTCTGTCCCCTTGGGTTTAGGCTTTGAGAAAGAAAAAGCGTTTCTCAACTTTTTCTTTTTCTTTTTTTTTTCCATTTGGAGTAGGGAGAAATACTCTTCCCCCCCACCCCCAATTGCCAAGGCTGATTTAGAAATACTGAAATACTCTTTACAGGCCAGGCGCCGTGGCTCACGCCTGTAATCCCAGCACTTTTGGAGGCCGAGGCGGGTGGATCTCTTGAGGTCAGGAGTTTGAGACCAGCCTGGCCAACATGGTGAAACCCTATCTCTACTAAAAAAGTACAAAAATTAGCTGGGCGTGGTGGCAGGCGCCTATAGTCCCAGCTACTCAGGAGGCTGAGGCAGGAGAATCACGTGAACCTGGGAGGCAGAGGTTGCAGTGAGCCAAGTTCACGACACTGTATTCCAGCTTGGGCAACAGAGGGAGACTCTGTCTCAAAAAAAAAAAAGGAAAAAGGAAAAAAAATGTGTATATATATAAATACTCTTTATTTTTTCAGAAAAAGACATTTTGGTGACATGCCACAACAGAACTGTGTTATATAATAATCCTTCACCAGCAGATTATGATATATAGAAGGATTTTTTCACGTTAAAGCTTTTGCTACTCTCCCTCCCATGAAAGAACAGAGAACAGAGTTACTTGTCTGAAAGTACTGCAGGGACCTCTGGAAAGAAAGATTGCCAGAAACTTTTATTATTACAAATCCTACCAAATCAGAAGGTTCTAGAATCCAGGCTGTCTTGAGAGCTGACAATCCTGACAACTCTGTTGTAAAATGTAATACAGAGGCCAGTTTGGCAGCCCTGCGGGCCCCGAGAGATGGAGGAACAGGGTGCCATCACCCTCCCACAGAAATTGCATCCACTTTGTGCTACATCCCATAGTAGAGAGTGTTCCTGCATTACCGCTGACCAGGAGCTTCCAGAGTTTTCTCATCTGTGCAGTGTGAGAAAGGGCAGAGTGGTTCTGTATCCCTCCCCACCTGTGCTGACTATTAATAAATGCCATAGGCATCCTCCTGTCTGATTTTCCTTTGCCTGGCTTTTCTACATGGAGTCCTTTGTCTGCCTCCAGTGTTTTCTCCTCCAAAGGTTGGTAGGAGGCCACCCTGTGGAAAGCATTGCTTATTTAGGAAGCCAGAAAACGGCCTGACTTGCCTCCGGTATTTTCCCAGAGCTCACCTATTTAATGATACTGGAATCCAAACATTTTGAACATTTCTTCTCTTCCTCCTCCTCTCCCAATGAAGACTGTTGCCAGAACAGCTTAAAAATGCTGACAGTCTTCTAATTTGTGGGGGTGTTTGCACACCTGGAAATTAGGAAGGTGGCATAATAGCATACTGAATTATAACTATATTCTGACTTCTAGCTACATTTTTAATACTTACTGAAAATGATGCTTTAAAAACACATTCCCATGCAAGCCAGGCTTTAAAGAGCACACACTGTAGTGGAGGCTCAGCAGAAAACAGCTGATCACAGTGTGCCTCTAAGATAGCTGTGTTCATGCTGGTAATGAGCACTTCCTAACCTGAGACTTCCTTCCCCGGGTTGCTGGGTCAGCGTGCAAGAAGTGGTCGGCTTCCGGTCTATCTTTAGCTATGTGGGCCACACCTCTTCAAGTCAAATAAAAATGATACTTCTGGCCCAAGAGCAATAGCGTGCCAGAAGTCAGTTATGGAGTATCCTCTGGAAAGAGTGACTAGAAGGTGAAATTTTCTTTTCCTGCCTTGGAAAATGGTGCTTTGAAATGAGGGTAGTTGCTTTGTCATCCCAGTGCAGAGATGAGCAAATCCTTTGCCGCTAGAGCAAACCTCCTATTAAAATTGCTGCAGTTCGGAACACAGACTGGCACTTGTTTTACTGGAAAAGCAAGATGCCATCAGGGGAGAGAAGGGCCAAGCCAACCCCTGTGTGGGAGATTTGGCCTTTGGTTTTTATTGGCATGACAAAGCAATACAATATTTATTTGGAGGGAGGGGGCAGCTAGGCACTAGGATTTCAGTTGGTAAGGGAAAATACACTGAGTACCTCCTGCGTGCCAGGCACCATAGGGAAATGACACAGACCCTTCTTGCCCAGACCTTAGTACCCAGTTGAGGCAGCAAGGCCTACACAGCCACTGAAAATAGGTGGCCTGCCCAGGGAAGGCTATGTGTGGGCATGTCGGGTTAGTTATGTTAGAGTAGGTTGTAGTGATTAGGAGCTCAGGCTCTGGGAATCTGGGCTACAGTCAACTCCAGCTCCTCCGCTTCCTTAGTTGGACTTTGGGCATGTGAGTCACTTCTCCACATTCTTTCTGCAAAAGAGGGAGCACCTTCCTGATCAGGTTGTGAGAAATGAACACCGGGCGTAGTGCATGCTGGATAAGTGTCAGCTGTCATCATTTAACTAGACCCCAGAGAATGAGTGGAACTAAAGCAGTGGCATGAGGTAAGGAAGGACTTGAAGGTGGAAATATGCATATTGTATTCCGAGAAAGGAGAAAACTTGTCTGGTCTAGCTGAGGGCTTGAGGGACCAACATTATCCGTCCCGTCTTTTGGAAGTTTTAACCTCATGCATTACTGAGCTGCTTTCTTGGTACTTACCCTAGCAACCACCCTAACAAAAAAATAGCTATGCTCTGGGTACCAATGTGATACAGAAAAAAATCACTCAGTGCCCTTGGCTGATTTGCTAGATTAGGTCTTTACTATAAAACTGGAGTCGGAGTGAGGGAATCGCTTTCATTTCTCCTCATGAAAGTGCAGACTGTAAAGCTGACTCTCATTCTGGGTGCTTTTCCCAGCTGAACCATTTAGCAACCCACCCTCATAGTGGGAGCCTTCCGCACTCAGCTGAATGAAATTGAAAATCTACGATTGCACTTCAGTAGGGTCCATGAATAGTGGCTTTGTCTGTAAAGAGTTGTTGTTGCACATGGTCTCTGTCTCCCAGTGCCATGCGTTTGCAAAGACGAGATCAGGATCGGCAGGGTCTTATTTTAAAGCCAAAAAACAGGCTGGGGAGCCTTGTTCCACAAAGTATGCCTTTTGGTCATGCTGAAATGGCTGCGTTTGGTGTGTTTGACTGTGGATTTAAAAAGAAGACATTATTGGCTATTTACCCTTCTATCTGATGTGTTCTTATTTTGGTGCTAAAAAAAAAAAGACAAAACAGAATGATAAAGAAAATCTTTCACTCACTGCAGCAACCACATGACAAGACAACCTATTGAAAAGCTAACCAATTCAATCATGCATTGTTTGGTCTATAAGGCACCAAGTAACCAGTTTGACAGTTTGTGTCCCCCCCTAGTGAATTGGCTTATTTCATTGGATTCAGTGAATTGGCTGGTTGTTGTGGCTTTGTGTGGACACAGCTCTCATTTTGTGAGGCCTAGAATGGAGTTAAAGTTTCTAGTGTGAATAAAAACCAGCTGGGGAATTGGACTGCTTGCTCCCCTGGGAGGGATGTTGAGTTTTGACAGACAAGCTGAATGCGATGAAATATGAGCTCTTTGTAACCTGCCTAGGAAAGACTCTCAGTGTGTGCTTCAGAAATAGTCCTACTCAATGAGCTTTGAGACCAAATACATAACTTGGTTTTAAAAATGGGGTGGGCACACTGACTTGACCTTGGATTTTCTGTTTCCTGGAAAAATTGTGTCTTTTAAACGAGGTACTTTTGTTTCCAAGCCGAAGTTCAGTCATTCTTTTAGGAAGGAGACATGCATTTCGGTGCGTGGGCATTCAGTGAGCACTTGTTTTATGCCCAGCATTGTGTTGGGTGCCCTAGGTGTGGTAGTGACGTTAATCCAGCTTACAGTCTTGGGGATGTTAGGTTTTAAACATGTACTTGCATGCATTTTGAATATTACCAGAGGGAAGGTACAGGATACTAAGGAATTGTGTAACAAGGAAGTTTAACCTAAACTGCGGTATCAGGAAAGCTCCCCAAGGAAATGATATTTAAGGCTGAGACTTTGGAAGCTGAGGCAGACAAAGTCAGTGAGGATGGAAGCTTCATGGAGCTGAAAGAACTTCATGTGTTCAAAGAGTTGAAAGAAGCTTAGCGTGGCTGCTCTGGAGAGGTGAGGGGGACCCACGCCAAATAATAGAGGGCTGTGGCTACCACGTGAAGGGTTTTGTGTTTTTGTGCATTTATTGAATACTTACTGTGTGCCAGGTACGTGTCAGGCATTTTCACATCAATTTTTTATTTATTCCTCCTCCCAGTCTTAATGAGGTGATGTTTTTCATCCTTGATTTTGAGTTGAGGTAACTAAGGCTCAGAGAGATTAAACCTTGCCCAAGTGAGTGTAGCCACTGAGTGGAAGAGCTGAGATTCTGAACCCTGGTGTTCTGACTTCCACTTCCTGTGGATTTTCATCATCCAGTCTGCAGAAAAGTTGCTAATATTCAACAGTCAGGTGCCTATATTTAGACCACTCAATCAGTCCAGTCGATTTGTTCATTCAAACAAAAGATCTTTGATTATCTGAAAAAATCCATTTCTCCTCACTGCCCCCCAGAACAGCACGGTGCTGTTTGTTTCTAGCTTCAGAGCCTAGTTGAGTAGAGGACAAAAAAGGCATGGAGACATTGAAATAGCAACTGGAACTTTGAGAAATTGTTTCTCACTGGTGTCACTCGATTCTCAGTTTATTTTAAGCCTGAAGAACTTCTGTAGTGTGTTTTTGGTGATAAAAATAGACTATCTTTAACTATCTGCCTTAGCTTACAGCATACCTGTTCTTAAAAAAAAATTACGATAGGCAACCCAAATCTGTTTTTAAAAGAACTGGGAATTGTGCTGATGCCTCACTGAGCCAACTTGGTCTCCTCCACCACCTGGTGATACTGAAATACCTTTGTAGGGACTCAAATTATTCCAGCTCTAGTCAGGAATCACCTTTGCTTATAAGGCAAAGGCCTTCCAAATGGATTTTCTACAGCATTTGAGAGAAGCAAGCAATAAGAACTGACCCATAGCGTTGGAAAGTCCAAATTCAGTGTGTGTTGAACTTCAGGCAAGTGTTCATGAAAATGTACCTGGAACTAGTGGGCCCTCCTCGCTGTTTGGCTCCAGATCACACTGGCCACGAGTTGTCTTCTCGGGGGGGTGGATCCGCGGTCACCAGACTTCATGCCTTAATAGAACAAAAAGCTATGGTCTGCGCTGGGCGCGGTGGGTCACACCTGTAATCCCAGCACTTTGGGAGGCCGAGGCAGGCACATCACTTGAGGTCAGGAGTTCGAGACCAGCCTGGCCAACATGGCGAAACCCCGTCTCTACAAAAAATACAAAAATTAGCCAGGTGTGGTGGTGGACGCCTATAATCCCAGCTACTCGGGAGGCTGAGGCAAGAGAATCTCTTGAACCCGGGAGGCAGATATTGCAGTGAGCCAGGATCATGCCACTGCACTCCAGCCTGGGCAACAGAGGGAGACGGTCTCAAAAAAAAAAAGCTATGGTCTGGATTTAGTTAGGTCCTGCAATAGGATGACATGTCTCCGTTTCTTTCTCCATTATTTAAGATTAGGGATGACAGGAAGGCCAGGACTTTGTGGTCCTTCCTGTTCATCCGTAAATAAAGATGCTCCAAGATGGTGAGTGACTGAGTCATGGTATTAACTGCCAGCTTGAAGGAGACCATATCTAAGCATTTGTGCTTTAATAATAGATTTTGTCAGCAAGAATACATCTGCCTTCAGGTTTTCTTTTAAACTTGGGCGTGGAATTTTTCAGAGCCCAGAAGGGGGAGCACCGGTTAACCAAGAATACATTTGGAGCATAAGCAAATAACTTAATTAAAAAGGTCCTTTTGGAACTCTTTTGGAAATAGAAGAGAATAATTGCCAATCAGAAAGGCACGATGTTGAATACTGAATGCAAGAAAGTGGTTTAGGGAACAGCTGTAGTAATGCCACTTATGGAATCTTTCCGATTTTCTAAGACTCTACCAGTTACAGTTAGTCCATAGTATGCTACCACACAACTTGGCAAGCCATGGGTGTGACCCTCTGGGGCTCTGTGTATTGATTTCACTCTCATCCTCATTCAGATGGCACTGTCCATGTTCCAGACTACATTCCGTATATGGTGTTACCTGTTACTCTTTTTTTTTTTTTTTTTTTTTTTTTTACATAAAACATTAACGCCGGGCACAGTGGCTCACACCTGTAATCCCAGCACTTTGGGAGGCCGAGGTGGGCAGATCACTTGAGGTCGGGAGTTCAAGACCAGCCTGACAAACATGGAGAAACCCCCTCTTTACTAAAAGTACAAAATTAGCCGGGCTTGGTGGCACATATATGTTAATCCCAGCTACTCAGGAGGCTGAGGCAGAAGAATCACTTGAACCCAGGAGGTGGAGTTTGCAGTGAACCAAGATCGCACCATTGCACTCCAGCCTGGGCAACAAGAGCGAAACTCCATCTCAAAAAAAAAAAAAAATTAAAAAAATTTTTTAAAAGTTGGGGTCTCACTATGTTTCTAGGCTGGTCTCAAAACTCTTGGCCTTAAGCAGTCCTCCCATCTGGGCTTCCCAAAGTGTTGGGATTACAGGCATGAGTCACTGCACCTGGCTGGTGTTAACTGTTTTTTAAAAAGGCCAGACATGGTGGCTCACACTTGTAATCCCAATGCTTTGGGAGGCCGAGTTTGGCAGATTGCTTGAGCCCAGGAGTTTGAAACTAGCTTGGGCAACATGGCAAAACTCCGTCTCTACAAAATATTATCTGGGCGCGGTGGCACACACCTGTAGTCCCAGCTAGTTGGGAGGCTGAGATGGGAGAATCACCTGAGCCCAGGGAGGTCGAGGCTGCAGTGAGCCATGATTACACCATTGCACTCCAGCCTGGGCAACACAGTGAGACGCTGTCTCAAAAAACCAACTAGAAAACCGAGTTCCGATGCCTGGTTCCCCACCACCCCACCTGCTTCCAGTCCAGTTAAATCAAAATCACTAGGGCTGGTGTCCAGGCACTTTGAAAAAAAAAAAAAAAGACAAAAAAAGGCAGTGAATCCAACAGGCTGGGTTCTGTTTTTTATTTCCTTTATTAGATGTGTTACCAAGCATTTAAAAGGTTTAAACGGCTATACTAGATGGTACAACTCTAGTGAACATATTTTCTGACTCTAAAATCTAGATAAGTAACTTTACATTTATAAGGTTGTTTATGGAGACCAAAAGAGAATATTTGAAGTTGACAGCGTAGGGTCAGTAAGTAGCCCTCCCTGCTGTTCCCACAGAAGATAGAATATTCTTACCTTTTTCCATTGTTGCATAGCTGGTACTTGCTCATGTGGTACCTAGATGAGCTTTGTTTATTGTGGATATGTCTTCTGTTACCAAATAGATTGGAAGTTCATTGAGGGCGGGAGACGACTTTGGTCCTAGTATTAGCTCTGCTGCCAGTTTGTTATGTGGCCTTGGGGTGATTCATAAATTCATTAAAAAAAAACAAACCAAGACTCTTGCCTTCTAGGAACTTAGCCTAGTAGAATATTTGTTGTATGTGTACGTAAATAACTGTACCTCATTCAGTACCTACAGAGGGAATTAGGACTTCATCTGGCGGTTTTTAAAAGGCTTATGATATAGTACTGCCAAAGTATGAACAAGGCCTTCTGAGCCTCACCTCCTCACACACTAGTGTGAGCAGCACAGTGTAAGGAGAAATGAGAATCTCTACCACAGAGATAGTCTGCGTCTCAGCTCAATTTGAGAAAATAGAAAGGAACATTGGCCCAGTACATTATTGGAAACTGTTTTTGTTCAGCAAATACATTGAGTGCCCACTGCACGTCAGGCCCTGGAACCCAACCATCTTCCCAGCTGATAGAAGGCCCTTCTTTTGGCTCTTACCTATCCCCTGGCTTCCATTCTACTCTTTTTCTTGCCCCAGTGGACTTGGACAGGGTCTGTGGACTGGGCTTACAGCCGAGTGGGGAGCAGAGGCAGTGACAGATGCAGCTTCCTACTCTGCCACAGTCGGGAGTTTCCTCTTTATGCCCTGTGTCTGAAAAGCCGAGAGACCAGAGGTAGTTGCCAGGCACCATTTCTCCCCAGTGCACCACGGGCATAAACTATTATTTATAAACTTTGCCATGATTAATATCAAGACCAAAAATCAGGTGTGTTTTTAAGCAAACTATGAGGTACAAAGCAATGGACTATGTTGTTCATTTTTTTAAAATCAGTCTAAAAGGCCAAGGTGAAGGTGTTTCAGGCTGGCCCAGTCCTTTGTGTATGGCAGTGGCATTTCTTCGTGGAGGAGATAGACCATGCAGGGGAAAGAGCATGGGGCTTTGGCATTCAAAGATCACCGTACACTAAGTGCTGGCTGTGAATCTCCATGAGTCTCTGTTTTCTCAACTGTAAAATGGGTCTAAATAACCCTTACCTTGCAGAGTGGTCGTGAAGTTTTGAATAATTGTGCAGAGCAGCTACCACCATGCCCAGCCACTCCTAGGGAATCTCTGTTCCATTTTTGACCCAGTTGGACTCTAAACTTAAGAGGTGGCCGGGCACGGTGGCTCACACCTGTAATCCCAGCACTTTGGGAGGCCAAGGCAGGTGGATCACTGGAAGTCAGGAGTTCAAGAACAGCCTGGCCAACATGGTGAAATCCCGTCTTTACTAAAAATACAAAAACTTGCTGGGCATGGTGGCTCATGCCTATAATCCCAGCTACTCAGGAGGCTGAGGCAGGAGAATGGCTTGAACTGAGGAGGCGGAGGTTGTAGTGAGCCAAGATTGCGCTACGGCACTCCAGCTTGGGTGACGGAGTAAGACTCCATTTCAGTAAAAATAAATAAATAAACTTAGAGGCACACATGTGGAGATTGTTCTCAGGGATTGAATTCCTCTGGCTAGATGCTTTTTTCAGTTCAGCCTGCTAATAGGTAAGTGCCTCCGGAAGAAGATGGATGTTGGGTGTTGTTACTTTCTCCTTTTCAAGGACCTGTTGCTGAAAGTGCACCCAATAACTCCCTGAAGAGTGACACACGTCTGACTGGGGGCATGAGATATCTGGCAGGCCACTCAGGAGAATGGCATTTCCATGAGAAATATGCCCAGTAACCCTTCAGATGCCTGAAGTGTTGTTTCTATCAGCAGTCTGGCCCAGCTCTTGGCATGCACCCCAAACCCTGATTTTCTTACTAGGAAGGTTTAGAATTCATTTTGCAAGAGTTCCAATTTTGTGACACCCTAGAGAGCCTTCAGTTATCTCAAGGAGGTATTCTGAAATTCTGTAAACCAGAGTTTGTCTTAAAAAATAGGGAGTGAGATTGAATCCACGTCACTCAGCAAGGAGGTGGGGTGATGCTACTGCAAAAGCTTACCCTCCACATCCACTGTTGTAAATGGAAGGATTGAACTAAATCTGGGGCTCTTTGAGGTGAAAGAGATAGGAGCAGTTGTCTCAGTTAGCCTTCCGTCTCTCTTATCGCTCCCAATGTGACCCTTTGGAGCCATGTAAAAGAAGCCTGCTCTATAGTCAATAGGTAGCTCTATAGCTATTTGAAAATAGCTATCAGAGTGCCCCATTATTCTCTTTGCCAATTTAAAGTTCCCTGGTATTTTATATGAGTGGATCTTTATTACCTTTAGAAACCTTTGGAAGTCCTCCAGATAATCAGTGATCAGTGTGCCTTCTTTTTTTTTTTTTTTTTTTTTTCCGAGACAGGGTCTCCTGCTATCACCCAGGCTGGAGTGCAGTGGCACAATTTTGACTCACTGCAGCCTTCACCTCCCCAGCTCAAGCAATCCTCCCACTGCAGCCTCTCGAGTTGCTGGGACTACAGGCATGCATCACCACACCCAGATAATTTTTTTGTAATATTTTTTGTAGAGATGGGGTTTCACCACGTTGGCCAGGCTGGTCTCAAACTCTGGCCTCAAGTGATCTGCCAACCTCAGCCTCCCAAAGTGCTGGAATTACAGGCATGAGCCACCAAGCCCAGCTAGTGTGCTTTTATTCACTTACTCAGTCATCCATTTATTTATTCTCTCCATCTCAAGAATTTTCACTAGATTATAAGCCGTGGTGGTTAAAAGCACAGGTTTCGCAGTCATACAGACCTGACTTTGTCAAGTTACTTTTTCTAGGAGTTGGCCTCTATCAAATGGAGTTTTTAATACCCACACCCACAAATATTTTGAATCTGGAGTGCTTGTAAAGAATTTATACTGGCTGGGTGCGGTGGCTCATGCCTGTAATCCCAGCACTTTGGGAGTCCGAGGCAGGAGGGTCCCTTGAGCCCAGGAAGCTGTGGTTGTAGGGAGCTATGACTGCGCCACTGCACCGCAGTCTGGATGACAGAGCGAGACCCTATCTAAAAAAGAACTTATGCTAGGTTCTGGTACACAGAAACTACTCAGTTGATGAAGGCTAAATTTCCTGGCTAAGTTAGATTGTTAGAACACACCAGCATCATCTTGTTCCTAGTATTAAGAGGGTGGGGGAATGTAAGATTGAAATTTGTTGTCTGTTTCCTAGAACCATGGTTAGAAGGAGGCTTTAAGGTGATTAGGAATAGCTTCTTTGCAGCTTCCATTTCTGTTCCTTCACAGCGGTTTATTTGGAAGCCTGTTTTATTGAACAGTGCTGTTAGTTTCAACAGGCATATTCTGTAGGATTTGAGATTGTTAAAAACTTCAATGATAGAAGATGGATGAATGTGATTTAAGTACAGATGCTCTTTGGTTATTCAGATTGTATAGCTAACCTTTTAAACTCCAAATGTAAAACTTTTCGACTTTTAACCTTTTAAACTTTAAATTAAAAAAAAATAGGAAACATTTTAAGTGGGGAGAGCATTGTTTGAATCATTGTTATCTGGTTGCAACAATGTGTGAAACAGAGGCACTCAGCCCCTCTTCCCCACCCCGCCCCTCCTCCCGGAGACACAGTCTTGCTCTGTCGCCCAGGCTGGAGTGCAATGGCACAATCTCGGCTCACTGCAACCTCTACCTCCTGGGTTCAAGTGATTCTCCCACCTCAGCCTCCTGAGTAGCTGGGATTACAGGCACTTGCCATCATGCCCGGCTAATTTTTGTATTTTTGTAGAGACAGGGTTTCACTATGTTGGCCAGGCTGGTCTCGAACTCCTGATCTCAGGTGATCCGCCCGCCTTGCCCTCCCAAAGTGCTAGGATTACAGGTGTGAGCCACCATACCCGGCCAGCCCTCTTATTTATTATTTTGAGACGGGGTCGCACTTTGTCACCCAGGCTGGAGTGCAGTGGCACGATCTCAGCTCACTACAGCCTCGACCTCCTGGGCTCAGGCGATCCTCCCACCTCAGCTTCCCAGGTATCTGGGACTATAGGTGTGCGCTACCACGCCCAGCTAATTGTTTTTGTATTTTTTGTAGAGATGGGGTTTCACCATGTTGCCCAGGCTGGTCTTGAACTCCTGAGCTCAAGCAATTTGCCCACCTCAGCCTCCCATAGTGCTAGGATTACAGGCATTAGCCACCATGCCCAGCCTTAAATTCTTTATGTTATACTTCATATAAGTAGAAGATGCTAGAGACACAGTATAGACTCGTTAAATTATTTCCTGTAAATGTATATCATACATCGTTAATTGGCATTTCCTTACTTCTTTGGTAAAAAAAGTCTGAAGTCAGAGCCTGTTTGCTTCAGTCTATAAGGGGAGCAAGCAGCAGCCATTCCCCCGAACCTAGGAGGCTATGCCACTACTTTATGAGGAGCAGGTATCTCACAGTGAGTGGGGACAGGCTTTATGGAGTACATGGTTCTTCCCTGAGACCCCAGAATCCATTCACATTATAGCATTCTCCATATTGAGTCAGGTAGCAGGCTGAATGAAGATTGGATTCTCATTGCCTTTGGTTTGTCATTTGAAGTAATCTCACCCAGCAGCCCAGAAATGGAATGATCTTGCTCTTTCCTTGTGTACATTATATTCTGATCTGTTCTTTTTTTTTCTTGCTATTTGTTTGCACAGGAAGTTCTCAACGAATCTCAGACTAAACAGGAAGTGATTTTTTTCTTATACAAAGGGGTACTGGTAGGAACGAAGATGGGCAGGAGAAGGAGAGGGAATAGGTGGCCTGCGGCCTGGCGGTTCGTTGTTTCCTTCAGTGGATTTTATGTAAAATCCCTAAATACTTTAGGTTTATGGGCTGTGCACATTTCTGAGTAAATCTGCTTTTCTAAATTGGTTTCATCAACTGGAAAATGTAACTGGATTGCTGGAGATACACCTGGGTCTAATTTACCTTGATCCTATTTGGTTACTTTTCTTTTTTAGTAGATATTTTAACAAAAGGCCAAAATTTCAAGTGTATTTCTTTGGCTTTAGGAAATTTATCATTTGTTTAGAGTAATTTTTTCTCCATTTAAGGTTCAAAATAAAAAGATTGAATACTTTTGAGGCAGAGTATCTCAGTATTAATCATGTTAATGAGCATAGGCTTTGGAGACAAACCTTCCTGGATTTGAATCCAAGCAGTCACTTAGTAGTTGTGTCATTTAGGCATGTGAGAGATTTTTTCCTTGGTAAGATTGAGTGTCATCAGGTTTAAAAGAAATAATATTTGGCAGGCTGGGCAACATAGTGAGACCCTCATCTCTACAGAAAATTTAAAAATTAGCCTGGGTACATGCCTGTGGTCCCAGCTTTGGGATGCTGAGGTAGGAAGATCACTTGAGCCCAGGAGGTCCAGGCTGCAGTGAGCTGTGGTTGTGCCACTGTACTCCAGCCTGAGCAACACAGGGAGACCCTGTCTGAAAATTATAATAATAATAATAATATTTGGAACTTAGTCTGTGCATAGTAAGTTCTCAAGTGGTTGCTGTTGCTGCTGCTACTGCTGCTGCTAGTACTTCTTGAAGAAGGTGACTAGGGAAAAATAGACAAAAAAAATACTTTATTTGTCTTGTTTGATTAGTCGACTTTACCTTTTCCTAATGTGGATGCAACTGAGAATTAACCCCAAGCTAATGTATCAAAGGACATTCTCATTTGGGTCTATCAGCCCTAGCAGAATGCCTGCTCTCTTTTCTAGAAAGAGGAAATAATCTGTTTTCCATTTCATTTTTTTTAAAGATTTTAGCTATCTTTGAGTATGTAACATCTATTATCCTTGTAGGGTGTTTGGAAAACTTCCTGTTTACTCCAGTGCATCCCTGGTAGAGGATGTAGATAATCATCGTATTGTTATTTTATTACATAAACATGGACTGCTTCTTATAAACATCTTTGTTCTAATAATGTGGTCTCATACTCAAGGTGTGACTTTCTGGCATCCTGTGTGGTATTCAGAGGCCAGAAGATAGAAAATTAAAAGTAGTGAGATGAGCCAAGCGAATCTTTTTAATCCTTCTTGAAATCTTTTTTTTTTTTTTTTTTGAGTCTTACTCTGTCATCCAGGCTGGAATACAGTGGCGCAATCTCGGCTCACCTCAATCTCCACCTCCTGGGTTCAAGCAATTCTCCTGCCTCAGCCTCCCAAGTAGCTGGGATTACAGGCGCCCACCACTACGCCTGGCTAATTTTTGTGTTTTTAGTAGAGACACGGTTTCACCATGTTGGCCAAGCTGGTCTCAAACTCCTGACCTGAGGTGATCCACCCGCCTCGGCCTCCCAAAGTGCTGGGAATACAGGCATGAGTCACCGTATCCAGCCACTTCTTGACATTCTTTCTAGCAGTTTTTATACCACTGCTTCCCTTCTGGAAGCCTTACTGATGTTTAAGTTACATGTTGATACTCACTTTGTTTTTGTGCTTCCCTTTCTCTTTCCTGGACAGAAACCAAAGCCCAAACCCCGGCCATCCATCACAAAGGCAACCTGGGAGAGTAACTATTTTGGGGTGCCCTTAACAACTGTCGTGACTCCAGAGAAGCCGATCCCCATTTTTATTGAAAGATGTATTGAGTACATTGAAGCCACAGGTAAGAGTATTACCTCATAGCAGTTTATAACTTTCACTGTCTACAGGATGCTTACTGGAGGGTCAAGCCATCTGGAGATTCTGGAATCAGTTGTTGTTGATTGTGAGATGCTCTTGGAGAAGGAGCTGAGCAGTCCCAACAGTTGTCAGATGTGTAGATTCTCCATTTGTGTGCAGTTTTGAGGCTGTCGTTGGGCATTTATTAGGCCTTGGCCTACGAAGGAGCTGTTCTGTGCTCAAGGTGGCAGCTATGGCTGCTTGGGCGCTTTCTCTGTGCTACCTCACCCACCAGAGCATCAGCACTCTGTCAGTTGCCTGCCCGCCTGTGTTCCCTGCAGATCTGTGAACTCCTTGAGGGTTGTGCTATCATTGTGTCCTCAGTACTATAGTGGATACATAATACATTTTGGTTTAGTAAAATTAATACAGCCCTCAG